>NC_000021.9:34264708-34574662 GCF_000001405.40 Homo sapiens
CCTAGAGAGCTCGTATGTGAAGGAAACTTTTAATAATGGGTTTGAAAACAATAGTTTATAGAAAATTAGAAAGAAAAATATAAAGATTGATGAGGGCCTTTTGCTTCATGGCTGCTGGCTTATTCTAAAGGGATTCAAAGAGTTCACACTTTAGGGCCATATCTGTCTGCTTTTCCCAAGAGCAAATACGATGCCACAAATTTAGGATGGTGGTTTGTGCTATAGACTGAATGTTTGTATCTCCCCAAATGTTTGTGTTGAAGCCCTAACTCTCAGTGTAATGGTCTTTGGAGGTGGGGCTTTTGTTGGGGGTGATTAGGTCATGAAGGTGACCCTCATGAATGGAATTAGTGCCCTTATGAGAAGAGACTCTGGAGGGTGCTCTTTCTCCTTCCTCCATGTGAGGACACAAGGAGGGGTTGGCAGTTTGCAGCCTGGAAGACAGCCCTCCCTAGGACGAGACCAGACTGTCACACCAATCTTAGACTTCCAGCCTCCAGAACTGTGCAAAATAAATGTCTGTTGTTCATAAGCTACCCAGTCCGTGACACTTTGTTACAGTAACCCAAAAGGACTAAGACAGTTTGTAAAACACTAAAGGGAGAGAACCAGGTATTCCAAAAAGATGCACAAAGTCTTTTTTTGGTCAACATTTTTAGTAATGAGCTATTCAGGGCAAAGCTTGACAAGCTAATGGAGAATCTAGATAGGCCCCTGGAGGCCCAGGCCTTGGCTTAATCCCCCCAGGGCCCACACTGAATAACAGGATAAACAGAAGTAAACAGAATAAACTTTTCCCCAGCCAGCTCCCAGGAGGGCAGCACATCTCCACTAGCTTCTTGAGCACCTTTTTGTTATGTTATGCTGCTGAAAACTGAAAGGGAATTGCTATGGTGTGGATACTAGTCCCCTTCAAACCTGATGTTAAAATTTGACCCCCAGTGTTGGAGGTGGATCCTAATGGGAGGTGTTTGGGTCATGGAGGTGGATCCCTTGTGAACAGGTTAATACCCTCCCCTGGGGGTAAGTGAGTTCTTTCTCTGTTAGTTCCCTCAAGAGCTGGCTATTGAAACATGCCTGGCACCTTCCCCCTTGCTTGCCGTCTGGCCATGTGATCTCTGCACAACAGGCTCCACTTTGCCTTCTGCTATGAGTGGAAACAGCCTGAGGCCCTTGCCAGAAGTAGAGCAGATGCTGGTGCCATGCTTCTTGTATAGCCTGCAGAACCATGAGCTAAATAAACCTTTCTTTATAATTTACCCAATCTCAGGAATTCCTTTATAGCAACACTGAACAGAAGAAGACAAGAATATTCTCAAGAGCTCTTCTAGCCTGACTCACTTCAAAAAGGAAGTGAAGAATAAGAAACACCTTGTATAGTTGGATCCAAAGAGGTTAAGTGTGTGACTTTTGGCAAGGTCACACAGCTAGCAAACAGCAGAGCTGATGCTAGAACCTGGCCACTTTGAAACCAGACCTGTGTTCTTAACTCCTACGTCATATCCTGCCACCAGTCTACCGTCCATGGTCCTCAGTATTTGGTGTTATGGTTCAGTGTTTCATTGTTGTGAAATCCCCTATTGTTTCTCTTCTTTTCCAACTACTCCCCACTTCCCACAACTCCCTAACAGTCCAATATGAAATAAAACTGGAGTAGCTTTCCTTTTAGAGAATGTTCTAACCTCTCAGTCTTCCACCCCACCTCCCTCCCTGCCCATCATAACAGTAATTGGAGACATGCTGGACTGTACATGTGCATGAATTGAGAGGTCTTGACACCAAGGTTGAGAAACTAAAGCATTTAGAACTTCATGACTGTTCCTCACACAAGACAATTCCCTTTCATTTGTTGTGCAAAAATGTGCCTGAAACATGGAACATAATCTTCCCTATTCCCAGAGATACTATGCTGGCCTTCTGTTAGCAGCATTATTTTCTTTGGAGCATCAAATACGTATACAGAAGGATTTAATTATGTTTTAGCAAATCTCAGTGAGAAAGATCTAGTACAAAAAGTCTATCTCATTTCAAGTAAAGGCCATATGCAAAAATTTTATCCAATTTTAAGTCATACAATCTTATTATATTTTAAGTGGTTTTATAAGTTGCTTAAAATGTTTTGGACAAAATGGTAGGCTGTTTAAGTAATAAAATATATGCGTGCACGCACACACAAATCTGAATTCACTGAGAGCAAATCTATAAAGGGTAAGGATACTGGAATTGAGAACACAGAACTAGAACCTAAAATAATATTTCTTCTTGTACTAGTGATAAAAGAATATGTGCTATTTTCCCACTGAAACAAAAGTAATGTTAATTACGGAGCCACATATAATGTGAAATGTGATCGTGCTTGTGATCTGCCTAAGTCACTACTCTACTTTCAAGGTAGGAGGATGAAAATTCTCAATCCCTTTCCCTCTCCATCTGCTGCATGTATTCTGTGAGAGTGTCAAGAACGATTTGATGTCTCACAGTTGTGTTTCTCCCTCTGGTGCTGCTCTGTGCGTTCCCTGAGAGGAAGCCACCTGCTTACTGTCTTCTCTAACTGTAGGGTTCACCCAGCTACCTCCCTTTCCCGAGAGTTCAAATGGGTAGATTCACAAATGGCACAGATGGAGAAACAAATTAACTTTAGTACAGATGCTGGCATCGATATTCCTGGGATTGAACTGCTTCCAAGCCAGAAATAATCCTCAAGCTTTCAAAACTGGAAAATCAGATGCAATTTACTCTCCTTGTCAGATGGCTGGATGTGGTACAATGCCCACTGGAAAGACCAATGGGAAAAGTGTGAGCCATTCAGGTGGCTTGGATATGAATAGCTTTAAAATTAGGCACACTATTGTGTCACTAGGATTTTCTACTAAGCTATCAGATGATTTTTTTTTGAATTTGAAATATGGACAACTGATTGGATTCTGAGCCCAAAACGAATTGTCTCTAAAAGCCAATTGGTTTATGCATTTATTCAATAAACACTTATTGCATATATGCTAGGTGATATAGGGCAACGAGAAGTAAGACATGATCCTTACACTCACTGCACAGTGACTCATGTGGGAGATGAGTGTGGACACAGATGGCTATGCTACCTTTTGATAATGTGCTGTGATTGTCCCCACCTGGGGAGGAAGGGCAGTTTCCTGGCTGTTAGGAGCTTAATTGTGGGTCCCCCTCAAATTTATATGATGAAGCCTCAATCCACAGCACCTGAGACTGTAACTATATTTGGAGATAGAGCCTTGAATAAGGCAATTAAGTTAAAATGAGATGGTTGGGGTGGGCCCTTATCCCATCTGACTGGTATCCTTACAAGAAGAGGAAATTTGAACACATGAAGAGACAGCAGGGGTGTGAACACACAGAGGAAAAAGACCATGTGAGGACATAGTGAGAAGGCGGCCATCTGCAAACCAAGGAGAGAGACCTCGGAAGAGACCAACCCTGGCAACACCTTGATCTTGATTTCCAGACTCCAGAAGTGTGAGACAATACATTTCTGCTGTCTAGGCCACCTGGTCTGTCGTATTTTGTTACGGAAGCTTGAGCAGACTGATACACCTGGACTCACCCCCCTCCATCTCATTACCTATTGCTTTATTTTATTTTTGTTTCAGTATGTGTTGCTATTTGAAATTATGGTGTTTCTATTCCATTTCTTTCCAGTAGAATACCAACTCCACAAGGGCAGGGACTTAGCTTTATTCACCACTCATTCCCAGTCTCTGGAATAGTGGAATAGTGCCTAGCACATTGTAGGTGCTCAACAAAAAGGTGTTATGAGCAAAGGGTTGTGGCAGTGGCAAGGAGGGGGAGATTTCCTGGGGCAAAAGGATGGTGGTGTGGGCTGGAGGGAAGAAGCCTTCCCTAAGAAGAGGCGTCTGGATGGTTGAGTCTCGCCGGGCAGAGAAAGTGAAGCAAACGCATCCCTGGAAGAAGAGACAACGTGAGCAAAAGCTCAAAGGTGTGAAAATGACGTCAGATGGAAAAGTAGGTCACTGAGACGGGATTTTAGGTGAGCCGGGGGTGGGGCAGGAGAGGAAACTTCAGGGAGAAAGGTTGGGCCAGATTATGAAAAGGTCTAGCTCCTGTACAAAGTGAAAAATGATGTGGATTCACCAAGCTGTCAGAAGGATAATGGCATCCTTTCTGTGACTATATGGAATACATACATCTATTCTACTATAAGGGATTTATTTATATCTATATTCCATATAGTCACATATAGTATATATTTACATCTATATTCCAAATAGTCACATATATAGTATATATGTGTAACTATATAGTATATATGTATACATGTAAATAAACTGTCTGTGTGTGCACTGTGTGCACATGTGCCTGTGTGTGTACAATACATGTTCACTGAGCATTTCACACACGGTAAATAACTAGGGAAATTAGTTCCCTTGTCATAGTATGTCAAGGAATTTATCCTACAGTGCTTAAAGGACCCCATGAGGTATTTAACAAGCGGAGGGGATAATTTTGAAAAGCACCAGAGAAAATACGGAGGACGGATCAGGCAAGAACCTGTAACAGGAAGGCCAGGTCAGGGGTGGGAAGTCACAGGTGCTAATGCCCAACTTAAGGCAATGCCAATTTGGAGAGGCAGGAAAGCCTCCATTCAAGGGATATTGAGCCAGTCGAGGCATAGGTCTTAGTATCCATGCAGATGTAGGGAGTAAAGGAGAAAGGAACCAAGGATGTCTTTAAAATGCCTTGCCTTTCACCATGTTTATTGTCATTGACATTATAAGATATATCTGGTCTTTGTTTGCTTGTTTGTTTTGTTAACTGCCTTCTTGAGGCCTTTGGTGACTTTTCTCTCTATTGTATTTCATGAATACATGGCTAAAACTGTACCTAGCTGATATTAAATATGCAATCAGTATTTACGACTGAATTAATGAATGAGTGGAAATGTTCTTTGACCTAGATAAGGAATGCAGGAGAAATATCAAGTTTGGGTAAAGAGGTATGAAAGAAAGCAGAAAAATAAAGATCCAGGAGGTGACGCCCATGGGCCATTTTGCACCTGGAGACAAGTCAGGTTTTTGGCTGCAGATGCTAGAATCATGTTGGAGTCGTTAATATGTTGTTGGTAGATGTGAATGAGATCACTCAGGGAAGAGACCCAGGTGGAGAATGAGAATATGCAGGAGACTGAGGCAGGAGGATTGTTTGAGCCTAGGAGTTGCAGGTTGCAGTGAGCTGTGATGGCACCACGCTCCAGCCTGTGTGACAGAGTGAGACCCTGGCTCAGCAAATAAAAAGAATGAAAATTGGGTGCACACAAATATGCAAAGGGGGTTAAAGGAGAGAGATGGAACCAAGGCAGGAGATGAAGAAGACTTGCTGGAAGTATCAAAGGAAAACCACCACAGCATGCTGCCCTAAACCATAGGAGGAGAACACTTCAAGGAGGGCAGTGTCAAATGACCATGAAATCCTGTGACACAATAGTTTTATGATCCAAATTTTGATGGAGAGATGCAGTGGTGTGTTAGAGCTATGTGCTAGGGCCGGCTTTCAAGAGCTGATTATTAACTTTTCAGGAATTTCATGAGCTATTATTAAATAAAATTTTGTAATTCGTTACAATTAAATTTTGATTAGATTAAAATTAAATTTTATAAGCTTACAATTAAATACATTGTATTAAAAACAATGATAATAAATATTCAAAACTCCTCATTTTCTAATGATTTTATTTCATTTTACTATTATCTATACTTTATTGTCCCTGTGTGTAAATACTACATGATGCTTGTGCTGTTGATTACGCACCTCTTCTCCTCTGTATTCGGTGATGTCATGTTGGTAGCTTGAACTCAACCATGATAGGAGTATTTAAACCACGGCAATTGGCAAAGGCTGTAAGTCAGAGCTCTTCTTTCCAGAGAGCTGGTTGTTAAACATTTACTGGCACACCACTGTCCGAAGGGAAAAGGAAAGATCCAGTGTAAGTTTCATTTAGATTAAGGACAACGGAGTAAGAAGCCACTGGAGATGGCAGTGGAGGAGCTAGCGACAGATGGAACCCTGATGAAGCAGGACTCAGAGGAGGTGGTGGGCTGAGTCCCAGAGCCTGGACGTAGGGAGGGCTCATTGTACACAGATATGGCAGAAGTTCCATCTAAGTATGTAACAAAATAATGAGACTTTTTAGTCATACACTCAGAGAATATTTGGTCTTCCATTTAGTCCACTGCCCTTAGTAACATTTTAAAATTCCCTTTAAAAATTTGTCTTTGACTGTATGACCATATTGCCATCTCGGCGAGACAGACCAGCAGCCTGTTTATCTCACGTAAACCCTCTTCCTTAGCAAATTGTTGGACAGGCAATTCTTTTTTGTGTTCCTTGCACCTCAAGATAATTGTGGCAGGCTAGACTGCTTCAATATGGGCAATTTCAATGGAATATCTGCAGATCCAATTTACATGGCACTAAATAGTTTCATAAGTACCTAGGACAAGTTAAAAGAGGGAACTTTTTCTCAACCTTTTAAAGCCTCGCTTTTGATAAACATACAAAGCTCACATTCTTTAAAAATATTATTTGAGCTTCAAATTCAACTATACATAATCACACACACACACACACACACACACACAATTGGGCGAAACACTACACTGTTTTTAAATTATGCATGCCTCCACCTTCTAGCATTGCCTCTCCCTTCTCAGGAGAGTGTGCAGCCTACAAGTTGAGAATAGTAGGATTTATAAACTAAGCAATGAAGGTCAAACAGGCCCATCTAAAAGGCAAGTGAAATAAAAGCTGAGGAATTGCAGTAACTGAACTGCTACATCCCCAGTTCTTTACATCACACACTCTCCTATGGAGGCAGGAAATGCTGTCTTTCACTCTGTGCATTGCTATGTTTTCTCCTCTTGCCATTTAAAATGATTTTGCATGATACTCCTCAGATTGCATAATCATCTCTATAACTGTCATTCCTAGTGACCACTTAATATTCCATTATATTAATAGAGTACAGTCTGCCTAAGCCATTTCCTCACAGTTGGGTACCTGGGCTGTTTCTAATTATTCATTTTACTATATGGGAGGGCTCAACACATCTTTTTACAGATATTTTTGTTTCCTTGGAATTATTCCTTGGGACATGTTTCTCCAATAGCCCTACTAGGTCAAAGAGTAGGATAATTTTTATGACATGTCACATATTGCAAAATTGCTCTTGAAATGATTTCTTTTTTCAATTTATGGTGCCGCCAGCAAAGTTGAGTGTGTCTTCTTCCCCAAAGCCCTGTCAACAAACAATTTTGTCATTTTTATTCATTTCCCCTGTTGTTCTCCTGATTGTAGCACAATCCATGTAGCTAAGGAGATGCAATCAGGGAAAAAAATCTTCCCCTAATTAAAGCCTGGTGCAGCAATATGTGGGTGGTTTTAATATATATCATAAAGAGTTAAGAAACATTCTATCATTCAAGAACAAAAATGAAAAAAACATAGGGTTTTTTTGGGTTGTCCTTATAAAGGGTTAGGAACAAAAGAAAGAACATACATAAGACTACACAAACAGGGAAATGATGAGAAGCATTGTATAAAATAAAACAAGAATGTAAATATTCTTGCTTTATTTTCAGCACTTCATGAAGCAAAAGCATTACTGGAATTACTAAATCTGAAAAAGCTAAGCTGTAGAGTAAGCCTTGTCTTTGTTATTTCTGTTAAATATGTTAAATTAAACACGATATATGGGGTATTATCTTTCTCTCCATTTGGCTTGAAATCTGCTTTCTCTCTCAATAGACATAATCCAAAATAAGAGCAATGAAAGCGCTATTGAACTGGATTTTGCATTTTTAAGAGTGTTCATTATTTATATAGTAATCCCTAAAGACCTCGTGTGGTACCTCTGGTGTTTGTAACGGACAATGGATGTATACAGCACATTCCTTCAAGAGGACTGCTGTATTCATACTTTATTATTT
Source organism: Homo sapiens (assembly GCF_000001405.40). NCBI lineage: Eukaryota > Metazoa > Chordata > Mammalia > Primates > Hominidae > Homo > Homo sapiens. The sequence goes on from NC_000021.9 coordinate 34,272,685, forward strand.
TTGGACATTTAAAAAAGATTTCCTCTAAAGGAACGAGACTTGTGTTTTTAGGTTTCATGGAGAATTTTCTAAAAGGAAACAACTGCAATCAAGGTAGCTACCAGATTATTTCACAAATTGCAATTTTATATTCCTAGGGTAGAAAAAATATCTCTAAGGCTGCATATATTGTACTCTCCTTTTAGTTGCTTATTAGACTTTTAACTTCTATGATCTCAAGCTTTTAAATTGTTGACTATTGAGAAGTTTCTGGAACACGTTTAGTGCGGCGAGATTTCCCAACACACATTTTTACTGACTGGGTGCCCCTCCTTGGAACAAAGAGCCTGTGCCTCCATAGCACAGTGAGGTACAACATTGAGGCACCTTCCAGGTAACCCAGGCCAGAAGAACAGCTTCTGCCCCAAGTAGTGGACTTGGTTTATCTTCATGAGGTGGAATTAAATTCCATTACTTTTTCTCTGATGTTCAGGTCAGCTCCTTCTCTTGACAGCAACTCTCCATATTGGGAGTGTTTATGCCTTGGAAATTGGCAAATGCTACTAATCAAGTCCTTCACCCACCAAGAGAGGGTTGCTGAACGTTTACCAGCACACCGCTGTAAATTCCATTACTCTTTCTTTCTGAGAAATGACTTATTTTTCTCTGTTTTAGCCTAGCTAACATCCCTGTCTGAGAGAGGAGAACTTATTTTTCCCTATTTTAGCTTAGCCAACAACCCTAATGCATTGGACATACACTTCCCTTTGGGAAATGGCCCCATCTTGGTCTCTGAGACCTTTTCTCTAGTTCTTCTACCCTCTGGGGACTTCTTATCTGGAAACATTTGTGGCTCTTCTTCCTCCTGCCTTCAGATGCCAGTGTGTGCCAAGCTTAAGCCTTCTTTTCTGTGTGTCTTTCTCCAGAGAGCTCATGCATCTCAAGGCTTCTGCCAGCTCTGGACTGAAACCCCAAAATGGACATTTCCAATCACATTCCTCTCCCACAGGCTCCAACCTTGTATCTCCTGACAGTTGTCCACAGTGTCACTGCTGTAGACCTTTCCCCTGGTGCATCTCCCTGGCCATTGCCTCCCATGCAGCAGATTTGAGAACTCATCTTCCTTCCCAGGATGTTCAGGTCAGCTCCTTCTCTCAGCAGCAACTCCCCTCTCAGCCAACCAGACTTACCTCCTGCACCTTTAATGGGCCCTTCTCTGAATTCCCAAAGCTGGGTGCCATATTGTGCTGGGTTTACTTAAAGATATCCCTCATGTTAGTCTCCCCATCTCCACCCAATCTGTCACCCCAATTTTAAGCTCCTCTTCCTGCCCCGCCTTTGAGTGCACACTCCTTCCCCAGTCTGTCCTGTGCACCCCCCTCCAGCTTCCTGAAACATCATGGCAGCTCCATGCTTGGGGGCTCTCAATCCTACTACATTCCCTCTACACCAGGTTCCTTGTCTTTCTTGGTCTTTATGATCTGGCTCTATGAAGTGAATGTTATTTCCCTCAAACCTCCTGCATGAATCATTCCCGTGGGACGGTTTTCCTGTTTTGAATCTGGGCCATAATCATGTGCAGGAACTCTCTCTCATACAGGCTCTCAAGAGCCTGTGCTAAAATTTTCAGGAAGCTTGTGAGCCAGTTGGTAAACACAGTTGTCATTATACAGTAAATGATATAAACTTACAATTAAATAAATTAGGTTTAAAAAGTTAATAAATACTTAAAACTCATAGCTTCCAAATAGTTTTACCATTATCTGTGCTCCTGAGATCATGCACGGCTGTTGTATCTTAATGGTGGAAATACTCTATGATGGTTTGCTAATGCCCATCCCTTCCAACTACCCATTCCGTGATGTCATGCTGGTCACTTGAGATTAGCCATATTGGGAGTGTTTATGCCTTGGAAATTGGCAAATGCTACTAATCAAGTCCCTCACCCACCAAGAGAGGGTTGCTGAACCTTTACCGGCACACTGCTGTACTATGCATGCCTTATACATATCCTGTCTCTGGGATTTTGTTCTTTTTTTCCTCCTATCAGGCATAGCTTCACCTTTTTCCTTGACATAATATTTTTACTGATCTATTAATATCCAGTTAAGTCTCTCCTTTTCCATGACACTTCCTCTAACGGTAGTCACTTTAATTGGTCTGTTTTCCATCCAAACCCCTTTATTGTTTATATCATGAACCACAAAACCTAGCCCTTCATAGTATGTTTCCCATTAATTCGTTTTAAATGATTGATCCAATCTCTCGTTATTTCATTACGTTTCTTATAGTGAGTGACATGCCCAGTGCTGGTTGCAGTTCTGGCCCAAACCATTTATTACTATTTCACATATTTGGGGGGTTTCTGCAAATACACTTATAAACCATGGGAAGCCACCAATCACTGTACTTCAACATCGCTTTTGGGCCCTAGCACAATGCTGAGCCACTAACAGGAGATGAGCATATATTTGTAAATCGACATGAAGCTCCGTAAATACCAGGTGCTTAAGGAACAGTGATGGTGACTATGGCTGAATTTCAGAAAGAATGCATTCATTCAAGTTGCTCAAATATTTTGTCTCAAGTGCTCAAGTTTCAACCCCAAACCTAGCACAGGGGGAGGAGGAGAGACTTAGGGAATTCTTGGGAGAGTTGAGTTCAATGCCCTGTGGTCAGGTCACACTAGTCCTCAGCTCCATTCTTCAGTCTTTGTATCCAGGTGGTGCTATTTGTCCTGCTTACTGACTTGGTTGACAGAAAAGTATGTAAAAGTGCTTGTAAAGTGCTCTTCTAATATACAGACCAAGGACCCGAATAGCCGCATCCTTCACCATATTTATGCTATGTTCTTCCTCCAGTCATCTGTAAGCAAGGATAAAAGGACTAGTTTGTATCGATTACACACGTTTTTCCTCTTTCTTTCTTGAGTTAAGGAAGCAGAAAGCCAGGATTGATATATAAAATGGTGACTAGAAAAGACAGAAGCCTGGGCCTGTTGTAGTTATCAGTATTAAGTAGTCATAGACCCACCTCTGAAGGTTGATTGTGTCCAAAAATTCCTCCATAAATACAGCACCCACAGCTGCTTAATTTTGATGCATTTGGCCATCCTGTGTGGAGAGTAGGGCAGATATTATTTTTATTCCTATTTTTTGGTCAAGGAAACTAAGGCTGAAGAGGTTCAATGACTTTCTGAAACTTGCATGGCCATCGAGTGGCCGAAGCAGGATGAGAACCTAGGTCCAGCACAAATATACAGATACCTGTTGTCTCACTCTAAACCATTCAGCAATATCACTCAACTTTCCATCTTTCTATGAAGATTTAGGTCCAATTGCCTCTTTGCGACACAGTGTAAAGAACTCTCTTTGGGAGTCACCTGGGTTTCTTTGGAGCATCTCACACTACCTTGGTGTGCCCTAGAGGCTGACACATCTGTCAAAGGAGATGACTGCACTTGTTGTACCCACCTCATGGGGCTTTGAGAGGATAAAAGGAGCTAGTAGGTGTGATAGTCCTTTGAAAACTAAGTTGCCGCAGGCATACAGGACAACATAAGAAATAACAATAGTTCTGTCTCTTTGAAGTGGCTCCTAGAGAAGTTGGTGAATGAAAAAGTTCCAAGTGCATTGTACTTGTGCTCTGTTCTCTTTGGTTTTCCCTGAATTTTCGTGACTGCATCGTCCATACAAAGGGCATTGAGAAATCCACACAGTTGTGTTCCTTTTTTAATTTAATTTTATTTTTTTGAGACAGTTTCGCTCTTGTTACCTAGGCTGGAGTGCAATGACGTGATCTCGGCTCACTGCAACCTCTGCCTCCTGGGTTCAAGCAATTTTCCTGCCTTAGCCTCCCGAGTAGCTGGGATTACAGGTGCCCGCCACCATGCCCAGCTAATTTTTGTATTTTTAGTAGAGACGGGGTTTCACCATGTTGGTCAGGCTGGTCTCAAACTCCTGACCTTAGGGGATCCACCCACTTTGGCCTCCCAAAGTGCTGGGATTACAGGCATGAGCCACCACATCTGGCCTGTGTTCTCTCCTTTGCAGAGTCTTTAAGACAGTTGTGGCAGTTTGTCTGAACACCTTTTCATCATGTGGCAAAAGAGATCAGCCATAAATTGGTAACTTTGTACAACTGTTAAGTCAAGCCCCATTTGTCATTTCTGACATTGAAAAGACATCATATTGTCCCTCAAGTTCCTGTCATAGTCATAAGTACCCGATTCTCGTTGTGGTGGGGTCATATGACTGTTGTAGGTTCTGACTAGACAGTTTGAGAAGTAGGAGAGGCAGAGATGAGTAATCATTCCATGGAGACACCAGATGGGGCAGGCTTTGGGCCTCTGGTGAACCCATTCTCATCCACCAAAGTGTTCATGTAGTTCTGAGAACAGGAGCAAATAAGGGTGAGGACAGGCATTTGACTGAGTCTCAGTAATAGGTATATGAAACGGGGATAGGATTTTTTGTTTTTTTGGTTGTTTGCTTTTTGTTTTTGCAAACTACTCATGTGCTTTTCCCTTTGGCATTTTTGTGGGCAGAACTTCCCCCCAGTTCTCCTTATGCAGTTTGAGCCATCTGTTGCCCCTCAGGGAGGTTGGGAAATAATCGGAATTGTTATGTCAGGATGCACAGAGAAAGGAAGTTTATGACATCGAAAATAGAATTTTGCAGGAAGACAATAGTCTTGAAATCCAGATTTTTTAGAGAGGAAGAGGATTTTCAAAATGTATTAACATTTTAAAACCCAGAACTGGAAGACTCATATTCTAAAATTTTTCCATAATTATGGAAGAGACAGACTTCAGCCTGTGGCAAGTAGGCTTTGAGGCTTGTTGCTCCTGGGCAGGGGAAAGCTGTGATCTATGAGAAGAGCTTGAAGGCCACCCTATGTGGACCTGGAATTGTGAGTGCAAAGAAGAAACAAAAAGGAAGACAATTGGGTCAGGATCAGGGATCTTGATCACAAACTTGTAACCCATGGGGCCACCAGAAACATCCAGATAGCCATGAGAAGGCCAAAAAATCAAGACTAGTGACGTGCCTTCACAGGTATATAAAAATGGGCTTCAGGCCGAGCATGGTGGCTCACGCCTGTAATCCTAGCACTTCAGGAGGCTGAGGTGGGCGGATCACTTGAGGTCAGGAGTTCGAGACCAGCCTGGCCAACATGGCTAAACCCCGTCTCTAATAAAAACACACACACACAAAAAATTAGCCGGCCGTGGTGGCAGGTGCCTGTAATCCCAGCTACTTGGGAGGCTGAGGCAGGAGAAGCACTTGAACCATGAAGGCAGAGGTTGCAGTGAGCTGAGATCATGCCATTGCACTCCAGCCTGGACGACAGAGCAAGACTCCGTCTCAAAAAAAAAGGGGGGGGGGGCTTCAGACCTCTTGGAGGACCCCTGCTTTTGGCCACTTCCATAGGGCATGGAAGGATTGGCAGAGGGCTGACAGTAAAAAGGGAGGTGAGAGACCAAGCCCCAGCCCTAATATCCCTTGTCATCATCACACTCCCAGAGTTGATGGTGGAGGGGGACTGTTGGATAAACTGAGAAACACCGTTTACGACTCTAGCAGGAGACTGTTTCATAGCCTGTCCCTGCACCAGCCTGGGCAATACACATCAATTCAATGGGTCAGGCAGAGGGAAAACCAGAGATTAGCCTCTTTAGATGCCTTCAATGCCAGTATGGAATGGACCAACAGAAGTGCCTGGGTGCCCTCAAAGTGTCAGGCAGAAGTTGATAAGGAAATCTGGCTAGGGAAGTTTTCCAGTAGCGGGGTTCAGAGATGACTCCCTCCCTCCTCAAAATCATGAAAATTCCATCTTTCCTCCAACACTGGCTGCCATATTGGAAAGGAACAAAGCAACCACAGGAGGAAATCTGAGCTGTCCTATACAGGCTATTAAAATACGAGCTACCCTAAAGGGAATTGAACTTTGAATAAATAGACTCAATGTTTAAATTGAAAGGAGGCAGTTTAAATTGGAAAAACCCTGAACTATTGTCAATTGGCCAATCTTAGTAGCTCCTACTGCCCAGCAGGCTAGCGTCTCATGAGAAATATCAGATGAAGCTATAGAGACAATAAAGAATAGTTTCTTTGAATCTCTGAGTTGTAATGTGAATAAATTCACGGTCTCCATATATTTGCATTCTGTGTCTCCTCTCCCCCAGCAAACATTTTGGATCGGATTCCACCCTCCTGCAAGCTTCTCTGAAAAGTGGCAACTGCCTAACCTGTGTTGCTGTTCATACTTAGTGTTGTCCTAGGCTAAGGTGAAAAAATTGGCTGGTTATGGGGCTCTATTGGAGGTTTCTATTTTCCCTTCGCTGACAAAGGTTAGACAGGATAACTGAAAGCCTCACTATTAGAGTCACATATTCCTTCAAGGATGGAAGAGAGGGGAAACTTTCAACACTCCCTAGTCCACAGAGGAGGACACCCCCTGGGCATGACACATACTCACACACAAATGCATATAAAGTAAACATGTCCAACTACATAATAGTTTGCATTCACCTGTCAAGAGCATGGGCTAAGGGCATTCATCCCCTCAGGGGATGACTTTGCAATCTTACATGGTCTTTCCTACTGCACCAGAAGTAGGGAACAGAGTAGACTTTCTGAAAAGCATCCCGACATCATTTAGGTCTTGTGGCAGCTATTTTGCCCTCTAAACTCCTACAGTGTTTTCTTACTAGATTACTTTTCTATTTCTCCCAAAGCTGCATGCTTGCTGCTGGGGAGGTTATGACCCTAGCCCTGGCTAAACTAGAGTGGAGACAAAGTGACCTGTCCGCCCTCTCTCTCTCCTGGGCCCTGGCTAGGTCACCAGAAAGGTCTGGGGTAATTTCTTGGCATGGCTGCTCAGCAAGGGCTCAAACAGCAGCTGGGAATTCTCTACACGATATAGACTAAATCCCGAATTCGCTTTTAGCTTTCACAGGGCTCCCAGGAACGCTGAGATAGAACAATCTGGGTTTAGTCCTTAGGCCTAAAGTCTTAAGGTATTAAAGGTACAGTTTGTTATCAGTATTCATGGTGGAGCGATACTACCATGAGGTACTACCCAGGATGCTGACATAAAGAGTCCCAGGTGTGTGGTTTTGAATTTTAAAATATTCTTAAAATGTATTACATTTTTAATGCAGGATTTTGATGTTTTTGTGGTAAAATAGAAATCTCTTTCAGGTTATGTACATTAGTACATGTACAATTTTTAGAACAATGCGTGTCCCATAGCTTGATTGATATTAATAACATCTCATCCAGCCTTAAGATGTTTCTGCCTGGATTGATGCATGGTAGTGGCTTGGTGAAATTTATTGTTTCCTTGCAAGGCTGGGATAAATGACTTCTGGGTACAGGTATCAACATGCATGAAGCACTTCCTCTGTGGTCAACCTACTTTCCCTTTGGCCTCATAAATGGGAATTTGAATAAATATTTACCGTATTGATTAGTTTATGTGGGGCAGGAGTCACTGAGCAGTGCAATGAGTTTAAAATATGGCCCTCTAGCAAATATTTCAGAAAGGGCCCCTTGCCCTTGATTCATATCAAAATATACTCAGAAAGGATCCGACTCTGTCTCTTGCCAAATGCAGGGTCTGTCTTGGAGACTTTTAGGCCCCTTAGGAGTGTCTGCCAACAGGCAGTTGTCTTCACCAGGCTGTGAGGATACCACAGCCCCTCCATGTCACCAGTTCTGGTTAAGACAGACGGGCTTGTCTTCTGCCTCCGAGACTCCTGGATCTTAGCCAGATTCTGGAGTGAGTTGGGGAGTAAGGCTGGGGTGGGGTAAGGCTGCCTGGGGCTGGAAGATGAATGGTTTCATCAGTTTCACAGAGGAGGAGGGAGATGGGCTGCAGGGCTTGCAAAACATCACATCTTGGCAAAAATACTTTACAAAACAGGAGATTCCTGGAAAGCAATAATGCTGACAGTGGAGAGCCAGTTTTTGGTTCTGATACAGAAGGGGTGCTGAGTCTGAGAACAGGCTGGCCTCTCCCGCTGTCTGCAGGCGCTATTTTGGCCACAGGCACTGCCTTCAGCTCCTGCTCTTTCTGGGGCGTGTAGCTCTGGGGATACAACTGGAAAACTCGCCTTTGCTTGGGTCAGAACAGGCCTGGAATCTGGTCATTGTACAGGCTATGCCCCCCACTTCTGGGATCCCCTCCCACTTGCCCGCAGCCTTCCAGACTGAGCTCAACGGCCACCTTCCCCCAAGCGTTTCTCACCCGGGCCTCGGGTCTGACCCTCCTCTAAATGGCACCACACCTTGTTCCATCTTGCAGTGCTTTCTCACAAATAGCAGTGCTTCTCTTCAACACAGATGTAGGTATCTTTGCCCTTTTAGAGTAGATTTCGTGAACTCTTTTGGCTCTTCCGTTGTGAGGATCAAACCAATTCTCTTCAAACAGCTGCATGCAGCCTCCAGCAGTCTCTGGTCGGTGCCTTGGCCCGTCTCCACATGGGGCCTTCCACGCAGCCTCCTCTGTCCGATGAGATCACACGTGCTCCAAGCAGGCCTGGACTGAGCGCTTGGGTCCCGCACATAGCTAGAGCACTGCAGGCACAGCAATTTCTGTCACCTGGGGTGTGTGTGAATCCTTTGTGAGATTCTTCTCTGAAGGCTGGGGGGTCATGGCTTTGAGCCAGGGTAGCTGATCAGTAAAAGGCGCTAGGTGATGCCCATCGACAAGGGAGATGGGGGTCTAAACAGGTGAGGACCGGAGCCTGCCAGCTATTAATTTCCAACACTTCCTCCCAGTGAATTTTCTACCAGAGCTGTGAACCAGAAGCAACTGACTTAACTGAACTTTCTGTCTTCCCTAACTCACTCCAACTCATGAGGAATACGGCGGTGGGTAGTCTGGCTCTGAGGCGAGGCGCAGAAGGGCTTGGATTTCCACTGGGTGCATGTTATGTGGCTGTCGTGGGCTGAACTGTGTCCCTACAAATTCATATGTTTGAAGTCCTAATCTCCAGGACGTCAGAATGGGACTGAATTCAGAGATAGGGTCTTTAAGGAGGTAACCAAAGTTAAATGAGGCTGTTAGAATGGGCCTTAATCCAATCTAACTGGTGTCCTTATAAAAAGAGATTAGGGTACAGACTCACGGAGGTATGAGCATGTGAAAATATTAATACTAGAAGCAGGTGGCCATCTATAAGCCAAGGAGAGAGGCCTCAGAAGGAAACCAACGCTGCTGACACCTTGATCCGGGACTTCCGCAGCCTCTAGAATTGTATTAAAAACAAAACAAAAAAACAAAAAACTGTTGTTTGGCCGGGCACGGTGGCTCACACCTGTAATCCCAGCACTTTGGGAAGCTGAGTTGGGCGGATCACAAGGTCAGGAGATCGAGACCAGCCTGGCCAACGTGGTGAAACCCTGTCTCTACTAAAAATACAAAAATCAGCTGGGTGCGGTGGTGTGCTCCTGTGGTCCCAGCTACTTGGGAGGCTGAGGCAGGAGAATAGCTTGAACCGGGGAGGCAGAGATTGCAGTGAGCCTAAATAGCTCCAGTGCACTCCAGCTTGGGCGACAGAACAAGACTCCGTCTCAAAAAAAAAAAAAAAGCAAAAAAACAGAAAAAAACTGTTGTTTAAGCCACCCAGTGTGTGGTACTTCATTATGGCAGCCCTAGCAGACTAATATAGTGACATAGGCATGTGTCACCATGCATAGTCCTGAATCATCTTACATATTCACATCTTGAAAAGTCTGTAAGCAATACAAGTGTCACTCATCCAAACTCCGGACACTTCCTCTCTTGGGGCTGTAGAGCTAGCAGGGGAATTCCAGAAAGGAAAAACACAACACGTGAGTTTATGATCTAGAGTGGGAAGCAACATAAATATGTGTTGCTTGTTCTGTGTGCCCAGGAGAGTCTGATGGCAATAAAGATCAGAGGCCAGGGAGGGTTTGGACCTGGGAGGTACTTGAGGGTTGCTTACTGTCCTTGAGATGAGTTAGGCTTGCTGGATTGGAAAAAGGATGTGTGAGGCCACTGATCCCTAAGCTGGCCTTAGGAGTCCTCTGAGACAGACAGGAAGACCTTGGGCAACCGGAGACTAAAGCAGGCCTGAGGACTGATCACCTGGGTGGATTTTCCACAGCTTCTGCTGATGGCTTCCTGGGGCTTATGAAGACCAGGCACTGTGACTCCATTCAGAAGGTCACAGAGGGCAGGTTATGAGCATCGAAGGGATTTCATTCCCCATCTGTGGTTTCTGAAATTTGTCTCCCTGGAGCTCGCCTGAGAGTGAGTTTGTGGCCTTGGTATGACACTGACGGTTCTTGTATAATTTGCAAAGATTGAGGCAATTTATTTTAATTGAAAACCTCTAGGTGTATTTCTGGCAGTGATATTCCCCAGGTGACCCCCTTGGTGGATGGGAAGCTAAACAAGAAAATGTGTGTGTTTCAGGAAACCTGATGATTCCAGTTTCAGATAAGTCCTTCCAGTCCATCCCCCTAGTCCTGCATCTGCTAATGTGCAGATGAAAGGCTCTGTGTAACTTGGATCTACAGAAACTGTCAATTCTGAAAGGCTGCCTTTTGGTCTTAAAAGGTGTCCTTGAAATTACTCCCAGGTTTTGGCCCTGACTGACTTTCCAGTGAAATCTAATTGGCCGGGTTTAAAACACAGCTGTGAGGATTTTGAAGCCGCCTTTGAAAGTGAACTGCTGGTGCACTATTGCAATGAGGACATGCACAGAGATCCCAACCAGAGCTCAAGAGTAATAATGCTGTGGTACCTTTTGGAAAATGCTGTTGTCAGGCAGCCCCGGTGCGGTGGGAACCATGAGTTGGTTTTCAGGTAGTTTATCTTCCTCTCCCCAGTTCTCATCACTTTTGTGTGACTAATGGACTAATCTGCAGATCGCTGTCGGGCAATGGGTATCATCTCTGGACACAAGCAGAGAAAGCTAATAGACTCCCAGAAGACCGGCCCCATGGCCCGAGCCTCATTATGTCTCTCGGTTTCTAGGCGTACAAGTCGACCATAGATGTACGATGCCACACAGATATCTGCTAATGACAGAGCATCCCACGTGCCTGCTAGTACGTCCTGCCAGCACCTCACTTTTATAGTGGCCAAACCCAAACGTATATATTACCTTCGACCAAATTCATATGTTTCTCCTACCCTCCTAGCATGTTCTCCTATCCTCCTTGTTTCTGCTAAAGGCCCCACCATCCTTCAGTCAACCTGATCAGAAGCCCTTGGCTGCTTGTCCATTGCTGGCTTTTCCTTCACGTGTCATTACTTGTTTCATTCTAGATCAAATCCCTGTAGTTTATTCTCTCATCACCTCTCTTTAGCAGAATCTCTGCAGCCACCGAACTGGTTTTCCCATCTCCAACCTGCTGATTCGTAAATTTCAATGTACGTGAAAATCTGGGAGACTGTTAAAATGTAGATTCCTGGGTCCCGCTCCCAGAAATTCTGACTGGAGGTCTTGGGTGTTCACTCTGTACTTTAAAATGTTCCTGGGGGGTATTGATCCAGTTGATAGAGGACCACATTTTGAGAAGTTCTGCTGTTATCTTTCCTGGGCCCTGTGGTCAAAGAAGTCTCCCTATGGCACAGCTATAATTGGGCTTCTCAGATCAAAAGCCACCCAAGTCTCCCCAGTGCTTAGCACACCACTACTGTACTGAGCCAGGCTTTCAGGACCTTGTGTATGTCAATAGTCAACAGCCTAATTTCCCACTTTTCCCACTAACCATGTGGTCTTTTCAGTAAATTTCAAACTTATTTAGGAGACAGTCAATTAAAATAACTATATCAATAGTGCAGAGTCAGTGTCCTATACTAAATTCTAGTTTAGACAAGTGGTCACAGGGACCAAAGACATTTTAAAAATTATAAAGGGCACATATGTGAAATTTTTTAAAACTTGGTTATTTACTGTGATTTGGGAAAAAAGCAGTATTAGCACTTGTTGATATTGTTTGAGCAATACTTTGGCTCAACGCTTGAAATATTAGGATGCAGAGGGGGTGCATAGTTTGGAAAACATGGCCTAACTAAACATGGCTACTTGGCTGTGATGGTTAATTATGTGTCAACTTGACTGGCCACAGGGTGCCCTGATTAAACATTGTTCCTGGCAGAGTCCGGAGGATGTTTCTGGATGAAATTACCACTGGAATCAGTGCACTCAATAAAGAGGACTGCCCTCCCGATGTGGATGGGCATCATCCAATCCCCTGAGGGCCTGAAGAAAACAAAACAGAGGGGAGGAATTTGCTTCTTTTGGCTTCCTGCCTGCCTACTTGACGTGGGACAGCTTCTCTCATCTTCTCTGGACCTCTGACTGGGATTTACACCTTCAGCTCCCCTTGTTCTCTGGCCTTTGGAGTCAAATGGAATCACACTAGAGGCTTTCCTGGGTCTTCAGCTTGCAGACAGCAAATCCTGGGGCTTCTCAATGTCCACAATCATGTGAGCTAACTCCTCGTGATAAGTGTATTTATGTACGTCAGTATCAAAATCCATACTGGAGTTTTCCAGAGGACCTTCATGAGAGTTCTGTTTCTCTGGAGAACCCTAATCCAGATTTTGATACTGAGAGTAGTTCTAGAGGGCCAGAATTTTAAATATGAATTTTCTAAAATAAGTTCTGGAGTTTCTGAAATTGAATCTCTAATCTGATTAAAGACACTAATGATGCTATTTCCAGTAGTAAAGAGGGCAATGACAGTCCATGGTGTAAACTGTTTATAGAAATGCACAAAATAGCTGCATAGAATACGCTTAACTAACTATGAGAAGCAAGGATCTAGGTGAATCTGTATATAATACTTACAAATATTTCTGAAAAATGAACAAATATAATGAATTGGTTGGTTGTTCCTAATGAGCTGAGCTCAGGGACTTGACGTGCTGAACAGGGACTCCCAGTTCAAGTGCTACGTAAATGACTCAAGAGCTTCTTGGTGTGCCCTAAAAAAGACCCTGATCATGTGTAGCCACAGAGCTGAAATTGCTGAAAATCAAACACAGAACCTTATCTTTCAGCTGACTGAATTACAACGCAAATTGAGCTCCCAGCCTCACAGGGTAAAAGTGAGGGCATTGATTAAGAAAGAATGGGATCCTGTAAATTGGGATAGGAAGGTGCGGGAAGACCTTGATGAAGCTGGGGACACTGAGCCCCTAAATTCTGATTATTTTGCTTCGCAAGTGGCAGATGTCTCCCCATCTCCAGTGGAATTGACCTCCTTACCCCCAGCAGAAATGGCCTCCTCAAACCCAGTGGCCATGGCCTTCCCACTCTCAGGTAATGGCATCATCATCCCAGTGGTATCAGCCTGTCCACTTGGGTCTCAGGAGGATTAACCCTGCATTGCCTGAGGAAATTGTAATGACTTCACTTGAGGCAGCTGCCTTGGAAGACAATGCTGATTCTCTTCAGGACCCACTCCCACCATCCCTCTTTGCTTCCAGACCTATAACTTGACTTAAGTTCTAACAGGCCCCTAAAGGTGAGCCATGTGTGACCCAAGAGAGTACTTATAGTCAGAAGAACTGCTTGAGTTTTTAAATTAATGTAGGCAGAAGTCCATGGAACATGTGTAGGGCTGTATACTAAAAGTGTGGGATAATTGTGGAAGGAACATAAAATTGGGTCAGGCTGAATTTATTGACATGGGCTCACTAAGCAGAGATTTTGCATCTAATATTGCAGTTCATGGAGTTAGAAAGGGCTCTAACAGTTTGTTTGGTTGGTTGATTGGCTGAAACATAGATCCAAAGGTGTACCACTGTGAGCAAATTGGAAATGACCTACCTACCTTAGTTTAATGTAGAGGGAGGGAATCAAAGGCTTAGGGAGATTGGAGTGTTAGAGCGGTTTTGTCATTTAGGATCTACTCACCCACACTGGGAGGCTGTAGAAGACATATATTTCACCAATACTGTGAGGAGTAAATTTGCGAGAGGAGCCACAGCATTCTTGAAGACCTCTGTGATTGCTCTTTTCTGTAGACCAGACCTCACAATAAGAACCACAGTTACTGAATTGGGGAACCTAAACACAATGGGAATAAATGGATTATTGGGTGGCAGGGACCAGGTAGTGGCACTAAACAGCCAAAGGTAAGGTGGGCAGTGTTACCGTAATGGACAGCAGAGTCAAAGCAGCAGTCAGAACAGTCTACTCCTGCAGACTCTGGCATTAGCTAATTGATCATGGTGCTCATATGAGTGAAATAGATAGGAAGCCTACTAAATTCTTACTTGATCTGTATAAGCAGAAAAGTTATAGGTCAAGTGAACAAAAGTCTAATTTGAATCATAAAAACAGACTCATGACCCCTCAATCAATTCCCATACTTGAGCTTTTTACAGACTCAGAACCCCTTGAGTGAGACTGGGCCCACTCAAGGAAGAGCCCTCATTATACTATAGAAAATTTATACTGTTTAATCTTTTTTCCAGCTTTCCCCAGAGGAACATATAGCCTTAAAAAGGTAATTATTTTAGGGAAAAGGAAATAATCAGAACTTTTGGGGACTGCTGGACACTGGCTGTATTAATCTGTTCTTATGCTGCTAATAAAGACATACCAGAGGCTAGGTAATTTATAAAGGAAATAAGTTTAATTGACTCACACTTACACATGCTGAGGAGGCCTCACAATCATGGCAGAAAGGGAAGGAGGAGAAAAGTCATGTTTTACATGGCAGCAGGCAAGACAGCATGTGCCAGGGAGCTCCCTTTTATAAAACCATCAGGTCTTATGAGACTTATTCACTATCATGAGAACAACATGGGAAAGGCCCACCCCCATGATTCAATTACCTCCCACCAGGTCCCTCCCATGACACATGGGTTTATGGGAGCTACAATTCAAGAGGAGATTTGAGTGGGGACACGGCCAAATTATATGATTGTGCCCCTGGCCCCTTCTGGATCTCACATCTTCGCATTTCAAAACCAATCATGCCTTCCCAACAGTCCCCAGAGTCTTAACTCATTTCAGCATTAACCCAAAAGTTCACAGTCCAATGTCTCATCTGAGACAAAGCAAGTCCTTTCTACCTACGAGCCTGTAAAATAAAAAGCAAGTTAGGTAATTCCCAGATACAATGGGGGTACAGGCATTGGGTAAATATACCTGTTTCAAACGGGAGAAATTGGCCAAAATGAAAAGGCTACAGGCACCATGCAAGTCTGAAATCCAATAGGGCAGTCATTAAACATTGAAGTTCCAAAATGATCTCCTTTGACTTCTTGTCTCATATCCAGGTCATGCTGATGCAAAAGGTGGGCTCCCGAGGCCTTGGGCAACTCCACCCCTGTGGCTTTGCAGGGTACAGCTCCCCTCCTGGCTGCTTTCATGGACTGGTGTTGACTGTCTGTGGCTTTTCCAGGGGGACAATGCAAGCTGTCAGTGGATCTACCATTCTGAGGTCTGTAGGACAGTGGCCCTCTTCTCACAGCTTCACTAGCTACTGCCCCAGTGGGGACTCTGTGTGGGGGCTCTGACCCCACATTTCCCTTCTGCACTGCCCTAGCAGAGGTTGTCCATGAGGGCCCCACCCCTGCAGCAAACTTCTGCCTGGACATCTAGGCACTTCCATACATCCTCTGAAATCTAAGCAAAGGTTCCCAGACCTCAGTTCTTGACTTCTGTGCACCCACAGGCTCAATACCATTTGGAAGCTACCAAGGCTTGGGGCTTGCACCCTCTGAAGCCATGGCCTGAGCTGTACCTTGGCCCCTTTTAGAAATGGCTGGAGCAGCTGGGATGCAGGGCACCAAGTCCATAGGCTGCACACAGCAGGGGGGCCCTGGACAGGGCCCAGGAAATCATTTTTTCCTCCTAGGCTTTAGGTCTATAATGGGAGGGCTGCCATGAAGGTCTTTGACATGCCCTGGGGATATTTTCCCTATTGTCTTGGTGATTAACATTTGGCTCCTTGTTACTTATGCAAATTTCTGCAGCAGGCTTGAATTTCTCCCCAGAAAATGATTTTTTCTTTTCTATTGCACTGTCAGGCTGCAAATTTTTCCACACTCTTATGCTCTGCTTCCTCTGGAATGCTTTGCCGCTTAGAAATTTCTTCTGTCAGATACCCTAAATCATCTCTCTCCAATTCAAAGTTCCACAGATCTCTGGGGCAGGGACAAAATGCTGCCAGTCTCTGCACAGCAAGAGTGATCTTTACTCCAGTTTCCAACAAGTTCTTCATCTTCATCTGAGACCACCTCAGCCTGGACTTTATTGTCCATATCACTATCAGCATTTTGGTCAAAGCCATTCAACAAGTCTCTAGGAAGTTCCAGACTTTCTGACATTTTCCTATCTTCTTCTGAGCCCTCCAAACTGTTCCAACCTCTGCCTGTTAGCAGTTTCAAAGTTGCTTCCACATGTTCGGGTATCTTTATAGCAGCACCCCACTCTACTGGTAACAATTTACTGCATTAGTCTGTTCTCTAGCTGCTAATAAAGACATGCCCAAGGCTAGGTAATTTATAAAGGAAAGAGGTTTAACTGACTCACAGTTCCACATGCTGAGGAGGCCTCACAGTCTTGGCAGAAAGGGAAGGAGGAACAAAGTCACATCTTACATGGTGGCAGGCAAGAGAGCATGTGCAGGGGAACTCCCCTTAATAAAACCATCAGATCTCCTAAGACTTATTCACTATCACAAGAACAACATGGGAAAGACCTGCCCCATGATTCAACTACCTCCCACCAGATTCCTCCCACAACACGTGGGAATTATGGGAGCTACAATTCAAGATGAGATTTGGATGAGGACACAGCTAAACCATATCATTGGCTCTGAATGGAGAGACCTCAAACTTCTGTATGGATTATCAAGGTCGAGTGATCAATGGAGTTTTAACTCAGGTCCATCTTCCACTGGGTTGAGTAGGCCTCTTAATCCATCCTGTGGTTATTCCCCGAGTTCCAGAATTCACTGGAATGGATTCTGCCAGCTGGCAGCTGACAGAATCCTCACAATGCCTCCCTGAACATGTTGAGTGAGAACTATTATGGTAGGAAAGGCTGAGAGCCATTAGAATGTTCTCTACCTAGAAAAATAATAAATCAAAGGCAATACTGCTTTCCTGGAGGGATTGCAGAGATTAGTGCCACCATGAAGGACTTGAAAGATGCAGGGGTAGTGATTCCCACTATATCTCCATTCAACTTTCCTATTTGGCCTGTGCAGAAGACAGATCATAGAGAATGACAGTGGATTATGATACACTTAACCAGATAGCGGCCATTTACCCAAGTGACCTAAAAAGTTGCTAGCTTTGAGTGGGACCTAGAAAAAGAAAACACTGCACTAGATCCCAGCTGCTGTGCCTGCTGCTCTGCTACTCAGGCCATATGATCCAGCAGATCCAATGGCATTTGAAGTGTCAGTGGCAGATGGGGATGCTGTTTGGAGTTTTTGGCAGGCCCTTGTAGGCAAATTACAGCACAGGGCTTTAAAATTTTGGAGCAAGGCCCTGCCATTATCTGAAGGTAATTACTCTCCTTTTGAGAGACAGCTCTTGGCCTGCTACTGGGTCTTAATAGAGACTGACCATGTAACCACAGGCCACCAAGTTATCATGAAACCAGAGCTGCCCATCATGGTTTGGATATTGTCTGACCCATCAAGCCATAGAATTGGGCATGTAAAGAAACACTCCATGATCAAATGAAGTGGTATATATGATTGGTCCCAAGTGGGCCCTGAAAACACAAGTAAGTTACATGAAAAAGTGACCCAAATGCCTGTGGTTCCACCCCTGTTATGCCTTTTCTCCTTCTCCCAGCTTCATGGGAGTTTCCCTATGGCTACATGTAGGGAATCAGTTGAGAGGGGAAGAGAGAACCCAGTCCTGGTTTACAGATGGTTCTGCACAATATCCAGGCACCACCTGAAAGCGGATGGCTGCAGCTCTACAGCCCCTCTCTGGGCCACCCCTGAAGGACAGTGGTGAAGGGAAATCCTCCCATTGGGCAGAAATCTGAGCCACACTTCTGATGGTTCACTTTACTTGGAAGGCGAAATGGCCAGACATGCAATTATATACTGATTCATAGGCTGGGGTCATCCTGACTGGGTGGTCAGGAGCTTGGAAATTCACTCTTCCTACCATGTTCTCCACCATCCTGAAGCAGCTAACTCGATAGAACAGTGGAATGGCCTTTTGTAGATGCAGTTATCATGTCAGCTAGGTGGTAATACCTTGCAGAGTTAGGGCAAGGTTCTCCAGAAGGCTCTCTATGCTTTGTATCAGCATCTAATACATGGTACTACTTCTCTGATAGCCAGGATTCTTGGGTCCAAGGAAATTGGAGTGACTCACTATTACCCACTAGCAAAATTTTGCTTCTTATTCTTATGACTTTATGCTCTGCTGGGCTAGAGGTCTTATTTCTGGAGGAAGGAATGCTTCCACCAAGAGACACAGCGATGATTCCATTGAATAGAAAGTTAAGACCGCCACCTAGCCACTTTGGGCTCCTCATGCCTCAAAAACCACAGGCAAGGAAGTTGTGTTATTGGCTGGGTGATTGGTCCTGATTACCAAGGGGAAATTGTACTATAGCTCCACAGTGAAGGTAAGGAAGAGTATGACTGGATTATAGGAGATACCTTCTGGTATCTCTTAGTATTACTATGTCCTGTGATTAAGGTCAATGGAAAATGACAACAGTCCAATCCAGGCTGGGCTAGTAATGGCCCAGACCTTTGGGGAATGAATGTTTGGGTCACCCCACTGGGTAAAGAACCATAACCAGCTGAGGTGCTTGCTGAAGGCAAAGGGAAAACAGAATGGGTAATGGAAGAAAGTGATTATTAATACCAGCTACAACAATTAAGTAGTTACAGAAATGGACTTAACGGTCACAAATATTTCCTCCTCATTCTGCTATGAATGTGTGTGTGTGTACGTGTGTGTGTGCATGTGTGTGTATCTTTGTTTTCTTTCCTCTCCTGTTCCCTTACCATGCAACATAAGATCCACTGACTTTTGTCATAGTATGTAAGTATTAATTTCACACCACAGTGTTTAAATTAGGGGTATCAAGGGAAAGAGTAAATATCACTCAAGGACTTTACTTCCTCTTCTGGGGAAGGGGTCAGTGTATTTTTGGTTGTATGCAGGATGATTGTATCATATTAGA
Organism: Homo sapiens; assembly: GCF_000001405.40. Lineage (NCBI taxonomy): Eukaryota > Metazoa > Chordata > Mammalia > Primates > Hominidae > Homo > Homo sapiens. The sequence continues at coordinate 34,291,841 of NC_000021.9, forward strand.
TGGAATTATGACCTCATTATTACCTTTATTTGGAGATTAAGTATGGTTTAAGGAGATGTGTATGGGTGCCCAAGTTGACAAGGGTTGGAGTTGTGGTGGAAAACTTTATGTGTAAATTTGACAGGCCTCAGGATACCCAGATTAAGAATCATTTCTTTGTGTGTCTGTGAGGGTGTTTTCAGATAAGAGCAGCATTTGAATTGATGGACTCCATAAAGTAGATGGCACTCCCCAATGTGGGTGGGCACCATCTCATCTGCTGAGGGCCTCAATAGAGCAAAAGGAAGGGGAAGGAGGAATTCGGTCTCTTTTGCTTCCTGCCTGTCTGCTTTAGTGTGGATAACACATCTCATCTTTTTTGACCCTTGAACTGGGATTTATACCATCAGCTCTCCTGGTTCTCAGGATTTTGGATTCAAACTGAATCACACCATAGGCTTTCCCAGATCTCCAACCTGCTGACAGTAGATGCTGGTACTTGTCAGCCTCCAGAATCACATAAGCCAGTTCTTGTATCCTGCTGGTTCTGTTTCTGTGGAGAACAGGAGTTCAGCATTAGCATTCCCAAATAGAAAGGACATGGGCCTCGGAGTCAGCTAGGTCTAAATTCAAAATGTGATTCCACAGTTTACAAGCCTGTAGCCTTTTATCTGTGACCTGTGACTTGGCCTATCTGAGACTATAAAATAAGGACAATAATGTTTCCTTTGGGGGTGAGGTGAGAATTAAAGACAACGTAGGTAAAGAAGAGTCAGTGAGCAAAGGGTGAGAGGCTAGTGGTGGGGAAGAGAGGACTATGGCTTGACCCTTAGGCAGCAGATAGCTCCCTGAGTTGAGGGAACATGATCAGCTGAGAGGTCCCAGGAGCATAACCAGCTGGCTATGAGAAGAGAGATTAAAAGGGCAGATTACATCAAGAGAGACCAGTTAGGAGCCACACAACAAGCCACACCTGAGGCAGTTTGGGCCAACCAAGATGGCGGCAATGAGTGAGGTAGGAGAGGAAGGCTTGGGGAGACACTTCAAACTGTTACACTTCAAACTGTTTCTTTACCAATGAATGCTGAGATTATAGTAGACCTCAGGCCTCTAGTGGATCATTTAGCAGATAACAGCTGTTCACACAGCAGAGGCAGTTCATAGTTCCTAATTGTCCTATCATCTTCCATTCTCTCCCAGGTTGAATCTGTTCTTCAGAAAACCTGGAATGAACTTTCCAAATCATCTTATTGTAATGCTTCCCTGTGTTCGTCTTTCTTGGGCTCCCCACTGTGGGGATTTTATCCCCACAGGATAAAATCGTACTGCTTTAGCATGGCCTAGATGAGGCCCTTCCTGACCTGGCCCTTGAGCTTCCTTACTGAAATGCTCACTCACAAATATCCTTCACCTGAATCCTATGGCCACACAGAACTATTTGTTCTGACACTTTGATACCTTCATGCCTCTGCACATGCTTTTTCTCCTCTGCTTGGAATGTCCTACCCCGTTTTCTTCTTTGAAAACCTCTTTGTCCTCAACTAAAATCTCATCTACTGTGAGACACCTTTTCCATTGCTTTCAGAGAAATTAAAATACTTCTGTTGGGCCACATGGTACTCCCTGTGTACTTCTATTTAAGCTCCCATCACAGAGTTTTGTAAAGATTTGGGTAAAGTATTGCTTTCTCCTAGGAGTCAATGCCTACTAGGTATTCAGTAGTTAGTGCAAGTGTTGTTTCTTCATGTCCGCAAGTCTAGATTCCATCCTTTGCTATGCTCTTTCATAGACCTGAATCTTTCTCTCAAAACCTGCATGTTCATGAGAGAGATTATCCAACCAATGCTCCTTTTCCTCCTAGGCTGCAAGCATCAGGACAGCAGAGACCAAATTCATCATTGAATCCTCAACATCTAGCACAATATGCCTGGCATAAGGTAGGAGCCCAATAAATATTCTTTAAATATATGGATGAATGAATGAATGAGCGAATGGTTGAAGAGCACCTCCTTTGGATACTGTGAAGATCAACAAATCCCTTCTTCTGGAACTACTTTCTTCATTAGATAGAGTTCTTCTGGTTGCAATAAAAAACTCAAAAAGTTTAAGCATTAACAGAAATTTATTAGAAAGTTGCTTGGCAAATCATTTAATTCAGGGAAGAGTTGAATGAGTCAACTGGAGAAAGACAGTAACTATGCTGTTCTAGTGATGTCAGCCTCAGGAGTTAATAGCTCTTTCCCCAGGAACTTTGCTATTAATGTGATTAGTCCTCATCTCATCATCTCTTTCTCTCATTCAAATTTCAGATTCCTAGAAGAGAGAAGTTGATTGGCCCTTTTAGGTCAGGAATTTGTTCCTATACCAGTCAGCCCTCAGGAGGCAATTTCATGCAGGATAAACCTGGCTGCCAGCAGCCCATTTCTGTGGTTCCCAGAGAAAAAGGAATCCCCATGAGCAAAAGATGTAGAGTTACCAAGTCAGGTGTGCAACTCGGTCTCTTGATTCATATCTAGGATTGTTTCTTCTTTCTGTCTCCCTATTCCTTTATATGATTTATAATGATGGTGATGGAGTCCATAGGGTTTCTAGTAGGGAGAAATGACTGTGATGGAATGAGGGGTAAGGAACAAACACAAACTGGAGTTTGGTAACATTCTGAACAGTGTGTCCTGAGCATCATCCTCTGCATTGCCTAAGGTAACACTAGCTGCCATAAAACCAAACCCAAGATGTGTTAGGGCTCAAACACCATAGAAATTTATTTCTTGCTCTCCTAAATTCCAAATATGTCCCTGATCTGCTGGTGCCTCTCCTCCGAGAAGTGACTCAGGGACCCAGCCTCCTTCAATGTTGTTTTTTTTCCCCATAATATACAGAATCTGCCAAGGTCACTATATTAATATGCATCAAGTCTGTGAAGGGGAAAGAGCAAAGCGGATAAGACTTAGAAGTGATGCTCAACAGTTTTGCTCATATTCCACTGGCTAGAACTTGGTCACAGGCCACATCTAGTTCCCCCAGAGACTAGGAAATGAGCTAATCTGTGAGCCCAGGAAGAAAAGGAGTGATGTTAGATGAACTGTTAGCCCATCGATGGACTCTTAGCTGGATATACCTGTAGTTGTTTCCCCCGGCAAGTGGGTGTGTGTGCTTGTACCTGTTTGTTCTGCACTGTGTTACCCGGGGGCATATCTGGATGCATAGGAAGGTTAGAGTGTGTTGAGTGCCCAGAAGGATGGATTTTCTCTGGACTTGTTCATCTACATAAGGATTTTCCTCTCTCTAGAAACTTCCCCCTAAACCATAAGATCAAAACCCTATAGGCCTTGCTGATACTACATGACCTCCCTGCCCTGGGCACAATTGCTTGGCACAGGGTTAGATGCCTGAATGATCAGTCAGATTCTCATCTGGAAATCTGAAATTCAATCAGGGAGTCAGATCATGGAGGTGGGCTGTGGAGTCATCTACATAGCAGCTGCATGGATGAAGAAAGCCCTGGAAGAACTGTGGCTCCAGTCTTCCCAAGGCCAATTGCTCATGGCTTCCTTGGCTGGGGGTAACTGTAGTATCAAATTATTTTATGTGTAAGTTACTCACATTGGTATTGGTGGCTATTTCTTGCAGCCAAAATAATTTTAGTTAATAAAGAAAAATGTCATGTTTATTTGACGTTGAGCAAATCACTCTAACAGCCACAGATTTCTCATATATAAAATGAGAATAGTTTCATCTGCTCTGCCTACCTCTTGGGACTATTGTAACAGTTTAATGGAACAAAGTACATAAAGTGCTTCAGAAACAGTGAAAATCCATACACACATTAAGTGGGGCTATTTGTCTACAGCAAGAAGAGTTTTAAGAGCGTTCTCCAAGTATGAAATAGTTTTTCTTTCTTTCTTTTTAAACTTTAATAACTTTGTGGTCAATCCCTCTCAAGTTCAGGAAGTCTCCATAGTTGGAGGCTTACTTTTCTTTTCTTTTGCTAGATATTTAATACTTTGATTACTTCTGACACTGAAATTACCCATTATGGTGTTGTCCTTTGCCAAACCAAGCCTGATTTTTGTATTATTATTGCTGTTTGGGGCCATTTTCAGCAGCTCTGCTTGACAGTCTGAATAGAGCAATTGTTCTCAACCACATCATACCCAGTGTCCTCTTTGTATAACACATTTCACACCTCCTTACTTTTCTGGAATGAAATTGTATTAGTTGCTTGGGCAGCCATAACAAAGTATCACAGACTGGGTGGCTTAAACCAGGGGTCCCCAGCCCCTGGGCCATGGACTGGTACCAGTGCGTGGCCTATTAGGAACTGGGCATACAGCAGGTGGTAGGTGGTGGGCAAGCAAGCATTACCACCTGAGCTCTGTCCCCTGTCCAGTCAGCAGTGGCATTATATTCTCATAGGAGCGAAAACCCTATTGTGAACTGTACATGTGAGGGATCTAGGTTGCACGCTAATGAGATTTTAACTAATGCCTGATGATCTGAGGTGGAACAGTTTCATCCCCAAACCATCCCCTGCCCAACCCCATCCCACGGAAAAATTATCTTCCATGAAACTGGTCCCTGGTGCCAAAATGGTTGGGGACTGCTGGCTTAAACAACAGAAATGTATTGTCTCAAAGTTCTGGGGGCTGTAAGTCTTGTCATAAATGTCATCAAGGTTGTTTTCTTCTGAGGCTGTGAGAGTCTATTCCAGGCCTTTCTCCTTGGCTTGTAGATGACTGTTTTCTCCCTGTGTCTTTTTATAGCATCCTCCTTCTATGTGTGTTTCTATGTCCAAATTTCCCTTTTTAATATGGACACCCTTCGTCTTGCATTAAGGCCTATCCTAAAGACCTCATTTTGATTTGATTGTCTCGGTAAAGACCCAATGTCCAAATAAATATGTTCTGAGGTCCTGGGGGTTAGAACTTCAGCATATCTTTTTTGGGAGACACAACTCAACCCAGAACAGAATTATAATTCTGTTGTAATTAATCATAGAGAGGTTATAACTAATCATATAACCTCTCTACACATATTATTTTTAAAAGGTTGACATAATGCTCTGACTTAAAAATAAATAGAAAGTTATTTATAATAAAACAGTATGTGTTTCCATAGGTAAATGCTCAGGCAGGAATAAAGTAGAAAATATGATGCCCAACTTGATACCTGGGCCACTATGCCACCTCCCTGAGAAAGAAACAGATAGAAATGCAGCCTGCTCAAGTGAGCTATGTTGGCCACTCAAACACTGTACAAGGGGAACTGCTGTCAGTAACATGGTGTCCCAAATAGTGATTGACTCTTGGCAAACAAAATACAACCCTCCCTCTGTTGACATGGTAGTCGCATTCCTGGAAAATTCAGCATATTTAAAAACCTTCCAAGGAATGCTTTGTGTTTGTATGTAAAACAGAACAGAGATTTTACCTACATGAAGCCCTGGTGAAACGCTTGAACATCAGGCATTATGTGGATGACTCTTCTCTGCAGGGAATTGTCCCAGGCATTGCAAGATGTCGAGCCTTCTTTGCCCCCACCAAATAAATATCAGTAGGACATCCCCCAGTCACTATGACAAATGAAGCACACAAATTGCTAAAATGGTTCTGATCCATTGAGAACCCTTAGAGGAGAGAGGGCTTCAAATCGTCCAAGGGAGCAACTGCAAAGAAAAGACAGGTGTGAGAGCCAATGGGGTGTGCCATGCTGAAAGTAACGTGTCTGCTTTCCAATCAAATACTGGAACCCTCCAGGGTCAGGAAGGACAGCATAGGACACAGCGACTCGAGTCCTGTCTGCCATGTCATATGCCTGTGTGGGACTTGGAGGTCTCAACTCTCTTCTCTCATGAGTCAGATGTGATAAGCCCAGCAAAAGACAATTACTGATTTCAGAGCGTATAGTCTAGTGATGAAGAAAGACCTAAGCAGGTATATTACAATACAATGTGTGTTAAGTATTGGGTACTGTGGGAGTTTGTAAAAAGGGACACTGTACCCGGGCTGGGATGTGGGGTATGATAAGGGAATTCTGGTCAAATATCAGAGGGTGACAGAAAGAGTACCCCAGGGAGCAATGTACTTCTGTGGTGTTGCTTTCATTCTCAGTGGGGACAGAAGATGATGACGTGGACAGGGGACCCTAGTTTCACAGATAGGAAGCAGGATGTGGGGTAGGGAGCTGGGGTGTCCCCTTGGACCCCATTCTCAATCCTGGTGCCACCTGAACTTCAATCAATACCTGGAACTCCCAAAGTCTCCGTGCCCAAGTCACATCCCATTCTTCTTCCGGTTTTGTCACCTTTCTTAACTCTGTCTTCTGAATGTAAACTCTACCCTAGCAGCAGAGAACAAATATTCAAGGGTGGCATATCCTGGGGGTTCAGGTCTGGCTTGAGCTTTGGAGAAGCCGATCCTCTTGGGAGTCACAGTAGGCTCCTGATTCCGTAGACAGCCCCTAGATGCATCTTCCCGGGGCTTGCACCTATAGAGATATGGGTACAACATGGTGTACCATCTGGCATCTCCTCCATGATGGCAGAAGGAACTGCCCTCTCTTAGTCCACCCCCACCTCCCATCTGTCCTCTCCTCAGTTGCACATGTTCCCAGCTGTGTTCACCATCAGGGAGGTTTTCATCCATGTCCAACCTCCTAACAAGGAACTCTGGATTCCAGCTAGAAGATGGGGACAGAGAAATGTTTAAAGGCACTCCTAATGTCAACAAGAAGAATCAAATTAAACAAAAAAGCTTCTGAGTGGGGTCCAGGGCCTCAAGAACACATCTTTATACTAGGACTTGGACAAAGACTTTGATGAAGGGAACAAATGGGGAAAATGCAGTCCCTGCTTGTCCTCTGTAAAGCTGAAGGCGGTATAAACACTTCCAGACATTATTTCTAGCCAGGGAAAGATGCTGACCAGTTGCCCAAAGCCAAAGACTGCCAGGAGTAATAAGAAAACTCTTTAAGCATGATTTTCCCATCTGTTTAATTTCTTATGCTGAAAAAGAAGAAAAAAATATAAATAAATGATTCAGAGAAATGTCACATGCAATTACCTCCACCAGGGAAAAACAAACAAGGCTTCACTTCATTAGGAAGGTTCTCATGTGACCTGTGTCTTCTGGTGGGGTGACTGTTCCTCCCGGTTGGAGGTCTTCAACCTAGGAGCTTCCAAGTTGAGTTGCTCAAGTTCAACTTTGGCTGAAACTTAGCTCTGGCAGCCAGGCAGGACCGTCTCTAAGGGTATCTATCCCACAGGCACCTCCCTCTCTCCTCAATCACATTGTCCAAAGATGAAATCAAGTGAAAGGATGCATTGGAGCAGTCTAGAGTATGAGAAGTCAGTGATGGGCCTATTGGTGTTGGCTCAGGTGTGCTGGTGCAGGGAGGCAGGGGCTTGCCCTATGGGTGTGCTCACCAGCCCACCATCTTTTTTTATTTTAATTTTAATTTTAATTTTTTTAAGCACCAATTGTGCAAACTAGACTTTAGTCCCTTAGTAGCTTCCCTGGGATCACTAAGATCAAATTACAGCATGGTCTCAGTCGGCAAACACTCTAATGGGCCATGCCCTTGGGGTTGATTCTGCCCATCAACATCAGAGCAAAGAAAGCCAATTTGGACCTTTAACTTAAATCTAGTCTTTCGAGGACAGTGAGTGTTTGCCATCCTTGTAAGCCACAAGCAGTTGATCATTCAACAACTCCCATTAAAAACAGTGTCCTTTAAAAATTCTCTCTGCAGAGCACAGAGCCCAGGGTCTTATAGGCACGGGTCTTCGGTGAACATTGAAGATGGTGAGTGTTAAGTGGTGGTTGCTTCCTGTGCTAAGACCTCTGCCCCCATGTCTACTGCAAGCAGATGACCACACCACTAGTTTTTCAGAAAAAGCCAAGGTCAGGTTCCACTAGCTACTTCAACTTTTCTGTTTCATATATCATAGTTTTTCTAGATCTTTCCTTCCCTTTTTCTTTTCTTTCTCTTTTATCTCAGAAGAAGGAAAGAGGAGTATGTGTCTTCATCTCCCTTCAGACAAGACCCTAACCTATGTGTTGGTCTCATCTGCTCCTTTCTCATTTGGAATCTTTCTCCAATAATTCGTTTCACTTATTCAAATTCTCCCCTCTACTGCCTTCTTCTACTTTATCTGCAAATGCCTCTAGCTTTCCCTTCATACCTCAAACTTGGCTTGTCTAAAAATGCAGTTATGTTTTACCTAACAAAACCAGTCCATCTTTCCAGTGGGAGAAGGTTCTAAGCAACTGAGACCAAACTTTGGAGTTATTTTTGATTCATCTGCCTTCTCTGCATGTCTCTGCATTCAGCCCTCTTTTCCATGACCACTGACAAATTTAGCTCAGGTCCCCATTATCTCACATTGGGAATACCAATGATAATGACAATTGTTTATGAAGTGTTTACTCTTGGCTGGGCACTGTGCTGCATACTTTAGATGCATTATCTCACCGTTCATATTAATCTTAGGGAGTACCTTCTATTATTATCCACCTTTTGCACATGGGGAGACTGAGGCTTAGTAAAGTAGCTTATCCAAGGTCTGTATAGTTGACAAATGGAAGAGCTAGGATTCACAAGCAGGTCAGCCGACCCACAGCTTGAGCTTTTAACTGTTAACACCAGGCTGACCACTGTGGTTGCTTCCAAATCAATCTCATAAACACACAGGTCTTCTGTGCTTCCTCTAGTCTACCTTCTTTTCTCTCTCTAATGTACCGTTGGGACTACATCTTCCCCAGCTCAAAATGTCTTGTTGGCTCTTCACTGCCTGCAGGATCAATTGCAAACACCTTAGCTTGGGCATTCAAGGTTCCAGTTCAAAGAGGATATTCATACCTATCTTTTCTGAGAAAATCCCTTCTTAACTCTGTCTACTGAAATCTTCTGTTTCCTCCAAAGGCCATCGCAAAGGCCTCCATGAAACATTTTCTTACCACAGTAGCTAGAACAATTGTTCTCTTTGCTTAAACTGCCATTGTGCTTAATTTGGGCCACTCACATGGTGCTTGTGCTCTGGACTGATTCATAATATGATTATTTGCATATATGTGTTAGTTATATTCTTGAGGTCAAGATTATTTCTGTTTGTTTTTGCAGCCCTCATAACATCTATCAAAACATCTTAAAATAAGAAGTGTATTAATTAAATTAACTCTGGCTTCGGTAACAGATAGACTCTCAATATATTAGTGACTTAACATAATGCAAGTTTATTTCTCACTCATGTAAAGTTCAACTGATGATGGAGGGGTGGGAGTAGTGCTCTGCTCCACAGAGTCATTCAGGGGCCCAAACAGATGGAGACTCTGTTCTCTTCAAAATATGGCTTCCAACTTTGCTTTAGACATTGACAGCAGATGTAGTAATACAGAGAATGGGGAGGAAGATGGCATGGGAGGTTTCATGGCCTGTGTCTAGAAGGAGCACATTCCATTGGCTGGAATTCAGTCTCATGGCCACATAAGGCATAAGAAAGACTAGGAAATGTAGTTCCTGAGTGTTAGGAAGGAGAAGAGATAGATTTGGGTTTTAGCTAACAAGTCCATATTTGTGGAATAAATAATTCATATATTGCTATTTATTTATCAGGGAGAGAGCTGAGTTAGGAATGGTGGTCTCTGGAGAAGGGTAGACACATCTCATGTGCTCAAGATGATCCATTGCTATGAAGAAAGGTGTATTAAAAGATCTTTTTTAAAAATCTAAAACAATAAGAAAGAACTTCAGTGTGGCTGACATTCAGTATATGGAATGACACTGCTGCTTACATTTGATCCTCATGTCACTGGTCTCATGTCTCATCCAACACATGAGTTACCTTGAGAGGAGAATGTGCCCCTGTGTGCAGGAGATGACAGCAGCCCCTGTAACCATTCACTTGCATTCAGAGCCTTTTGACAAATTGCAAAATCTGTGAGCTTGGGTAAGTGGGTTCATCTTGTTTTTAACAAAACCAACCTCCATGAAGTGGATAAATAGCTTTCAATAAACCTATAGAGAAACTGCTTGCTGCAGATAATACTGATGCATGCTCTTTTTTGGCCACATTATGAGGCAGAACAATATGAATAGAATCTGTTCTGGCAAAAAGTCACATACACACAAGAATTAAAATGACCAAAAAAAAAAAAAACCCAAACCTGCTTGAAATATGAATTTACATTCTCTACCATTAACAATGAAACTCAAGTTAAATATGTATTGCAACTTGTGCTATCAATTAAAGCTGGTGTGAAGTGAACACTATTTGTAAAACATTGAAAAATGTGTTATCTAGAATATGAAAGTAAATTTTTATAATTTGAATGTTTAGAGCCATTCATTAATCATTTTCAATCCAGCACTTTGCCACAATCACAATAAATTTGATGATCACTGTTTGAAGCCTGTATTGAAAAAGATTTCTTATTTAATAGTAAAATGTGAAAAGCTATATGCTATGAAGGAAATGCTTGGTTTTTTTTTCTTTTTTTTTTTTTTCTTTTTAGAAGGAGGCTTGCTCTGTTGCCCAGGCTGGAGTGCATTGGTGCCGTCTTGGCTTACCACAACCTCCGCCTCCTGGGTTCAAGCGATTCTCCCTCCTCAGCCTCTTGAGTAGCTGGTATTACAGGCACACGCCACCCCACCCAGCTAATTTTTGTATTTTTAGTAGGGATGGGTTTTCACCATGTTGGTTGGCCAGGCTGGTCTTGAAATCCTGACCTCAGGTGATCTGCCTGCCTCGGCCTCCCAAAGTGCTGTGATTACAGGCGTGAGCCACCTCGCCCAGCCAACACTTGTTATTTCTGTTGTAGTGGCAACAGCTGCAAACTAATGTGTAGAACGCAAACTGATGAGTAAACTAAGATGTATTCTTGAGTCAGCAAATGCAGCTGGAAGATGCCTTGAAAACATCACTAAAGAATTGAAGAAATAAATACTGGGAGAAATGAGACAGTGTGGGAGGTTTACTCCATAGTTGGATTGATGTGCTGATGTTTCTAACATGTGGAAGGTGTTAGGAACATCTTATGGAATTTGCTAATTTCACTCAGTAATGGAACACATCCGGGACTACTTTCCTCGTGAACCTCTAAAAGAAAGATGGACTGGAGAAGATAGGTTTAATGCAAAGTGACTTCTGTAACAAGAACAGTGGTCTATGAGAGAACAGTATCAGTGCAACCCTAGATGTGGCAGCCAATTTGACCAGAGTATAAAAGGAATCCCAGTATAATCCTACAGAGACAGGTCCAAAGTGACTTTCATTTCCTATTCCTTTCACAGGCAAGCTATCATTACTAAGATGTTGTCCCCAGAGGTACAAAGTTTTAGAGGACGGCAGTGAAGAGGCTAACTTTCAAAACAAAATGAACCAATGAAATAAACACAAAAAACGTTAACATATGCAATACAATTTGGAGTATTCTGTAACAGAAGGGGAAGAAGTATTAGTGAAGACATTTTGTATCACACAGAACTTTGCTAGTTATCTGTTGTAAAATACTTGAAAGGGTTGCCCAACTTAGAGATGAGGTATCTAGTTTATTTTACTGTGACTAGCATTGCACATTCACAGATGCTGTCTGTGGCACGTGGCTGTCACTGAGGTGGCAGGTATTTTTGCAGTAATAAATAGACATGATCTACAAAGCTAAAGGGGATATTTTAACTTTGAGTAAGAACATTACTGATTTTCAAGAGTAAATCACCCTATGGAGAAAGCATTTTGGAAACAAAATGCTTAGAAATATCTCTACTACTTTGCTGTATTGTTGAAAATGACGTGTTACTATAAAAATTCATCATCTGTGTATTTTTCAAATGGGAAACAATTTTTAGTCCGCTCAAAAAGCTTCCGGAGGAAGAATTTTAGTGTTTTTAATGTATTTGTTAAAAATATTAAAATGTCACTGTCCTCTGACTAGATTGCAAGAAAATTTTACTGAATCAGGGAAAAAGAAAATGACTAGTCCAATTTCAAGAAAACCTTTATGGTGGTTAGTATAAAGAATTGGATAATGAGCATTCTGACCCAGTAAGTACGTACAGATATGTGCATGAATCTCTTGTATTTGGACAGTAACTTTTTTAGTCAGGATATCCAGTAAAACCATGTCTCTAAAACCAGCATTTTGTTGTTTCACAAATAATAAAACTAAGACCTGCAAAAATAATGAAGTATATTCAATCATCTTGCTCTCATTAAAGATTTTTTAAAAGTCTCCTTTAATGATCAGAGCATATTCTATGGGAGATGAGTGATGATGCTTTATTTAGTTTATAAAACTCTTCCAAACGCATGACCATATGTCTTCCTGGCATCTCCACACCAGGTGACTGCAGAGTCATCGACAATAATGAAGTTTCTTAGCAATTTGAGGAATTTAATAGTTGGGCTCCAAACTAGGGACAAGAAGTTTTCATTCTAAAAAAGCCATTGCAGGAAACAATTAATAGAGTGAAGAGACACCCATAGAGTAGGAGAGGATATTTGCAAACCATACATCTGATAAGGAGTGAATATCCAAAATATGTAAGAAACCCAAACAACTCAATAGCAAGAAAAACAATTCGCCTGATTTTTAAAATTGGCAAAAGATCTGGACAGACATTTCTCATAAAAAGACATACTAATGGCCAACAGGTTCATAAAAAAAAATGCTTAGCATCACTAATTATTGGGGAAATGCAAATTAAGCCACAATGAGGCATCACCTTACACCTGTTAGAATGGCTATTATCAAAAAGATGAAAAATAAGTGTTGACAAGGATGTGGAGAAGAGGGAACCCTTGCACACTGTCAGTGGCAAAGTAAATTAGCACAGCCATGATGGAAAACAATATGGAGGTTCCTCAAAATATTAAAAATAGAACTACCCTATGATCCAGCAATCCCACTTTTGAGTATATATCAGTTTGTCAGAAAGATATCTGCACTTCTATGTTTATCATTCACAATGACCAACAAATGAAATCAATGTAAGTGTCCATCAGTGAATGAATGGATAAAGAAAATGTGGCATATATACACAAATAAATATGATTCATGATTTTTTTTTGTTGTTGTTGAGATGGAGTCTCACTCTGTGGCTCAGACTGGAGTGCAGTGGCGTGATCTTGGCTCACTGCAACCTCCACCTCCCGGGTTTAAGCAATGCTCTGCCTCAGCCTCCCAAGTAGCTGAGATTACAGGCACGTGCCACCATGCCCAGCTAAATTTTGTATTTTTAGCAGAGACGGGTTTTCACCATCTTGATCAGGCTGGTCTTGAACTCCTGACCTTGTGATCCACTCGCCTCAGCCTCCCACTCCCTGGCGCCGCTTGTGGAGGGCCCAAGTCCTTCTGATTGAGGCCCAACCCGTGGAAGAAAATTCTTTTATTTGCAACAGCATGGATAAACTTGGAGGACATTATGCTAAGTGAAGTAAGCCAGGCACAGAAAGACAAATACCACATGATCTCACTCATATGTAGAATCTAAAAAAGTCAAACACATAGAAGTAGAGAGTAGAATGGTGGTTACCAGAGGCTGGGGGAAAGGGTGGCTGAGGGGAATGGGAAGATGTCGGTCAGAGGGTACAAAGTTTCTGTTAGATAGAAGGAATAAGTGATTGAGATTATTGCACAGCAGGGCAGCTCTCGTCAATGATAATATCATGTATATTTCAAAACAGCTAAGATAGTCCATTTCAAATGTCTCACCACAAAAAACGAAAAGTGAGATGATAGAGGTATTAATTAGCTTGATTTAATCATTCCGCATTATACACGTATATCAAAACATTGCATTGTACCCCACAAATGTATACAGTTATGATTTGTCAATTGAAAGCAATATTAATTTTAAAAAGCTATCCACTGACTTACCATGCAAAACTAAAATTTGAATAATGCTTAAATTGATAGGTAAGGTGAGGGGAAAATACCGAGTAATGTCTCCTGCACTGATTCAACACATGTTGGTTCTCTCCCATTTGGCAGACATCGTATGCACAAGGATACCTAAGAGAATACCCCTGCTCTCACAGAAATTATAGCCTAGATCAGACCAGTGACTGAACGTGACAAAGTCACACCAAAATGCTGACTACAAATATTTCCTCCTCCTCCTTTTTTTTTTTTTGGTTGTTAAATTTCTTTTGGAAAGTGGCTTAATTCTACCTCTCCTCCAAATTCCTGTCATTGTGCTTCTGGTGTCCCTGACAGGAACCAGAGAAGCCTGTCATTCCAGAATCATGACACTTTCCTGCAACTAATTAAGGTTCTTCCAACTGTTCATCTGTTTTTAGCCCGAATCTTCTTAAAATCTAAAGATTTGTATCTCTGACTCTTTTTACATTTTCCTCACAACTTATTCAACGTTCGTCTCGAAGCTGCTGACAGCTTTTGCTTACCTTCCTATGGTAGGAAAACAGAGTGGCAGGCTGGATTGACGTACGGAGGGCCCTGGAAATAAACAACCATGATTTATGAGCATTTATTGTGTTCTAAGTATGAGGCTGAGCACTTTACATATTTTATTTAATTTTCCTGGGGCTTTACCAAATGACTCAGTCCCCAGGAAGACATCCACTTTCAAGGAAGAGGGCAGGACCAGCACCCGCGTCCACACAACTGTGAGCAGGTGACAATGCCCATCATTGAGTGGGCATTCAACATTTCTTCTCCCCACTCGTGTCATCTCCTGACATTCCGTGCCTCTCCCTTGGGGAACAGCCCTTTATATAGCGCAAGTGATTAGTCATTGCCAAATAAGCAAAAAGACTTTAAAAACTTAGTGTTCAGAAGTATTTAGTGGAAAAAGTAATAAATAAACCCAAGGCTTATTATTCCTCATCTATGGATAAAAACTCAAAGACTGCCAGACACTACACAGTCATAGGATGGCTTTCCCATAAAAAGAGAAGGGAGGGAGAGTGACAGGCATAGGAATGGTTGCCTGTTTCACCTCCCCATGCTCCTCTGACCCAGCCTCAGTTGGGCCTTAGGATCATCCAGAGACCCTCCCCAGACTAATTAAGTCAGAATCTCTGGGCATAGGGCCAGGGCATCATGATTTCTTTAAACACTCCCCTGAACTATTCCAGTGACCAGCCAGGGTGACAGCAAGAACCTTGTCAGTTTGTATCCCACCTCTCAGGGAATGAACTTCTGGAAGTGAATTCCCAGTCCCCAGTGGCCACATCTCCACAATGTCCTGTTGCTTGGTCTAACCCAATGAGATAGACCCCCAGTGTAAACCTGTGCACCTGTCTTCCTCCCCATGGGGGCTTCGTCAGACACCAAGAGGACGTAGCAGTGCTGGAGAGAGGGGCTAAGGGAACTCCAGGTCCATGGCCATGGTGGTCTGGACTTCTTTAAGCCCCAGAGAGAATGGACTTCTGGTGGAGCTGCCAAGGTGAGAACCTAGTTTCTCAAGGACAGGTCACAGGTCACCTGGCAGCTACCCCCCTGCCTCCTGGAATCGGTGATCCAATCCCAGCTGCTGCCTGACCAGCTCTCTCTCCTAACCCTGCTCCCCACGCCAGACATTTTGCTTACCCCAACCTAGTGAGTGATCATCCTGCATGACCCCTGTTCCCCTTACTGCCATCCTGAACTCTGCCTTAGGCTAAAATTTGGATTCAGATCAGCTGTCTGTGCTCAGGCTCCCCGGCCTTCTGGTATGGAGTCCCCCAAGCAGAGATCCATGGCTTCCTCTGACCCTAGGGGTCTGTCTGTCTTCCAGTTCTGGTGTTTTCCAGCCCCCTCATTCCCCCTTCTGCCTAAGCTTTGCTCATGACATTTTTCACAATTGTCTCATCCAAGGTTTCCACAAGGAACCAGATCTGGTCCCCACAAGTGTGTGGTGAGCTTTAAACAAACACTCACAGTGCCATGATGGCCACCAACTTTAGCTCCCAGGGAATGGGTTGAAAACTCAGAGCAGAAGAAAATGTGGTTTCCGGCATCAGTCTTATAAGTGCATAAGTATCCTGGTGAGTGGTAAAAAGAACCCCAGCTGTTTATTTTACTTCTCCCTCAACTCAAGTTGAAGACTTCTTGCCTATAAACTATGAAGATGCAAATTACTGTGGCCATTTTGTGGGCTTTTCTATTATAGCAACCACTCATTTTTATGGTGGTTCAACATTATGCAATTTTGAAATTTTAGGTGAAAAACTTGATGAACTCTCAGCATTCCTGTTTACACCAGTGGAATTTTACCAAGCTTGGGAAGGGCAATTGATCCGGACACTTGTGGAAACTACAGAGAACCAGCCTTGGGCACACCTTGGTGTCCACTGTGGCATGCTCTTGCGGTCAGCAGCTAGAGGCTGCAGGAAGCTTGTGGAGAGAAATTTCCCTAGGGTCCTGGCCTGGGGAGCATACTTTAGCTTCTCACAACTCAAAGTGTGGTCCAACGACCAGCAGCATCACCTTCATCTGGGAACTTGCTAGACATGCAGAGTCTCAGGCCCCACCCAGACCTACCGAACCAGTCAGGAGATTAACAAGATCCTGAGGTGACTCAGGTCCCATATTTCCTGTTCAAGAAGCAGCAGTGTTTTCAGCCCCTTCTTTCTCTTTCCCTGAGTGTTACTATTCTCCCTCAAGGAAATACTTGATCCAATAGCCCCGTTTACCTAAAAGCCAAGAAGACAATGATGACTGGGTGTCACCTGGTTCTCAGGTTGCCTGTCAGGAGGGCAGTGATCCTGTAATGAGGGTGGGTGGGGGCAGGGCAGGCCTTCGTAGATATTGTGCCCGCAAGAGATGTGTCCTTCTGCAGAGGTCAGTGTCATCAGGGGTGAACAGACAGGAGGGTGTCTGCCTTCCCCTGCTAGCCCTCCACATCCGTGAGAACTTTAGCATAAGTACTCTGCCCCCCACTGCCCTCATCTCGTGCACCTACACGGCAGAAGATTTTGGGCTGAGGTTTCCTAACCCATCAAATCACAGATTTTTTTTTGAGACAGGGTATTATTCTGTTGCCCAGGCTGGTGTGCAGTGGCATGATCACAGCTCACTACAGCCTCAACCTCCCGGGCTCAAGCCATCCTCCCGCCTCAGTCTCCCAAGTAGCTGGGATTACAGGTGCTCACCACCACTTCTGGCTAATGTCTTTTGTATTTTTAGTAGAGACGGAGTTTTGCTCCATTGCCCAGGCTGGTCTCAAACTCCTGGGCTCAAGTGTTCCTCCCGCCTTGGCCTCCCAAAGTGTTAGGATTATAGGTGTGAATCACTGCGCCTGGCCAAATCTTAGCTTTCTCAGTTCCTTTATCCTTTGCTCATGTAGGTGGGCATTACCAAAACCCTACATTATCTGACAATTGTTTACAATAAAATGGATTGTTCATGAAGTATGCTTCCCTATCCATTCAGATGGTTTCACATTTGGTTATTTCACTGCCCAGTAGCTCCTCTTCCAGGAGGGAGATGAGGGAGACGAAAGGAAAGGAGGGATTTTTTTTGACTTATTTGACTTTGACTTATTTAGGCGGTTCCATGAACTCAGCAAAATAGTCCTCCCCACCCCCAAATTGTTCTCATTTAGTCTGCATAATCATAAATAACATATCCAACACAAAGTTTTGGGAATTTGTCAGGTTTTCTCCATGTTTGTTTCACCAGTGATAAAATAAGGAAGGCAGTCACCTGTAATGCAGTGGTTCTTACCTGAATGAAGACAGGGCTCACTTGGGAAGCTTTTTAAAAATACCAATGCCCAGGCCTGCTTCCAGCCCTATTAGGTGGGAGTCTTTGGAGGTAAGGGCAGGCAATGGTATTGTTATCAAAGCTCTGCAGGTGATTGTAATGGAGAACTCTTAAAATCATTAGAAAGTTGAGAACCTCTGGTCTAGTAAACTAGTCAAGAGCATTAGTTCCCAAACTTTCACACACATCAGAATCTTTCCAGAGGCATATGGGGCTCAAGAAGTTATTTGTTTATTTTGAGACAGAATCTGGCTCTGTCACCCAGGCTGGAGTGCAGTGGCGCAATCACAGCTCACTGCAGCCTCGACCTCCTGGGCTCAAGCAATTCTCCCAACCTCAGCCTCCCTAGTAGTGGGAACTACAGGCGTGTGCCACCATGTCTGGTTAATTTTTGTATTTTTTTGTAGCGATGGGGTCTCGCTATGTTGCCCAGGCTGGTCTCCAGCTCCTGGGCTCAAGTGATCCGGCCATCTCGGCCTCCCAAAGTGCTGGGATTAAGAAGTTGCACCTTTAACAAGTTCCCAGGTGCTGCTGATGCTGCTGGTCTTTATTCTGGGACCAACTTTGAGAATCATTGGTCAAGAGATCTAAGATGAAATTCTAACTCTGCTGCTAAGTTGTCATATGATTTGAATAATCAGTATCTCCTCTTTGATATTCTACAACCGGAATAGGCAAACATTTTCAGTAAAAGGCCATATAATAAATACTTTTAGCTTTGCAGGTCATACGGCCTCTGTTGCAACTTCTTAACTCTGCCATTGTGGTATGAAAGCAGTCATAAACAACGCCTAAACAAACAGCATGACTGAGTTCCCATGAAACTTCATCGAGGTGGCAGGATCTGCTGACCTCTGTTCTACAGTCTCATGAGTGATGTCTCTAAGTGAGGATTTCTTTGTACTTATCTAATTTGGTGCTTTTTGGACTTTCTGAATCTGAGGGTTGATATCTTTCATCGA
Organism: Homo sapiens; assembly: GCF_000001405.40. Lineage (NCBI taxonomy): Eukaryota > Metazoa > Chordata > Mammalia > Primates > Hominidae > Homo > Homo sapiens. The sequence goes on from NC_000021.9 coordinate 34,310,487, forward strand.
TTCGGTAAGATTCACGGTTATCATCTTCTTAAATACTGCCTTTTCTACATCGTTTCTATTACCAATTCATGAAACTCAGACCTGGTAACATGTTAGACTGTCTCACTTTATCCTCCGTGCCTCTTAGCTGCTTATATATTTTCTACCTATGTCTCTCTGTGCCACATTCATGTCTATCTTTTGTTTCTAGTAGTCCTTGTTGGCTCCTTATCAAGTCTGCATATTTTGATAGTCTCTTATATCTTCATCATTTATTCAATCACCTCATTTATTTCCTGAAACATTTTCTTATGAGTTTATTTCATATTCCATGTTGATTTTTCCAATATCTGTGGTCTTTGAAGGTCTGATTCTGCAGTTTATGATTTCTGTGGATTTTCATTCATGATGGCTCATTTTATTCATGCTGGCCTGTTTCTTCATGAGGTTAGTAAATGTTGATCCTGACCTCTAATTCCTTGTAACTTTATCTGTGATAATTTTTTGAGGCCTAGTATCAATAAGGCAGTGCGGTAGTTTCTTTTGGATGCCTGGGGATGCTCCTTTATATAAGTTGTTGGCTTTAGAGCTCCCCAAGTAGTATGAATTTTGGTTTGCTATTAGAAATTGTCAGGTGACATATTTCTTTCCTGCCAGTTCCCAAGGTGGAGACAGGCAAGTTCTTTTCTTGACAGGCAAGGAGGGGCAGGTACTTGGTCTCTGGTTCATTTCCTAAAGGTACTGCTTTTTAGTGGTCTTAGCCTTATATGAGGGGTCTCCCAGCCATCTCCTCAATCCCTGGTGCCCGCATGATCCCTTGAAACCTGGGCCAGGCCAGTAAGATATAGCCCATGCCCCACTTGGTGACCAGTGCCTTCAGCCTTAGCTGTTCTCTCTAGATTAATGCTTTCTCAAAGTTTCTGACCTCCTAGGCATGACTTGTTCTGAAGCCAGTTCAACTGTGCTTAAAAAAATTATTTTCTTTAAATATCATCTATAGTATTTTGAGTGGCCTCTTTGGGAGTGGTGGCATGGTATTACCAGGGACACCAGTAGGTAACCAACCACTTCCAATTTCTGCTTCCTCATCTCTGAATGGAGAAACCAACAGAACCAGAAATGCTTCTTCAATACTTTTTTTTTAATGAATGAATCAGTGTTTTTTTATACTGTTCTCAGTATTCTTATTGTTTATTGTCACTACGCCACTGTGCAATGTGGAGGATAGGCTAATCGCATGTTTCTCAGATTAGATCAGGTTAATTATATGAACTGACTTCATAAGATCTTTTTAAAAAGGTACTGTATAGAATTTGTAGACCTATAATTTGAAGTTTCGAATTTCCCTGTGTGATTCAGAAGCCCTCATTTGGCTGAGGCACTGATATGAGCTAATTACACCATGAAGCTTGTATTGGGAACAAATCATTTACCACCCTCCATCTTCATCCCAGTGTGGTGTGTGGATCTCCTCCCCTTGACTACTAAAAGTCTTTTGAAATTATAAAACTTAGAGTTTTCATGTGTGTGAAAAGCAGTTCTCAAGCAAGAGCTAGATGTTTTGTGCGAGTTGAAGAGGCAGCTAGATCGTGGTGTACGAGACGCTCAGGAAGCACTTAACTCCCGATGGAAATATGATTCGGGAAGGCGCCAGGAGCCTGTACAAATTTTCCACATTCTTGAGTTGGGGAATTCTGGAAGAATCAAGAGTGCTATCCCATGAGGATTTCAAGCGCCTACTATTACTACTATTACTGCATATTAATAAATAGTTTTGTGAAAAATAAAGTGAGGCAGAAATGCCAAATTGAAAAGGAATCTGCACAGTTTGGCATTTTCTTACAAAACTAAACTCTTGTCGTACAATCCAGCAATTGTGCTCCTTGGTATTTACCAAAAGGGACTGAAAACTTATGTCTACACAGAAATCTGCACACAGATGTTTATAGCAGTTTTATTCATCATTGCCAAAACTTGGAAGCAACCAAAATGTCCTTCAGTAGGTGAATGGATAAATAAACTGTGGTGCATCCAGACAATGGAATATTATCCAGGAATGAAATGAGCTTTCAAGCCATGAAAAGACATGGAAGAACCTTAAATGTATGTTGCTAAGTGAAAGAAGCCAATATGAAAAGCCTACATACTGTACGATTCCAACTACATGACATTCTGGAAAAGGTAGAACTATGGAGCCTGTAAAGGGACCAGTGATTGCCAGGGGTTAGCAGGGAGGGAGGAATAGGTGGAGCACAGAGGATTTGCAGGACGGTGAAACTGAACTGTTCTGTATGAAGTTATAAGGTGGATCCATGTCATTATGCATTTGTCCAAACCCGTAGAATGTACACCATCAAGAGTGAACCCTGATGTAAACTATGGACTTTGGGTGACAGTGATGTGTCATTGTAAGGTCATTGTAGCAAATAGATGGCTTTGGTGGAGATATTAATATTGTATGGAGGGGGTAGGGGGTGTATGGGAATTCTTAAAGTTACCACTCAATTTTGCTGTGAACCTAGAACTGCTCTAAAAAATACAGCTTATTAATTTTAAATAAAGGAGTTTGCAGAATGGAATGAGATGGTACCTTGGCTATCTCTCTGGAGTAGCTGTTACTCGCCGAAAAGAACAATCAAGTTCAAGTCACACACAAGGTCTAGGCCAGGTGCCTGCCCCTCTGTGTGTCCCTGCCTGGCTGGAGAAGAGACCTTAGGCCCCAGGATAGAGGCAGGAGCAATGGCTTCTTGGGGGCTTAGAGGGCATGGAATGGAAGGAGGACCTACTTCTGAAAGCCTAGGCATGCCCACTGCAGAGGGGCCAGAGGGAAGGAAGGAAGAAAGGAATTCATGCCTTTGGCATTTCCTGCCTCCCCAAGCACTGCAGGAGTGGTTTGCCGGGAAGGCTGGTGTTAGACCAAAACCTGCACCTCTGGGAGTCAACAAAGAGAGCCTGGAGAGGCTGGAAGGGCAGCTGGAAGATCCCATCTCTGGAATCTTTGCAAAAGAAGGACCTACCTGTAGACACACACTAGCATATACATGAGAAAACACACAGATTTAAACAGGTGAACAGGCACACAGTGACACACACATACTGGCACACACATGCACAGTCAGATGCGTGTATGCATTCAGAGTTCACGTCTATTGTAGAAACACACACAGATGATCAAGGCAGTTTGCCATTCTGGAAGTACAGCATAAGCAGTAGCTGCGGATAAACATGGCCTCTTGATAGCCCGGGGAGCAAATTGTTCTAACATGTGTCCCCTGAGAATGCAACAGCCTTCCAGAACAATTAGCCCTCCCTTCTCCATCACTCAGCTGCGCTTGATGGAGCTCTGTCTGTGTCTGAAGCTCCCAGTATGGTTTCTGGCAAATGCACAGGTGTGCTCATCGCAGTGTGCCTGCAGGCGGCTTTCCCGCCCATGTGTCTTCAGTGCTCTAGGTAGGTTGTAATATAGTGCTGTCAGTTCATGACATTCACTTTATCCACATGACACTGGAGGTCTTTGGTAGTGAGAACTTGCTGCCCACGCTGCCTGAGAGGGTCAACAACAGAAGCAGTGAAGGAACTGAATCTTGCTGGGCCATAGAAGCTTCTGTTTCCCTATGTCCCCGACAGCGTTGCCCTTCCGACTTGGGGCCTTCCTCTCACTTGTTGCATAAGCTGTGGGAGAGAAATTGGGGGTAGGAGGCATTTTCAGTAGTTTGGGACACGTCTTCCTTGGGGCAACACTAAGTGGAAACAGGCCCATTTGCACATTGGCAGATGGAATCCAACTGAATGTGGAAAAAAGCTCCTCCGCAGAGGGCTCAAACCAAACAGAACATTAACCAAAACAACACCTTTTAAGTTTAACAAGGACTTAGAAACTAGTTTGAAAAACTTCTGGCACTAATAGACAGCTTTTTAAAAACCAATTTAAAAGCTCTTCTGTTGAGTTAAAAAGCAAGAAGGCTTTCAATGCTTCCATTCTTTTCAAATTCTCTGCTTTTGAACATAATAGGATTATTTTCTTTTACAATTATTTCACTGAACTGTTTTGCAACTGCGGTAGACAGAATAATGGCCCCCAAAGAACTCCATATTTGAATCCCTGGAACCTGTGAGTGTGTTACCTTACATGGCCAAAGGGACTTTGCAGATGTGATGTAGAATCTTGAGATGAGAGATGATGCGGGATTAACTACGGAAGCCCAATGTAATCACAGAGGTCCTTAAAAGATGGAAGAAGGAGAGTCAGAGAAGGGGATGAGACCCTGGAAGTAGAGGTTGGAGTGATGCACTGTTAAGACAGAGGAAGAGGCCATAAGCCAAGGACTCCACTCATCCTCGATGGGCTAGAAACGGCAAAGAAATGGACTCTCTTCTGGACCCTCTAAAAGGAAGACAGCCCTGTGAATACCTTGATTTCAAGGCTGGGCATGGTGGCTCATGCCTGTAATTGCAGCACTTTGGGAGGCCAAGGCAGGCAGATCATTTGAGATCAGGAGTTCAAGACCAGCCTGGGCAATATGGTGAAATCCCTTCCCTGCTAAAAATACAAGAATTAGCTGGGCATGGTGGCAGTTGCCTGTAATCGCAGCTATAGGAGGCTGAGGCGGGAGAATCACTTGAACCTGGGAGGCAGAGGTTGCAGTGAGCCGAGATTGCACTACGGCACTCCAGCCTGGGTGACAGAGTGAGACTCTGTCTCAAAACAAAACAAAACAAAACAAAAACAAAAAACCAAAAAACAAACAAAAAAACCCCCTTGATTTCAGGATTTCTGACTTCCAGAACTGTAAGATAATATATTTGTGTTGTTTTAAGCCACATTTGTGGTAATTTGTTACAATGACAGTAGGAAGTTAATACAGCCTATCGGGTATAGGTCAGATCCTGCCTGCTAACTTGAAAAAAAGACCAACTTATTGAGAAATAAACGAACTGTTTCATTGGACCTCATATAGTTTCTTTGGTTGCCTTTCTCTGTTCAGGTGAGCTTGTAGTATGAATTTTACACATATTCCTCACTATGCTAAGTGAAACGTTCATGTTAGGAGGTTTAAATCTAACTGCATCTGACTCCAAGCATCTTTGTCTATCTTTGCTGGGGATTATCCTATTGTATTAGGTTGCTCGGGCTGCCTTAACAAAATATTGCAGACTAGACAGCTACAACAACAGGCATTTATTCCCTCACAGCTCTGGAAACTGGAAGTCCAAGATCAAGATACTGGCTGGGTTGGTTTCTCCTGAGGCCTCTCTCCTTGGCTGGCAGATGGCTGTCTTCTTGCCGTGTCTTCACATGGTCCTTCCTCTGCACATACAAATCCCTGGTGTTTGTATGTCCAAATTTCCTCTTCTTATAAGGATACCAGTCAGAATGGATTAGTGACCAACCTAATGGACTCGTTTTAACCTAATTACCCTTTTAAAGGCCCCATCTTTCATTAAATTCTGAGGTACTGTGGTTTAGGGCTTTAATATATTAATTTTAGAGGACACATTTCAGCCCATAACACCTACGTTAAGCACAGCTAAGAGAGGTCTGTACAAGCCAAGAAGAGAGGACTGTACTACTTAAGTGGTGTGTCAGGACTATTGTCTATTATCCATGTTTACACTCAAGTTTACTGCAATATGCAGCAATTGGAACTATATCACTTAGTCACCTTCTGGCCCAGAGGAAGTGTATTCCAAAGACCATTAAGCTAATATGAGAACAGGCCAGCTCTTTGAGTGGCAGAAACTCTCTCATAAAAATCTTACAGGGTTGGGGGTAGGGGACTGGGGAAGAAGGGGCAGCATAAATGCAACTGAGTCCCTACCTCATACCATACAACTTACACATAGGAAAATACACTACACCTTACACCAGTAGACCAAAATGTAAAAAACATACTTCAAAATGAATAAAGAAAATAAAGGACCATATCTACATGATCTTAAAATAGAGAAAACTTTTTTTTTAAAAAGGAGCTCACAAAGCCCAAAGAATAAAGAAAAAGAGATAAATTCAACCACTTCAAACTTTAAAATTCTGTACAGAAAGTGTAAAAAAAACTTCCGTTGGCAAAAGTTTAAAAAAGATGCTTGGAGCCACATTAAATAGACTAGGAATTTGTATATAAAACACAGAATAAGAAAAATAAAAGTAGGAAAAAATAAATTAGCTGCCAGAAGAGTAAATGTGAATAGCCAATAAAAAACAAAAAGACGCTCAAGGTCAGGGAAGGGAAAGAAGAAGAACAGAGAGAGGCCATATCCCACCCATGGTACTGGTAAAATCAAGTTGTCAAACGATCTCAACTGTTGGCAAGGTTCTAGGGGAAATGGTACTCTCATAAATTGTTGCTGGAAATGTAAATTGGTAAAGGCATATTGGAGAGAAATTTGACAGCATCTAGGAAAATGGAAAATGTGCCTACCCTATGTCCTGGGAATTGTGCTTTGGGATACACACTGAACAAGCTTCTGCATATTTCCATGAGGGTCCTATACACAATGGTGTCTGTTGCAGCATTTTTGGTAATAGCAGGGAAAAAAATGATCCCTTGATATAGAAAGGAATAAATAAAATGTAGTATTTTCCTGTGATGAAATGCCGCATAACAATTGATAATAAATACGAAGTTTATATCAGCCTGAATAGATTCTAAAAACAAGGTAGAGTATAAAAAGCAAGATGCAAATTGATGGGATATTTACAGACAATGTACGTGTGTATTTTTAAAAACAAAATCATACAACATGTGTTTTAATTAATGCATATGTATCTAGAAAAAAGTTATTCTTAAGGAATGCAATGGATACATGATCATTTAGTTTCTGGGGAGATGCAGAGAAGCATGGGTGTTGAGGTTGGTGGTTTAGGGGACATGAGCTAATATCTCTTCTTGCCTCACTCCTCCTCTTCCCTTCCCTCCCCTCCCCTCTCTCCGTCCCTCCTTTCCCCCATTCCTTCTTTCCTTTCTTCCTTTTTTCTTCCTAAAAATTGACAAGAAGGAGATATGGCAAAAAAGTTTGCACTTGTTAATTCTAAATGGTAGGAATATGAAAGTTATTTTTAAAATTTTATGGTAACTTCTAAATTTCAGAAAGCAGAAACCAAACCAAACAAAAACCCTGGTATTTATAAAAATAAAATCATAAACTATAAAACTCTACTGCAGGACATCATTTGTACTCCAAATCTCAGCATCACGCAATATATCTTAGTAATGAATCTGCACATGTACCCACTGATTCTAAAATAAAAGTTGAAAAAAAAAAAAACTCTGCTGAAGGAAGCAAAGGAAGACTTGAACAAGTGAAGGAAAGGATTATTTTGCATCCACTGTCTTCCAGAGAGCCAGCCACTTCCTGGCATCATAAACTGACTCCTCAATGTTGGGAGTCCTCACTGGCTTTTGAGTTAGAGAGAACCATATCGGCTATTCTGTGTTGAACCTCTCTTTTCACCTCCCCCATGGATGCCTCCACCCTCTTGAAGTACTGTCATAGGTGTCCGTTTTTCAGGGCCAGTAACTGGCCCCACTGTCCTGAAGCAGGGAGTTCCATTTTTAGGCAGCTTAACCTATTAAGGAAAATTCTTCCTTATTTTTCAGAAGAAAACTATTCCTGTAGACTCCACCCCTTGGTTCTAATTTTGGAGCAACACAAATCAAGTTCAGTGCTCCTTTAACAGCAATGTCCTTCAAAGTGTAAAGACAGCCCAGGATGCTGAGTTTCGATCCTGCATTGATAAGTTTTTGGATCTAAAAATGTAGAGGGCGTCTTACACAAATGCAAACTCATGAACCTCATATGGAGAAATCACCCTAAAATATCTAAACGTCTGTGAAATTCAACTTTTAAACTTCTCTTTGGTAATATGGAAGAAACTAACCTGAGAACACAGAAAGATAGGCTCATATCAGGCAGTGGATTTTTCTCTGGGCTTGGAGTTGGAGGCGTCTTCCCTGGGAGGGAGAAGTACATAATTCATGAGCCATGCTTATCAGACTCCAAAGGGAAAGATACAGAGGGGTACTGGATGCCTGGTTAGAAACTGATACCTCAACAGACATAAGAGGGAGCTACATGATCTCCTTATGAATAACATTGCATATTTTATAAGGGAGTAGCAATGGCTTGCCAATTTCAATGCTAAGGTGGGTTAACGAAGTTTGACTTAGAGGTAGGCTCTGGAGACACATTCCCCACTGGGTTGCTGTTTATCAGCTTGTTTCCTTTTCACCTGCCTGAGAAGTAACCGATGAATGAAAAAGGCTATTGGCACTCCGTTCTAGAGAAGTGATTGGTTGATGGTGTGTCTGAGTTATGTGAGATGTTGTGTATCATTGTGGGAAAGAGGAAAGAAGAAAGGAAACTGAAGCTCACGTTCTGTTAGTAGTGAAACAGGGATCGAAGCTCAGCCTCCTGGGCTCAAATGTTCTTTGTTTTGTTGAAACCTCACTACTCTCACAGAGACTATAAAGGCATCAATAGCAAATACGAAAAATATTTAATGACTGGTACCAACCAGTCAAAATGGACTCCAGCTGCTTTATGGGCATATGTTGGTGAGATACCTATCCCACCCACAACCATCACCAACCAGAGTCCAAGAGATGCTTTCAAAGGTGAAACAGAAGAAGCATTGCTCAATTAAATTATAACTAATTATATTGTCCTTGTCTTCTTTGATGAAATGGCTTTGTTTCCATCCAGGCACGGTAGCTCATGCCTGAAATCCCAGCCCTTTGGGAGAGGCCAAGGTAGGAGGGTCACTTGAGCTTGGGAGTTCAAAACCAGCTGGGCAGCATTGCAAAACCCCATCTCTATAAGAAATACAAAAATTAGTCAAGCATCGTGGCAAGCGCCTGTAGTCCTAGCTACTCAGGAGGCTAAAGTGAGAGGATTGCTTGAGCCTAGGAGGCAGAGGCTGCAGTGAGCTGTGATTGCGCCACTGCACTACAGCCTGGGCAACAGAGTGAGACCCTGTCTCAAAAAATTTAGAAAAATGGCTTTGTTTCCCAGTAGATCTCTCTGAAATTATATTCTATGTATGAAGCCATTTCTTCTTAAAACTTGTTGTAGGAAATCACTTCAACTCTGACTGTGAATGCAAAAGAAAGTAAAGGAGAATGGATATGGGGAAGGGATGGCTTCATTTTTCTACATTTTGAGGTGGCTGACAAAACTTGCTCCTTCTTAAAGTCCTTCAGTGTCCTGAGTCAAGAGAGGAGATGCAAACATCCTTTAACTCTCTCTTCCCATAATCTCCAGCCCCATGGTTTTATCTTTGGAGAATGTTCTCTTCTTTAAACCCTATCTCCCGTCTCCACCTGTTGCCATCTTATCCTAAAACCATTTCCAATAGGACATCCACTGCACAGCCCTCCTCATCGCCTTGCCGGGTTCTATCTACCTCTCCTTTCAGTCATGAATCAATTTCCTAATCCTGACATTTCCTAGGAGGGTAAATACATCTTAGGTGATAGTTCCCAGACAGCATCCTTAAATTTGGGGGTGTCTGATCACCTACAAGGGAAGACAATTATTTTACAACCTTTCCCTCACTGCACTCCCACCCAGTGCTGTATGTTTGTTTTTGACTAGAGTGAATTAAAATCAGTTTTGTTTGGAAGATTTCACAACACTCCTTGACATTTTTGGAGTTCCTATGGAGAAAGATTGAAGCCGGAATGAAACCTGAGGGCCTGCTGCATCGCACGTGTTTGGGGGCTTTTCTGTTTTGTTGTGCAAACTCAGTCCAGTGGGACACAGACATGACTGCTATGGGGAGGCATTTCCCTGTTTGCCAAAAAGCAATGGTGCGGAATAGTTTGAGAGACCACAAAATTACATTTCTCTACTCAGCACTGTGAAAAATTGTCATGGAAAAATATATTACCAACTCACATCACCTGGATCCACTACAGCCAGGGAGCAAAAGAGATTTCAACCCAGTCACTAATATGTAATGGATTAATTCAACCTGAGTGTTTGTTGTGTCTTTCTGCTGTCTTTGGATTCAAACACATAATTGTCTAAATTGAGCAGTGAAGATTGCCTGGCTCCTTAGTTCTTGGGCTTCTATCCCTTTGAATTCATGTCATTCTGATTAAGGGAGAGAAGGAGGCAAGCAGGAAGTTTCCAGTTTGGGATTAAAGCATCAGCCCCAATTCTGGCCCCAGCATTTCAGGTGCATGAATACCGGCTGGTTTCTCCAGAATATCTCTGGTCTGGTCTCCACTTGAGAAGTTTGCTCTCCAAAACTCAAACCTCAATAATTATAAAAACTTACTGGAAGTGTTTTCAATATTTTTGAAGCTGAAAATATACCCATATATTTTAAACAACCCCAAAGAGATCAAGAATGGGAAATGGCAGGGCTGGACAAGAGGCAGTCTGAAGCTGAAAGCCCAGGTGGGAAGATGCCAATGTCAAATTATTGGACAACGATCAAATATTTGAGGCCTCCAGCAATTTGTGGAAATTATTTTAGCAGGGATAGTGGCACTAAGACAATGATTTGTTTTCTCCAAGTCTAAATGAAGAAATTGTGTGGCTCCATGTTTCTCTTTTAATTAAGAATATAACCTTTTCTTTAAAAGAGTCTACCTGAACTACTAAGCCCACAAGACAGGGCTCTGCATGTTAAAATGTCAGGGAGTCTTGAAGACCCAAAAAACTTCTTAGTAATTGATCAGTGATAGCCAGCCTCAAATGACTTCCACATCTATAAATCGTAAGCCAGAAGGAGACACTAAAGAGAAGAACAGAAGGGTTTGTTGGGAGAGTACCACAAATAATTAAAAGTTATGGGAACAGAGAAGAAAATAAGACATGTTGATTAGAAACATCAGGATGAATTGGCATTGATTTTGCTGTACAATAGAAAACTTGTTTCAAATTTTCTTCCAACAGATGCATAGCATGGTGAGTGAGGAATTGAATTTTATTCCAGGTTCAAATTTAAGTTTGGAAATAAAATTTGGGAAGGTATGCCTCATTTCACAAAAACTAAACAACTTTTTGAATACTCTTACATAAGGAATCCCACAGAAATGGATCTAATTTGATTATCCAGTATCTGTAGGCTCAGAAAAATTTTTCTCTTGGATTTGAATTTTAATGCATGTTTAGCCCCTTTTTTATTCATTTGCTGATACATTCTAATATTCTTCCTTGTGAATCTTTGCAGGTCCTGTTACAATCTGGTTGTAAGTGCTCACCTCTTTTAAAAACAACCAACATTTTCAATAAATTCCTTGAGAAAAATAATTGCTTGTTATACGGTTACAGAATATGAAAGCACACATTTGAATTGCAGCTGTTACCTTTCCTTCTGGTCCTTAATAATTGGACCAAATATAAAAGTCACATGAATATTTTGTTTCTCCTTTTAAATGAAGAGTTCGTTAGCACTATCAGTTTTCTACCACATTCTTTTTTTTTTTTTTTTGAGACGGAGTCTCGCTCTGTTGCCCAGGCTGGAGTGCAGTGGCACGGTCTCGGCTCATTGCAAGCTCCGCCTCCTGGTTTCACATCATTCTACCGCCTCAACCTCCCGAGTAGCTGGGACTACAGGTGCCCGCCACCACGCCTGGCTAATTTTGTTTTTGTATTTTTAGTAGAGATGGGGTTTCACCGTATTAGCCAGGATGGTCTGGATCTGTTGACCTCGTGATCCGCCCACCTCGGCCTCCCAAAGTGCTGGGATTACAGGCGTGAGCCACCACTCCCAGCCTCTACCACATTCTTAACATGTGATTTGACTGCCTGTGGAGCTAACATTTTCCTCAGAGGGATGAGCCCACATGATCTCATGACAAGGCCGACCTGTCCTCCAGCCTGCCAGAGTGCAGGCACAACACTGGCCCTTGACACAGCTTGCAGATGGGCACGGCCTCTGGGCTGTGTCACAGCTGTTCCACTAAACCTCCCGTGAGAAACCGGTGCCCTAGAGGGTCTGTCCCCACCCTGAGCTCTCCTGGAGCCCCACCATTTAAAGGCCACACACAGCTCACTCCATTGGCCTTCTCTGTCCTTAATCCTCAACTCAGGAGCACCTTGAATGTTAGCAGGTCCCTCCTTCCAAGCCTCAGAAGGACTTTCCTCATGGGTGCCTGTTTGCAAGGCTGGAATTTCTGCACAACTGATGATCAACTCCAGAGAGCTCCTAGTTCACTGCCCATGGCGGTTACTCCTGCCTCCAGGGCTCCCCTGGGCCCTCTGGGCAGTTACCACCTCCCATCTTATTCTCAGCAGACACCTGGGCCCACTAGAAGATAGTGCAACCCACTAGAAGGTTAGAAGCCCCGTGAGGGATCATGATGCATGTACTGATGTCCCCAGTGCTTAGAGAGCACCCAGGATAATGATAATGCCTGGCTCATAATCTGTGCTCAACAGTGTTGTTTCCTATTGGACAAGCCCTCCTGTGCACACTTTTTCTCCTCCCACCTTCCCCTTCAGAGAAGCAGACACAGCCTCTCTCCTAGTCAGGAATGACCTCCCCCTGCCCTGTCATGCTCTTCTTCTAAAACCCTGGTCCTTCCCTTGCTTCTTTCCTAGAACCATCAATGTCATCCTCACCTTGCTCCCGGCATTGACTCCCTCTCTAATTGACACTCTATTTCTCACCTTTTCTCCTTCACATTCCATACCAAAAGTTGAAAAGAATAGGGTAAAGAAAAGTGCCACCACTTAAAGAAAGCATAGGTACTCTAATAAGGAATTAAGTGGAAACTTTATGGAAGAAGTGACATTGGACAATAGCTTGGAAGCATCCTTAGAATGTTTGGAGTTACTTGCTGATGTGGTTTGGATGTTTGTCTCCACCAAACCTCACATTTGAAATGTGATCCCCAATGTAAGAGGTGTGTGGGTCATAGGGGCGGATCCCTCATGAATGAGCCCGATCCCCTTTCCAAGGTGATGAGAGAGTTCTTGCTGATGAGATCACATGAGATCTGGTTGCTAGAAGAGCCTGTCACCTTCTCTGCTCTCTTCTTGCTCCCTCTCTCACCATGTGACAGGAATGCTCTCCTTTGGCTTCCGCCATTAGTGGAAGCTTCCTGAGGTCTTTGACTAAAGCAGAAGCCGGCACCATGCTTGTACAGCCTGAAAAACTGTGAGCCAAATTACCTCTATTCTTTATAAATTACCCAGCCTCAGGTATTCCCTTATAACAATGCAAAATGAATGAATACAATTGCCAACATTATAAAAAGAGAGATTTCAGATAAAAATCAACATTTTTGCAGGCTTCTCCTGAAAAATTAGAAGCTCTGGTAATGCCTGGCCAATATAACCACATCTTAACAGCCACAAGAAGTTCAGGAGCAACTGTTACTGTCAAGAAGGCCTTGCACCAAAGACACATGCAACACATCTCACATCTGTGGTCATCTGCAATGAGGAGCCATCAAGAGATACCACCCTGCCACCAAGAGGTGGAGTCAAATTCTTCTCCCCTTGAATCTGGACTAGAATTGGTGATTTGCTTGTTACCAAAAGAATGCAGGAGAAGAGATGCTGCATGACTTCTGAAGCTAGAAGAGGCAAGGCCATGCAACTTCTGCTGCTTTTCCTAGATACTTCCTCTCAGATGCCCCCTCTTGGAATCCAACCACCATGTTGTGAGGAAGCCCAAGCCATGTAGAGAGGTCATGTGTAGGTGCTCTGGCCACCAGTCCCAACCAAACTCAGGCCTTCAGTCAACCCAGTCCAGAGGTGAAGAGCCTACAGGTGAGTCCAGCTTCAACACCATCATGGATCAAATCTTGATGATCAAGACCATCACAGATCACAGACAGATGATCACTGCTGAGTCCTATTCAAATTTTTGATCCACAGAATGCAGAACATAATAAAATCATTGTTGAAGACCACTGAGTTTTGAAATTTTTTGTCACATAGTGTGAGATAACTGGAACAGCATGTCTTTATATTTTCCAGGATTTTTAGTACAAGGTCACTGGCAGAGAGGCTGCTCATTATTTTTTAACTAATTGGGTCTTAGAAAGTAGAAGGCAGTCACAAAGCGTTCACCTCTTTTTTTTCTTCTATAACAATTACATTTTAACATCTTGGGATGCAAAAAGCCAACAATCCACTAGAGAGGAGAACTATTTCCGTGGCTGGCATGTAGAAATAACGCTTTTTAATTTTATTTACAAAAACATCATCAGCTATGCAACCTTCCTGGACAGATACCCACTCTGGCTTCTGTTTGTATAGCTGATAATTATTATTGTAAACTTGATTGTAGACTGTTTGCATTACAGGTGAAGAGAAGAAGAGTATGAACTACCACGAAACTCATTTCCCTCCGTCCTTCAATCAAATACAATGACCTTCAGCTACTCTCACCATTCTCTACTGAAAACATCCCAACTATCTGGAAAGAACTCACCTAAAGTTCCCCAACATCAAATAAACCACGTTCCAAAAGATTCAGAGCCAGAGAGAAACAAAACGCCCTTTGTTGATGAAGCATTTACTCATACATACATACAAGTGTGTATATATATATACACATATATATGTGTGTGTGTGTGTGTGTGTGTGTGTGTGTGTGTGTGTGTGTATACATATATATATATATTTTTTTTGAGACAGAGTCTCTGTCACCCAGGCTGGAGTGCAGTGGTGCAATCTCGGCTCACTGCAACCTCTGACTCCCGGGTTCAAGTGATTCTCTGCCTCAGCTTCCCAAGGAGCTGGGACTACAACAGGTGCATGCCACCATGCCTGGATAATTTTTGTATTTTTCGTAGTGAAGGGGTTTTGCCACGTTGGCCAGGCTGGTCTTGAACATTTACTGAAACATTTTTGAAGGATTCATTGGCATCAGAATATAAAAAGGGGCGTGTGCAAAATGCCCTATATAAAAATATATATTTAAAACCTTGATTACAGACATAGTTCACATTCATTGCAGAAAACATAGAGAAGCACAAAGAACAAAATTAAAATGACCTCTAACCTCAACACCTAGAGGACAGCATTGTTAACACTTAGGCCACATCCTTTCCTTTATATTTATTCATATAAATGGAACAAATGATGTTCCAAAGATCAGATCTCATTGTAACCCCTGCCCTGCATCATCATAGTGTACACATTTACCCATGTCATTAAATAGTCATCTACAGTATAATTTTATGCATAGTATTCTGTTGTATGAATGTGTCATAATTTTGTAATTATCTCCTATTGTTGGACATTTAGGTTGTCTCCAGTTTTCCCTTACTGTCTACAGCATAGCAATAAACATCCACCCTTGTCATGTTTTCATATGTCCATGATTATTCATATGTTTTCATATATCCATGATGATTTCCTAGCTCAAGCTTGTCCAATCCATGGCCCGCAGGCCATATGCAGCCCAGGATGGCTTTGAATGCAGCCCAACACAAATTTGTAAACTTTCTTAAAACATTATGAGGTTTTTAATTTTATTTTTTATTTTTTTAGCTCATCAGTTATCATTAGTGTTAGTGTATCTTATGCGTGGTCCAGAACAATTCTTCTTCCAATGTGGCCCAGGGAAGCCCAAAGATCGGACACCCCTGTCCTAGATAAATGTCTAGAAAGGGGTTTGCTGAGTCAGAGGTATGATATCATCAAGGCTTTTGATACTTATTGCCAAATTTTCCTCCAGAATCACATTCCCCAGGCAGTGCATAGGAATTTTCATTTTACCAAACCCACACCAACTGGAAAACATTTCTTTATGGTCTGGGAATCAATGGTTATAGTACCTTGGACTCAACAATAATACACCAACAGACAGCTCCCAAGCACTGAAGATGGGAGAGCAGAATAAGTCTCTGAGAATGCAGAATGGCTCCTTTACGAAAGAGAAGACCGAGGGAAGTAAGTGATTTTTCCAATGTTATACAGACAGTCAATGGGTGTCTGTTTGACATTCGACCTGGGTGTATTCATTGGCCTGATCAACACAATGACCAAATCTGGTCACAGTGCAGGATCAGTTAATGACTGTCCTAGGCTTACTTGACCTCCCTTTGCACCTTCCACTTTAAAGCATTGCATTTAGGCAGCTTCCCATACTGGTCTTGATGGATCATGATGACTAGAAGTTCTCTAGGACCATGAAACTGGGCTGAATCCTCTTCATCGATGCTTATAAATGTATGTTCTGTGTCTGGTCACATTTGCTGATCATGAGCCTGTATCAGGCTCGAAAAAGGGCTAAATGGTCTGTGAGCAAGAGTGGCAGATTCCCTGAAAAAAAAGTGCATGCCCCCATATCTCCTCAAGTTCAAGATGCATGACAAGTTGCAGACAGAGGCAGCTGGTAGAGTCTAGAGAAGCATTGACTGTTAGTATTTATGGCCTCTGTCCCTTGAAAGCCCACTGCCTCATTTCTCACGACATAGACACTGTGGCTCATCCCTGGTCCTGTGGCATTTGGCATCCCAGACCGCCACCCATGCTTCAGGAGTTTCTTTCCTCCTCTGACTTCTGTGACATCCATATCCCTCTCCTGGCTTTTGTCTTACCTTCTTATGTCTGTTTCAATGTCTCTACTTTTTCCTTTTAGTCTTAAATATGTGGCACAAATCTCAGGTCATGAACTCAGAAATGTTCATTATTTTAATTTTTAAAATAACCAATTTTACATTCTGTTACAAGCTCTTACTGTGCTACATGGTGAAAACTAAAATGTTGGTGAACCCAGAGTCATCTCAGATTCTTCCTCCCTGCCCTGTTCTCCCTTCCCCTGGAATGCTGATGATTTCTGGGGGTTGGGGAGCAGGAGGCTGGCACCAGGTTACCATTCATTGTCTTCCATGCACCCTGGTGCACCCTGAGGCTTCTGTCATTCTTGTCAGGTCCCTGTCCTCAGCAATGTATGTCAACGCAGCATCCTCCCGGGGCCCTGAAAGCTTCTAAGAGCTGGCACGCTCTCTATTGCTTCTGTGCAACTTTGGGCACCTGGGAGACATCTGGCTACTCTCAGCACTGATGTGCATGCAGGGAAGTTGAAACATTATTGAATTGTCCTCCTGGACATGTAACCCCCAGTTTTTGCTTCTCTAGTACTCATGGCTGGCATAGAGCGTAGAGACACCCTCCAAGGCTTGAGCCCTTTCAGGAATCCTCAGAAGTAGTTTTTCCTAAGAAAGATTCCCCACACTCTTCCGGCACTTCTGTCCTTCCTATTGCTGCTCTCCACCCTCCCCTTTGTACATCTCCATATCACCCCAACCTTGGCTGTATCAGATAGAAAAGTCCTAACTTTGCAATGCCCTCATTTATAGAATGGGAGAAGTTGGTGAGCAGAAAGGAATGTCTAGAATTAATGTCTAGAATTTAAAATACTACTTTTAATACTTAATATTATTTTGATGTGACTCATGAATCTATCCTCAACCGGTGACACTCTGAAATTCCAAGAGTGTCTTCACTCTGCTCTGGTCTCCCCACATCACCTCTGTAGGGTTCTATTCTCAGCAGTATCCCTAATAGATGGTGGCTCACACATGACATAGCCAGAACAGAAATCAATGTCTACCTCTCTTATTATGTGGAATAAGAATACATCCTCCACCTCCACCCTCTTGACTCCCTAAGGTCTACCCTGCCACTCTGCCACTGTCACTCAGTAATGGCTTCCTTCTCAAGTCCTGTGGCACTTACTGTCATGCGTGCACATCTCACTAAGGACAAGTTGCTCAGAATTGTAGTTCTGTGAGATATTGCGTAGGCTGTGACCTGCTAAGGGGCAGAGACCTTGTTTCCTTCACTGCTGTGTCCCCATGGCCTGTTGTAGCATTGGACACAGAGTAGGAATGCATCAAACTTTTAAAAACAAGCTTTTTAAAACATTGATGAATTCTGTTAACAGGGTTGAAGGCTCCTCAAAAGACGGGCTTGTGTCATACACGAGTCCTTAATATGTGTCTAATATTGAGCCTGGAGATAATATGTGTCTAATATTGAGCCTGGAGAAATGGAAAATGGAAAAGAAGTGAAGACTGTTTCAGGGGGCGTGCTTGTCTCCCAAAGACTTAACAGCCTTGGGATTCAAGGTATAAACACCCCAAATAACAAACAGCAAAAACTTGCTTTTGCAGCAGGAACCCCCCAAAAGGGTCTAAGCAGCTAAAGAATTGAGAGATGAGAAATCCCCACAGGGAACAATGAAATCTTCACAGACATGATGATGCTTGGGTTGGACCCTATGTCATTAGGTCCATAGTAACATCAACACACCCTTGTGGACATCCAAGGGCTTTGACCAATACTCATACTATGTCTACTTAATTTAATGCATAACTTATTAATCCCATAAGCCTATTAAATATTGTTCTAAAAATTTAAACACACCCAACTAATAAAACTTATGAATTTACAAATTTAAAAATTCCTCAGTATTTAAACATTAATTACAAACTTCTTTAATAAAATTTTTCTAATCACTCAATTCAACTCACAAGTCTAATATATTGGATTCATTTACATGCTTCAAACCATTTGGATATTATCACAATGATAATGAAACTTCATTACAGTTACATGTAAAACAATTATAAAGTTACTAGTATTTGGTCCTGATTTTTTTCATTATATTTTTACTAATTTTTATGCTTTTCTCATCCTGAACTTGCAGTGACTATATAAGACAAAAATTTCTATACCTTCCTAGGTGTATTAGTCTGTTCTTGCATTGTCATAAAGAACTACCTAAGACTGGGTAATTTATAAAGAAAAGACGTTTAATTGGCTCACATTTCTGCAGGCTGTACAGGAAGCATGGCTGGGAGGCCTCAGGATACTTACAATCATGGTAGAAGGTGAAGGGGAAGCAGGCACATCTTACATGGCTGGCGCAGGAGGAAGAGGGCAAAGGGGGTGGTGCCACACACTTTTAAACAACCAGATCTTGTGAGAACTCACTCATTATCACAAGAACAGCAAGGGGGAACTCCACTCCCATGATCCCATCACCTCCCACCAGGCCCCTCCTCCAATATCAGGGATTACAATTTGACATGAGATTTGGGTGGGAACACAAATCCAAACTGTATCACTAGGGTTATGATAATTTATCAGACCCAAAGTAAAAGCATGATCTCAGCCTAGTCAAGGAAGCAAGCTCTAGGTTTTATATCAATTGGCTCTTCTTAGGATGTAGGGTGTACTGGCTACAACATCCAAGGAAATTTAACTCTGAACTTCTCAGCTGGGATCCTTTTCACAGTTGAATTTTGATTTCTATGCTTGCCGCATATCTTCTCTCTACCCTCCTACATCTGCTTGGTGCCCCTGTTCTCTGCCCTGGGAGCCTGCCCTGTGTAGGTGCATGTATGGGATCATGGAGACTCTGCCTTCTGGTTGGGTTCAGCTAGTGGGGTGCCCAACGTGAGATCAGAGGCAGGCAGGAGGTGTCAAGGGCTGGTCCCTTCCCGCAAAGTGGTTTAGGCCAGCTGTGTCCCTCACTGCTCCTCTCAAGGTGGCCTGCTGTGCGTGACCCTCCCATACCATGTTTGGGTATTTCACATTCCTTGTCTCTTCTGTATGGATTCATAACAGCGCCAACACTACTAACCCTGGTATCCTGCACCACCCCAGGAGGCTTCGCTACACTCCCTCCTATTTTTGTAATTATTCCATCATTGAGTGATCTCGTTTTGCCATGCCACATGTTTCCTATTGGGATCCTGATGGTGGTGAGGGGTTTAGGAGAGGCAGAGAGGTGCTCGAGTGCTCTGGACGCCCAAGGAGTTTAACTCTGACTGGCCAGCAGAGGGCAGGGACAGGAAGGGTGTCTCCATGCAAGCGTGCCGATTTTACAAGATGGCGTCCAGTTTGGTCAAAACAGCCCAGAAGGCTTGCCTCAGGAACAGGCCTGCTGCGGACACCCCCAGGAGTGAGGGTACAGGAGACCATGGAAAGGCATCTAAGATGACAAGCTTGGCTGGGGGAACAAGACAATCCTCAAGGTGAGAATTACAACTTCCAGCATTATTGTAGACATAGCATAAAAAACATTCATCAAACCCACTGCCAAAGGAATTGTCCTTAAATACAAGTCCGTAAACATCAAGCAGTTGCGGCAGCCTCTGCTGCTCAGCAGAGCCTGGTTCTTCGTTTCTTAAATCGGCATCATCATTACTATTGTTGCCCAACTTCAAATGTACTGGCTTAGGTGAGTGGGTGATTTGCCGAGATCACGTCTTCATGGACTAACTGGAGAGCGAAGGCAATTATGCAGATAATTCACCCAAGAGCCTCACTTTGCTGAAGTTCGGTAATTACCTGAAGAGCTTGTTTTTCAGTGTCTCCAATGGCACACTCAGACAAAAACATTTCTGTTTTCTGGATGATGGCCTCGCTTCTTTGGCTGTGTGACTTTCGCCCCAGTGGAAAAGTGATATTCATCATATTATGGTCTGTGAGCCTGTGAAATCAATAAACAAGGCGTCGTGATCTGGGCTGGTAACAGCTCCAACTGTGCACGGCAAAACCCCCAGAGCTGTTCATTCTCCCACCACGCAATTCCCCTCTCATTCTGTAGGCCTGAGGCCAGGGACCCAGCCTCTCTTTTGTTGCATTTCTGAGATGATGGTCTCCATTGCAAAGGTAAGTCTTTCACTGAGCTGATTTAAACAGCATAGGAACCCCCACTGCATATCTAATGAATTAAAACCTTGAGTTCAGTGTTGGTGAGAGGTGACTGGCCACTTTGCGAAAACCAGCTCATGAGGCTGTTCCTTGGGCTCCTCAGTGTGGCCAGCACATGTGGGCAGCTGCCTGGGGGATATGATTTGGAGGACGCAAGGAAGGACCCTTGGCCTTCCACAGTGCCTGTGATTCCACTGTTAGAGATATACTTCTTTGGCTCTTAAACTAGTGATTTCCACTTTTAAGAGCCTCATACTAAAATGTTACCTCTAAGAGAAAGGATATTTCCTTGGGACCACATGAGTGCAAACAATGATGGCAATGCTTGTTCTGTGCTTACAAGATCCCACTTCATCCTCAGAAGCTCTGTAGCAGGAAGGTACCATTATCATCTCCATTTTGTAGATGCGGCATCCGAGGCACAGAAAGGTTCAGTAAGTTGCCCAAAACCACATAGAGAATAAGTGTGGGGGCCAGGACTGGACCGGGGCAATCAACCTGGATCACTGCTTCTTTCTTCTGCTTCTTGGAAGCTATTAGGTGACTGCAAAAGGAATTGCCGTTTTTGCATTATTGGAACTTGCTGTTTAACATTGGAACATATTCTTAAATAAATGTAATTATGTTATACATCATTTTAATGGGCATTTCTCACTTTTTTTTTTGCTAATGACGTTACTTGCTGTTTATGTTTATTTTAGACTATGGAAATGATGTTAGACAAAAAGCAAATTTGAGTGATTTTCTTATTTGAGTTCAAAACGGGTCATAAAGCAGTGGAGAAAACTGGAAACATCAGCAATGCTTTTGGCCCAGGAACTGCCAAGGAATGTACAGAGCAGTGGTGGTTCAAGAAGTTTTGCCAAGGAGACGAGGGCCTTGCAGATGAGGAGCGGAGTGGCCGGCCATTGGAAGCTGACAATGACCAATTGAGAGCAATCATGCTTTAAAATTGGTGAGGATGTAAAGTCATGAAGAGGGAATTGGTTTAGGGGCAACACACCTCTGAGAGTGCCCTCCAGAGTTGTGTGACACAGTGGCCCAGAGAGAGTGTAGAATCTCCAGGGCTATCCAAAACACTAAATTCTTTGGTACTTATTCATTGAATCAATGGAGAGACTTTAGGGATGGCATTTGGTACAGATCTGTAAGTAATGTATGAACATCCTTGGTCTCTAATAGCAGTAACGACAATTTTAATCATCATAATTATTTAGCCTGTACCTGCTCTGTGCACAGATCCTGTGCCATGTGCCCTGTCACACTTAACCGTTACAAGAGCCTGTGAATTACAGATGATATTCCTATTTTATAGACCAGGAAACTAAAGCTCGGAGAGAGTCAGAATCTCTGATCTTACGCAGTGTCTTGGTCTGCTCCGGCTGCCATAACAAAGTATCACAGACCGAGTGGCTTCAACAACAGGCACTGATCAGGCACTGATTGCCTAATAGTCTTGGAGGCTAGAAGTCCAGGGTCACCTGTTGAAAGGAGGACTGGTTTCCCCTGAGGCCTCTCACCTTGGCTGGTAGGTGGCCGTCTGTGTGTATCCCAGGTGTGTCTCTGTGTGTCCAATTTTCCTCTTATAAGGACACCAGTCAGATTGGATTAGGGCCTACCCTAAAGACCTCATTTTAACTTAATCACATCTTTAAAGGCCTTTTCTCTAAATATAGTCACATGCTGAGTTACTTGGGGTTAGAGCTTCAACATATAAATTGGGAGGGGTGGGGTTCAGGGATACAATTCAGTCCCTTTCAGACAGCAAGTAGGATGAACTAAGGAGAAAAATGGGACTAAGGCGGTCATTAAGTCTCATTAGATCCCCTCTCAGAAGCCAGGCCTGGGGCAGGGGAGGTTTAAAGGTAAGAGCACCCACATGAGGCCAGGAGGACAGAGCATGTCTCTCTCCTTCCTGCACCCCTTCCTTCCATCCCATACTAACTAATCAGTCTTCCCTATAGGTCAAAAGTATTGAATGGTTCAGTTAATTTCCTTCAGCCTAGAACCTAAACTCCAGAGTTATAATGAGAGACCCGTTCGCGCCCACTGTGCACCAGGGCCAGATCGGAGCTGATGGGGAACCATGCCAAACACAACACCATTCCTTAGCGCATAGTTGAGGTGGAGCATGTGGAATGGGCCTGAGGTTCCTTGAATTCTTTTCGAGGCTGAGATCTATGCAGCCCTACGCCCCCAAAGCCCTCTCTCTGCATTCAATTTGTAGCAAAGTAAACAATTTGTAGCCAGTAAACAGGGAGTCCATTGTGACAATGTTCTGGGGACTGGGCTTCAAAGAGGCCTTTTGTTCTAAGTGATATTTAAAAATTCTTCATTAGCTATAAAAAGTTGTTTTAAAAACTCTTTCCCAGACACCCAAATGCCTCTCATATGAAAAAAAAAAAAAAAAAAAAACCCACAAAGCTTATGAATAACAAGGAATGGTCATTTGTGGCCCAGACTTCTAGTCTGGTCAAGTCAACAGGGTGTGCGAGGCTCAAAGAGAGAAGCTGCAGGCGAGGGAGCTGAGCCTCCTGCTGTGACAGGACTGAGGCGCTGCTGGGGACAGGAGTAAGACCATGAGCAAAACGAAACTGTCTGCAGTGTCGAGCCCTGTGATACGTGCACTATTGCTTGGGGACAACTTAAAGAAGGCAGGGCCACTGGCTCCCACTGTGGCAGGGGGCATCCTTCATCCAGGTTAGTTATCTAAACTGCAGTGTGAATGTTGCCCCCGCAGGGGAGTACACTGAGGTAAACCTGAGCCAGGCACAGCAAAAAGCTCTAGAAGAAGAAAGCAGGGAGCACCTGAGCTAAGGAGACTGGGCATGTCTCGTGGAGGGGTTAGGACTCGAATGGATGCTTGAGGAATTTGGGCAGGGAAGTCTATTTTTCCCGTGGCTTCCCTAGGGACATGGAGAACCCCCAGCATCTATACTACCAAACCGCCTATATGACCCCAAAATGCTCCCAAGGGCACCATGAATGCAACTGTTTTTAAACAATGGCCTGTCCCCTAGGGCCCATCCTATCTCCAAGGCTGGCCTCTCTGGAAAGCAATATCGCTTGGGGCCTGAGAAGCAGGCTAGCTATGGAATCTCCACATCTCCAAGAACGTGCCCAGTTACTTCTCAGGAGCTCATAGGAAGCTTCTGCTGCCCTGCTGCCCATGGACTGGTCAAGAAACAGGAAGGTGCATTCTCTGAACACCCAATTTTGCAAAGATTATGGTCTAGTCATTTCCCTAATTGTCTCTTTCAGCTATAACGTCTTCACATCCTTTTTTTTTTTTTTTTTTTTCCTGAGACAGGGTCTTGCTCTGTCACCCAGGCTGGAGTGCAGTGGTACAATCATACATAGCTCACCGTAGCCTCAAACTCCTAGGTTCATGCGATCCTCCAGCCTCAGCCTCCCAAGTAGCTGAGACTACAGGCACACACCACAATGCCCAGCTAATTTTTAAATTTTTTGTAGAGGTGGGGTCTTGCTATATTGTCTGGGCTGGTCTCGAACTCCTGGCCTCAAGCAATCCTCCCTCCTCAGCCTCCCAAAGTGGTAGGATTACAGGTATGAGCCACTGCACCTGGTCCACATCCTATTCTTACTGAGGTGTTTGAGACCAAAATGCATTCTGAGAATTCTTAGATAAATTTCACTCTTTATGTACCAACGGAGGAACACTGCAGTCACCTAAGTCATGCCCCTCCTTATGCCAGTGAGGAAACTGAGGCCAAGACAAGGAGCCCAATGCCCAAGGCACCCCCAACAAGTTAGGGGTAGAGCTGAGCGACTCTCCCAGCACCCTCCTCCAAAGCATTGTTGGACACAGCGTGATTCTTGCCTCCTGCTCCTAGCTCATTCTTTAGTTTTCACAGTGAAAATTCCAACCCTTTATCTGATGGCATTTACTCCCATTATAATAGAAATATATTAACATTTGACCTGTGATCAGATCATTTCCTAGGAACAGGGTTTGGCAGGAGAGAAGGGAAGACCCTAAACTGTTCTTGTTGGTGCATGTGTGTATGTGCGTTTGTGTGTGGGGTTGTGTGTGTGTGAGACAGACCAGAAGGAAGATGGGCAAGAGTTAGGAGAAGGACAGAGAAAGGCAGAGACAAGTTTGCCCACTGCACAATATTGCCTCCATCTGGCCTGGCTTGGATGATCTGAAAGACTCTGATATTATCCAGAAGACCGGGGGTGCTGACCAAAGACTTCTCCAGGCACTCAGAAGTTGTCCTTCCAAGCATATTCCTTGGCTCTCCGAGAACCACAAGTAATTGATGACACCTCCCACCCCAGCCCCCGCCTTCTCCACATCCTATTCTTTCCAGCTTCTGGGCAGATAGATGTGCTTGTTTGTAGACTCATTCATTCCAGGCTTTGCAGTAATCTCAGACTTGACAAACACAGCATGGTCGCATTCATCATGGTCACCTGGTCCTCATTAGGGCCATCAGGGGAGGCCGGTGCCTGGCTTTGTGATGAGTGGTTCCTCCTCCACGTGGGCTCCAAAGTGCCCAGCAGCCTTTTGTTGTTTGCATGAAGGCCTTGGGTGACTCTGCCAGGCTCGGCTCAACATTTTCCACATGACTGATGGCATTCAAAACTTTGCAATGCCAATAGGCAAATGTCTTGACTGGCTTTGTTTCTTGTTGGTTCAGGTGGAATAATAAGGCTGATTCTGCCAGAAATGTCAGTGTGAAGCTGGGAGGTTGGTGTTTGTTCATAAGGACACAGGAAAGCAGATAGCTAAGTGACCGGGTGCCCCGGGGCCTGGGTGCCCAGTGCCAGTGGTCAGAAAGGTTGCTTTGGTGTTTTTCATTGTTAGTGAGACAGAGATGGTGTGCCTTAGGGGTAGGATGGGCCAACAAAAGGGGTCTTCCTGGGGGTTTTGCAAATGCCTTATGCTCACTGGCCAGGCTGTTGTGTTTTTGTTTGTTTGTTTGTTTTCATTTTTTTTTTGAGACAGAGTCTCGCTTTGTTGCCCAGGCTAGAGTGCAATGGTGCCATCTTGGTTCACTGCAACCTCCGCCTTCTGGGTTCAAGCGATTCTCCTGCCTCAGCCTCCCAAGTAGCTAGGACTACAGGAACATACCACCATGCCCAGCTAATTTTTGTATTTTTAGTACAGATAGGGTTTCACCATGTTGGCCAGGCTGGTCTTGAACTCCTGACCTCAAGTGATCCACCCACCTCGGCCTCCCAAAGTCCTGAGATTACAGGCGTGAGCCACCAAGCCTGGCACAGGCTGTTGTTAAATTCTGCTTCATGCAGTCTCTCAAAGCCACGTGGGGCCTGGGGGGTGGGGTGGAGGGTGCTCTGGGACTTGTCTTTCATTTCTGCAGCTGTGAGAACGGCTTGGCCTCAGCCACAGCCTTTTCTCCCATTTTTCTCTTGCTTCATTGGGACATTTCCGGAACCAAATATATTCAACTAGTCCTCAGCATCAGGAGGTAATCAAATATCTGAATGCTGGTCCTTCCATTGTCTGATGACCAGATCCAGCTGAAACATCCAATTTTGTAAAATATTCTGCTCTGGCATTTCCATAATTATCTCCTTCAACTGTAACGTGTTCACATCCTGTTCTAACTGAGGTGTTTGGGACTTACATGCTTTCTGATAATGATGATAAATTCCACCCTTTGTGCGCTAGAGTCATCAGGTGAAATTGCTTTCGCTAGGGTGTTTTGTTCTACTGTACTTTGACATGGATTCCGAAGTCTGCGTCATACAGAAGACAGGCGATTGTAATTATTATTTTGAAATGGACACATTGCTGAGCTCCTGGAAATGAGCCTAAAGATAAACATGAGGACTCAGGGGCCTTGAAATCCATACCAGGCAGCTTCCTGATTCTTGCAGGCCCGTTTGGTCACTGCCAGACTAAACAGAAAGCTGCCCCTCCCCTCCCTGGGCTGGCACTTTGGGGCTTTTGTTAGTTGGGCAGGAGTGCAAATCCTTGAAGATACTCTCCGTGGAAAGCCTGCGTCTTTACATCCTCTGCCTGAGACCTTGGCCAGTGCTGGCAACGTGGCCTCGAGCTGCCCTGGGGTTCCTTGACATTTCCTCATTTGGGACTCTGGGGCCTTTGCTCCAGCTTAGCTGTGTATCTCAGGGGTCAGGAAGGAGAGGTGGCCTATGGTCTTGTTTTTCAGCCTCTGGAATTGGGAAGAAGCTTTGGAGTTAGGAAGAGTCCCAAGCCACAGGCCCCGGCCAGTTTCTGACCAGAGAGGTGGAGGGGCAATCGCGGAGGTGGGCTTTGAAGTGGTGAGGGGGCCTGGGGGCAGATGGCAAGCAAGCAGGGAGTGTGTTTGTTACCCTGTGCTAAAGGTGTATCCGATAGGTGTATCCGATGTCACTCAGTCACTGAGCACCCAGGAAGGATACCATCATGTCCAGCCAAGCACCTGCAGACACATAGATTCATTGGCTCTCAGCCACATATGGTGATGGGAAACTCTACCTTGTCCCATGTGGTGGCATTTCAGTGTCTACTGAGCATCACTTGCAACCCTCCCGGGCTGTTCCCTGGCAGGTCCTGGCACTGCAGGTCAGTGTCTGGGGCAGCAGCTCTTTCCATGGGGTTGCCTCCCTTCTCCTGCCTGCCACGTCTCCTGCTGGCTTCTCTTACAGCTTTCTCTACCTCCAACTCTCTTCCCTTTCTAGAAAGACACCAGAGAAGAAGGGAGGAAACCCTCCCATCCAGGGAGTTCCCTCTTTTCACTCCTCTTTCTTTGGTTCTTAACCTCAAGCACTCCCTTGTCCCACCTGGGCAACCCTGCTTCAAGGTAGCTTGCCTTAGGGGCCTGTTTTCCCTTGTCTTTGGAAAGCAAGCCCCAGAGGTGAGTCAGCATACAAATATAGAACACGTTCCTCGGAATAAAGAAATCCCCACTTACAGTGTGGCTGGCGAGGGTGTGGGGCACAGATGTGAGGAGGGTGGGCACACGGAGAGGGGAAGGGACGTGGGTTGGGTCGGGGGAGGCCAAGTGACCCCACCATGTTGCAGAAGAACCTCAGCTGGGTCACAGGAAGTGGCATGCGGGAGTCACCATGGAAGCCACAGTTTAAAATGTCAGGCCACCTTCCTCACAGCTGAGGAGGGGGCAGATAGGCTGATGGGGGAAAAGTGCATGAATTTTTCTGGTTCCATCAATGCCTCTGAGAATCAGCAAAGAGCAAAAAGAGCAAAGCCCAGAGACGTGACCTGGTTGAGGACCCTACGCTCCTTGAAGGCAGGAATCAAGCCTTGTTCATGTTTGCATTTCAACACCAAGCGCAGCTCCAGGCTCCAAGTCGAGGCCCAGGAAGCGCTGGCTGTCCTGAAGGTGCTCAGTCTGAAGGTGTCGGGCCCAGGTGTAGGAAGCAGAGCCAGAGGACCAGGATGGGAAGGCACTGGGCCCGCGGTGGTGAGTTTCTGTAGATGCTGGGCTAAGAGGGCTATTGGCAGAAGAAAATCATGGAAAGGCATTTTGATGACATTTCTTCTTAAAAAATTTTAAAATAATGAGCACTCATTTTCACAGTACTCATCAGAACAACACAAAGATGCAATCAGAACAAGCTGTACTTCCCTCCCGACCCTTCGCTCTCCCTCACCCAGGTAAACAATTTTCTTTCTCCTTAGAATTCTGAGATTTCACCAAGTTATGTCTAGGTGTGTGTCATTTAAAAAATAACCCTGTCTGGGACTTGGGCCTTTCAATATGCAATCTAAAGTCTTCTGGCAGGTCAGGGAAATTTTCGTCTGTTATTTTTTAAATAGCACTTCTCTTCCATCTGTTCTCTCTTTCTTTCTCTCTTTCCTTCTGGAACGTTTGCTATTTGTATGTCATGCCTCTCGTTTTGTCCTTTAAGTCTCTTACCATTCCCTCCTGGGTTCCACCTCTTTGTGTTTTTATGTCGTGAACTCCTTCCTCTACTTGATCCTCTAAACCTCAAATTCACTGCCCAACAGTGATCCTCCTCTTTTCAGTCCATTTTCTGAGTTTTTTAAAATTTAAAAAAAAAAAGAAGAAGGTTTTCTTTTAGCTCCAAGTCTTTTTCTCAGACTTAAATGGTATCTTCTTGAGCATTCTTTTTTACTTGTTTTTCAAGCCTCTTTTCCCTCCATGGGGGGGCTCCCTGGGATGCAGATTTGGTCCCTCTCCCCCTCATCACACAGATCTCTGCATGCCTGCGATTTTGCAGGCCACAGACAGGCAGTTGAGGGCATGAATGTTCATCGAGCAGTGGACGGCACAGATGTTTCTGCTTTTCAGAGCCAGCAGCAACAAACCAAGTGAGCAGCCACTTCTCTGCAGATCAGAGCGGGGCATCTTCTCTGCTTTGTGCTCTTCCTGGGATTAAAGTCCAGTTCTTGAATATGGAGGGATAGGGAATTATGAGCAAAGGTGGGAGAATTAGCTTCAAAGAGCTAGGGAGGGGAATATACCTTCTCGTGAGCCTGCAGTACTGGCAGGTGGGGTTGCAAATGTAGACCCTGTACATTTCGGCAGTAAGTTGGGGGATTTCATGGTCAATGATAGAGATGGGCTCAAGGCAGCCATTTGAATGTTTCCTCTAATTCAGAGAGAAATTGCCCCTGAGGTATTGCCTTCAACCTCCCATGGCTTTCACCTATCCCCGGCAACCCAAGCAATAGACTGCTGTGGGGCGCTAAGGAGAATCAGAGGCAGAGATCTCACCCCGATGTGCTTCCCGCATCCTTCAAGGTGGTTTAGTTACCATCTCCTGAATTATTCTTTGTCTGAGCCATCAGAGGCTTCGTCTGTCCCTCTGTTGGCTCCCTCTTTGGGGCTCTGGGAGGATGCTACAGCAGCCCTGGGGTTAGCTCCTCCACGCAAACATGGAGGTGATGCAGCGTGGCTTGCAGGAAGACCCCCAGGCTTTAGCTTTTCTGAGCTGCCCTTTGTTTACCTGTGGTGAACATAGGACCCAGGGGAATTGAGGATCTGGCTGGGGTTGGGGTGGGATCTTGGCAAGGAGAATCCAAGGGAAGTCACTCCCCTCTAAGGGGAGGCAGAGTCCTGGGAAATAGGAGGCCTCTGACAGAGCCAAGTAAAGACTGAGCACACAGCCACAGCCTCTGGAACACCATCTGCAGTGTGGCAAGATGCAATCAGAAGTCAGGACGTGGCCCAGGAGGAGGAGGAGGAGGAGGCGGCAGAAGTTCCTGCACCACAGAGGCCCAGGCATCCTCTCTGCCTTGAGGTTCCAAACCTACCACCACCCAACACTTTCAGAGGCTGTGACCACCTTCGGGCCAGGGAAGAAAAACTTCAGTGACTTATAACTTGTGTTTGTTTTGTTTTTCCTAGAAAGTCTGAACATAACTGCAAGAGCTGTTTAAATTTAGGATCTAAGTTATAAAGCAGATAGGACTAAAAATTCTTTTTCCTACTAACCAGCAGTAAAGACCCAGAAAGAAGACAGATAAGTTTTAGACAAAATCAAGGGACTTGGCTTTATTTCCTGCACATCCAGGTTGCACTGTGAGTTAGAATTTGCAACCCTCCCCTACCCCACACTTTCATGCCTTTTTTTTTTTTTTTTACTTTTTCCAGACCCCATTGGCTAGTAAATGACCTAAAATGCATCGGAAAAACAGCAAAAAGAGACTTGAATAGACATTTCTCCAAGGAAGATAAACAAATGGCCAACAAGCACATGAAAAAGATGCACCATGTCATTAGTCATTAGGGAAACACACATCCAAACCACAACAGTATGATAACACTTCACACCCACGATGACGGCCACAACTTTTTTTTTAGAAAAGAGAAAATGGCCGGGTGCGGTGGCTCACGCCTGTAATCCCAGCACTTCGGGAGGCCAAGGTGGGTGGATCACTTGCAGTCAGGAGTTTAAGACCAGCCTGGCCAACATGGTGAAACCCCATCTCTACTAAAAAATACAAAAATTAGCTGGGAGTGGTGGCGGGTGCCTGTAATCCAAGCTACTCAGGAGGCCGAGGCAGAAGAATCGCTTAAACCCAGGAGGCAGAAGTTGCAGTGAGCTGAGATCATGCCATCACACTCCAGACTGGGCGACAGAGTGAGACTCTGTCTCAAAAAAAAAAAAAAAAAGAGAAGAGAAAATAAGTGTTGGCGAGGATATGGAAAAATTAGAACCCTTATAACATTGCTGGTGGGAAAGTAAAATGGTCACTATGGAAAAGAGTTTGGTGGTGTCCCACTAATTTAAACACAGAATTCCCATGTGAGCCAACAATTCCAGGTTGTATACCCCTACAATCAAAACAGGTGTTCAGATAAAAACATGTGCATAAATGTTTATAGTATCTCCATTCACAATAGCCAAAAGTTGGAAGGAACCCAAATGTCCATCAACAGATGAATAGATAAACAAAACGTGGTATATCCTATCCATACAATAACATATTATTTAACCATAAAAGGGAGTGAAGTATCAATGTATGTTACAGATGGAGGAATCTTGAAAACACTATGCTAAGTGAAAGAAACCAGATGCAAAGGCCCACAAAACATATGATTCTATTTATATGAAATGTCCCGAACAGGCAAATCCACAGACACAGAAAGCAGGTTAGTGGTAGCCAGGAGAAAGGGCCAGGGGAGAAATAGGGAATGACTTAAAGGGTGGTGAAAAACTTCTGGGACTAGATAGCAGATGGTTGCATAGCACTGTGAAGATACTCAAAGCTACTGAATTGCACACTTCAAGATAGTAAATTTGGTGTGTGTTGGTGCACACCTGTAGTTCCAACTACTCAGAAGGCTGAGCTGGGAGGATAGCTTGAGCCCAGGAGTAGAAGGCTGCAGTGAGCTATGATTGTGCTACTGCACTCCAGCCTGGACGACAGAGAGAGACTCCATATCTTAAAAAAAAAAAAAAAAAAATTAAATGTTAAGTTGTGTGTACTCTACCACAATTTTAAAAAATCCATACAGAGGATGCTGTCGCTGAAATATTGACCTCATATTAAGAGTAGCCTGCATTCAGTAAGTGTTCAGCGTGTGCTGGGCATTTTGTGTGGACTATTTGTTTTGGTTCTTACAGGGATCCCAGGAGATAATATCATTATTCCCATTTTGCAGGTGAGGAAACAGACTTAGCTCAAGGGACAGCCCAAATCCCAGAGAGTCTGACTCAGGAACGCAAGCACTTAGCTCTCCCAGCACGCAGCGAGGTGGGAGGGAAGGAGGGAGCTGCCAAGGTTTCCTTCCTTCTTAGGACCATAGGTTAGAGTTCAGGGCACAGCACCCAACTTGGATGGCACAGGGTGCTCCTTCCTGGCCTCGGGCTGAAAAGAGGGCGGCACTATTATAATTGCTTCCGGCTTTTGTCTCTAACATATGGAAAAACAGCGTGGGTAAGGGAGTCTAGAAGGAGACATCCTGCTGAAGCCCGTTGGAAGGACGCCTAAGGTTGCAAGGACCATCGTCCATGAAGGAATAGCTGGTGTTACCTGGCGCCTGAATGTAGGCCCTTCTCCTCTGTGGAGAATGTGGGCCTGACCCCAGGGAAGCCACTTCTTCACCATTTCCCACCCCTGGAGGCTGCAGTCCTCTCATGCCATCACTTCCCATTAGCTTCCAACAATAAAGATCCCAGACTCAGCCTGCTGAGCCAGAGAGATGAGGAGGCATTGGCAGGAAGCCACTGCAGAGGGGGCAGCTGCCTCTCAGAACTGACTTTGGGGTGGTGGCTGGCTCTGTCCCTGCTGTAGCCAACTGGGGGCAAAAAGTCCAATTGAAGGACAAGTTTCAAGGGCGGGTTAGGGTGAGCAGAAAGGATGAGTCCCTGGCAGTGGCTGTCCCAGCCCTGGGCCACCGTGCCTGGGTCTCCAGTGAAATCCCGTCCAGTGGTCATCATCAGAAACCTAAGCCCTGACTCCGGGGCCAGAGGTGACTGTGAGTGGAGTGGACGAACCCAGATGGGTGACCACAATGACCAGAGGAGGGAGCAATGGCTGCTTCCAGATGGGGAGGGGGTAGAAACGCCATTTGAACTCTATCCTGAAGATTCGGCTTTGGGCAGTAACTGGCATCAAAGCCACAGTCCTGAAGTAGGGCAGCATCACTTCACTCTTATCTTTGAGGAACTTTTTTTTTAAGAGACGGGGTGTTACTTTCTCACCCAGGCTGGAGCACAGTGATGCACATGGCTTACTGAAGCCTCAAACTCCTGGCCTCAAGTGATCCTCCCGCCTTGGCCTCCCAAAGTTCTGGGATTACAGGCATAAGTCCCTGCGCCCAGCCAGAAGCTTTCTGATGATATATTATAACTTGGGCCTCTTGTGAGTTACTAAATTGAAGTGGCCAATCCTGTTCAGCTCTCATGCCAGCTTCTATCGATTTGCTATGCCTTCCTGGACCACAGGGTTGAGAAGGATTCTAAGGCTTAGGGGAAAAGATAACCATTGTTGATTAGTAATGCCTGCAGTGGGCACACAGCAGGAGCAGCAGTGGCCGTGGCTAACTCCTGCAGCCTCGGCAGCAGCTCGTGTTAAAACGGTGGCTCAGCTAAGGGTTGGGATAAGCATCCCCGTTATCACATGTGTTCATGGGAATGATTACAAGGGAATCATGCCTGGATAGTCTCTGGAGGTGATGATCACCCCCTTCCATCCAGAAAAATAAATCCTTCCAGAAAGACTCCTTCCTTTCTTCTCCGTTATCTTGTGCTCCCAAGAGGGGCAGCAGGTCAAAGAAAAGGGCAATTTCCTCCTCTTTCCCTGGGAAGGAACCAATGACTGGCAGGAGGGGGCCTCTTTCTCCAAGGCTGTTCTGGAGCTCTTGCTGGCTGAGGGCAGCTGCAGCCACACAGCTCGTTTCTTGACATGGAAAGCTGAAACTTCTCGGATCCCAAGCTAAATACCGTTGCTGCAAAACATCCAGTTTTTCTTTTTCATGGGCCCCTGGTGAATTAAAACCCAGAAGCCAGAGGCCCACCTGCCAATTATTGCAGTTAATTCTGTGCAGGCTTGACTCAGGAACCGAGACAGAGCGTTCTGTTTGCTACCGGGGGTGCGCAGGGCGGGCGGGTGGGAGCCGGCTGTGGCCACAGCGCTGTGAATGCCCTCTGTGTGTGCTGGGCTAGGCCTGGCAGCCACAGTGCCCTCCCTTGCACCGTGAGCTTGGCATCCAAGTGTGACTTCAGTGGGGCCTCTTTCTCCTTGAGTCTGCCTAAGATCGAAGATTCTGTCAGGAAGTTTCCTTCCCTCTGCTACATGTGCAGCCCCCCGCATGCCCCTGAGGAACTCAGTGACAAACACTTCTACTTTTTCCAAGGAATAAGAGAAAACAGCACTCAGCTTAAAACTGTGGGGTTTTTCTGTGGCCTTTTCTCCTCTGACCCAATTGCCTTGCAAGATCCCGCTGGTTTGGGGAGAGAACAGTCACCCTTTGTTCCCTGGAAGCCCCTTTTGTAGTGGGCCACCTTTGAGTTCCAGCTTGGTCTTGCCTCAAGGTGACATCAATGCTGGTTGCTCAAGGCTCTCCCTGCTGGGTTCTTCTAGGGCCTCTTCGGTCGAGTCATTGGTTTATTTATTAGTTCTTTCACTCCTAGGCCCTGGGAAGACTGGAGGAAAAGATGGAGTTCTTGTCCTCTAGGAGTCAAGCAGGAAAGTAGCAAATGGTTGAGTGCTGATAGTGGGGCACAGAGAGCCGAGGCTGGGTTCCCCGGATTAGACCCTGTCCCTGTCCTCTGCATACAAGTCACACAGAGCAGTCCCTGGCATGTGGTGCAAACGTAAAAGGAGGGGCTTCATCTAACTGAGGGGGAGATGCTATCCAGGAAGTTGTCCCTAAGGAGGGGGGTTTAAGTGGACACCTGAACAGTGAGTAGATGCAGCAGGAAGTAGAAATGAAGGGGCAGGAAGGCAGGCTTAGGAGAGGAGACAGGGTAGAAGTCCCCAAGGCACAGGGATCATTCTAATAACTGAGAAATCCAAGAGGCCTGGAGTGCAGACAGCTAGGAGAAGCCCAGCGTAGCATGAGCTAGGGCGGGTGCCAGGCAGCCATGCCTGGCCTCAGAAGCCAGGATAAGAATGTTGGCCTCCTTCTTCGGGATGCAGGGAATCGATGGGATAACTTGAGCGTCCCCAGTTTTGACCACTGCACCACAGCTCCTGCTCTTGTCTTCTGGACCGAATACTTGGCCCCTGGACATCACCTTCCAATGACTCAGAAAGATAAGCCATGTAACAGTGGGGTTGCCTGTGGTGAATACTATACCAGGGCGAAGGCTGGTGGAAAGATCATGAAACCTAAGCCCTGACTCCAGGGTTGGAGGTGACTATGAGTGGAGTGGACTGACCTAGAGACGGGTGACCACAATGCCCAGGGGAGGGAATAATGGCTTCTTCTGGATGGGAAGGGGTTGGAGAACATTTGGACAGGAAACGCCATTTGAGCTGCATCTCCAAGATGAGGCTCTTGGATGAAGGCCATCTGAGTCACAAGACTGGGGGTGCAGAGGTGTGAAGGGAATGGTGGGTTCAGGATCAGCGTTCGGAGGGAATGTTTTATTGGGCTGTGCATCTCCTGACCCTGGAACATTCAAGCCTCCTTACTGACCCAGACAGTGGGTGGCTGATGGGAACCATATGCTGGAAGTCTTCCGGTGGGGCAGGAAGGGGCCTCATTCCAAACCCCATGCTGAGAAAGGAGCTGGCCGGCTCGGACCACTTATTGTCCCCTGCTGGGAGGGGTGACGCTGCGGCTTGCTGGACTATCTCCCCTTTGATGAAGAATGCCATCCTCTGGGATGGGCGGCAAAGAAAGGGCCAGCCTGTGACTTCTGTCAGCTCCCCCGCTGCATCTTAGATGTGCCTATCCTGGGAGATTTCCGGACCAGAAAACTCATCTTTAAAAAGCTTCGTACCTGCCCCAGGTCCCGGGGGATCCCATGTCCCGTCCTCCCCTCCGGCCCCAGCTGCAGCAAATGTCTCCTAACAGGGGCCCAACTCCCAGTAGCCACCTTAATCACATGGCAGGAGTGTCTATTTTCGTTACATAAACAGAGTTGTCTACATTTGGATTCCGGGGCTGGCTACAGGAATTTGTAAACAGCGTGGTGTACGTGTTTCACAGAAAGTTGCCAGGCTGTGCTCTCTTTCCCACTGCCTGTTGTCCAGTTTTCCCTTTTATAGAGAGTCTGGCTGGGAAAGAGAGACAGAACTTATTTGGGAATAGAGGACAATCTCTCAGGCAAATTCCTCTCCCCCCACCCTAGTCACCGCTACCTCCTCGGCTTCAATTTTGAGGTCTGATTCAAAATTAAGACCCTTCTGAATTATGAATCCCTCCTAAATGCTAGCTTCTATAGATATAAATATAAACCTCATGGAAAACAAATTTGGGGAGATTTTATTCCCAGAAGGGTAACAAGGAATTTTGAAGTTTGAGGTAGATTTTAAAAACTCTTGGACACTGCTGTCCCTATCTGAGCTGAGATCCCACATAACATCATGACATTCCACTGGTCTCCTACTTCCCCCAGGAGCTGTCTTGAGCTTGCAGCAGAGGCTTTTAAGGCTCTGGAGTGAGGGCAGCAGTAGCCCCAAGGAAAAGAGGGGTGCCCACTTTTTCCTTTCATTTAATAACCATTAATGAAGCATCTATTGAGATTAGATTCTGTGTTCAGCACTGTGGGCCTGAGAAGATGTTTAACACAAATCATTGGTGTCAAAAAACTGCAGCGAGGCCGGGCATGGTGGCTCACACGTGTAATCCCAGAACTTTGAGAGGCCAAGGCCGGCAGATCACTTGAGGCCAGGAGTTCGCCATCAGCCTGGCTAACATGCTGAAACCCCATCTTTATTAAAAATATGAAAATTAGCCGGGCGTCGTGGTTCACACCTGTAATTCCAGCTACTCGGGAGGCTGAGACAGAGAATCACTTGAATCCAGGAGGTGGAGGTTGCAGTGAGCCGAGATCGCGCCACTGCACTCTAGCCTGGGAGACAGAGCGAGACTACACCTTAAAAATCAGACAAACAAACAAACAAAAAACCTGCAATGAAAGATGGACTTGTTAAGAGTCACTGAGATGGATTTGGGATGGCAGAGTGGATTTGCTGAAGGAATGAATGAAAAATAGGTCTGTGACTGACAATGAAGCCTGTTACAGTGGTTGAAGTTGAATCTGCATCTTAAATTCAGTGTAGGCTAACTTTTGCTCTAACCGAAAGCTAGGGTCACAAGCCATCCTGCTTTGCCTGGGACTAATGGGATACTCAGGACACAGGATGGAAAAGTTCTCAGGCAAACTAGTGCAAATTGGCCACCCTACTTAAAATTCAAAGAAAAGAGAACGAGGAAGAAAACTCCTGTGTAGGAACTATCCAAACTAGGAAAAATAACCATGAGAGGTCACTGGGACATGAAGCATATATGAGCAGTTATTTTTCTCCTTTTATGGGAGAATGAAGAAAAAGAAAATAATCTACCCATGTAGAAAGAAATAGAGGGAAATTAATGAGTTATGAGAAAATGGGCATTGACAATCAAAACAAAAGGGCTTACATTCTTAAAACATTCTCGAACAAACCTGGCATTAAACAAAGCTACTGATACATTTTAACTTCATCTGCACAGATAACTGCAAAGAAATGCATGGCTTTTAATCACTCCAAATGCTGTAAGGGTCTGAACACATCCATTTCCCAAGAGCATCTGTGTTCAGAACAGGTGAAGTTAGAATAAGCAGCGGTTTAAAATAATGTTTAGTAAGAAAAGTTTAATGTTATACCTAGATGTTGTATTTCTTTACCGGTTGCTGTAAAGTGTATCCTTTTTAGAAAGACGTGCAGATGTTAATAGTTAATGATTTTCAAGGAAGCAAGGATGTCTGCTATTTTAATAAAGAGCTTACTGTGCTAGAAATGTCATAGTTAGTCTGGAAGCATGCACCGTGATGTCAGATCAGTTGAGGGCTCTGGCAAAGTGTAGCTGGTCCCTTGGATTAATAAAGCTCAGATTTGGCGCCACCTGGCGGCAGCTACCCAAATTTCAGGTACAGAACCCAGGAAGAGAGAAACACATCGCGCATTTTAAGCTTAGCCAGTGGCAGAAGGCCAGGCGCGGTGGCTCACGCCTGTAATCCTAGCACTTTGGGAGGCCGAGGCAGGAGGATCGCTTGAGCCCAGGAGTTGGAGACCAGCCTGGACAACATGGCGACATCCCATCTCTACAAAAAATACAAAAATTAGGCGTGGTGGCGCGTGCCAGGCTGAGGTGGGAGGATCTGTTGAGCCCAGGAGGTCAAGGCTGCAGTGAGCCCTGACTGCAACACTACACTCCAGCCTGGGTGATAGAGTGAGACCCTGTCTCAAAAAAAAAAAAAAAAAAAAAAAAAAAAAAAAAAAAAGGCAGCAAAGGCCATTTCTATCACCAAAAGCAATATTTTATGCATTTTTGAATTGTGAGTTGTGCAAAAGAACCTGGGTCCTCTTGTCCAAAACTTTTCATTCAGAGTATGAGTTTTTGTAGCCTTTTTTTCTCAGCTGTCAGATGAGGTTCTTTGTAACTACCTTGCAGGGTTGGCATAAAACCAGAGCCATGGTATATAAAGTTTCTTACACCATGAAATACTACGCAGCCACAGAAAAGAACAAGATCAAGTCCTTTGCAGGAACATGGATGGAGCTGGAGGCCATTATCCTTAGCAAACTAACACAGGGACCAAAAACCTGATACCGTGTGTTCTCACTTATAAGTGGAAGCTAAATGGTGAGAACCGATGGACACAAGGAGGGGAACAACAGACACGGGAGCCTACTTGAGGGTGGATGGTGGGAGGAGGGAGGGGAGCAGGAAAGACAACTATTGGATACTAGGCTTAGTACCTGGGTGACAAAATAATCTTTACAACAAACCCCCATGACACAAGTTTATCTATATAACAACCCCTGCACGTGTACCCCCAAACCTAAAATATAAGTTTTTTTTACAAGAAGCTATTACTTTAAATAAATAAATAAATAAATAAATAAATAAATAAGGTTTCTTGCACATTGCCTGGCACTCAGGAGTTGCTCAATAAATGGGAGTAGCTGAGCTGGTAGCAATGGCTGCTGACGTTACTGATGGGCAGGGTGAACCTGAAAGTGCTGGCTGTGGGCTGTAGGTTCAGATTGCACTTGAACTTTGCTGCCACCAGTAATTTCCTGAGAGTGGATAATGCAGGGTTGCTTGAACAGTCGAGACACATGAGAATCTGAAAGTGCTGCTGGAGCCTGGGCTCTCTAACGGAAGCAGAGCACAAGGTCAAGTTTCCTGGGCAAGACCTTTCCCAGAGGCTCGAACAAGGACCTAAGTTCTTGCCCAACCTTTGACAAGTTTCCAGAGATGTTATGAAGAGGAGACAGTTCTTTCTGAGACTGGGCAAACAGGGAAGGTAGTGAAAAATGCTAATAATTTGTTTTGTTTTGTTTTTGAGACGCAGTCTCGCTTTGTTGCCCAGGTTGGAGTGCAGTGGCACCATCTCGGCTCATTGCAACCTCTGCCTTTTGGGTTCAAGTGATTCTCCTGCCCCAGCCTCCCCAGTAGCTGGGACTACAGGTGTGCACCACCATACCTGGCTAATTTTTGTATTTTTAGTAGAGACAGGGTTTCACCATATTGGCCAGGCTGGTCTTGAACTCTGAGCTCAGGCAATCTGTCCACTTCAGCCTCCCAAAGTGCTGGGATTACAGGTGTCAGCCACCACACCCAGCCTAAATACTAAGAATTTTTAAAGAAGGAATTGATGCTTATAGAATTTTGGTTCCTTTTTCTGTAGAATCAATAGGCTGGACTAGATCATCTTTAAGGCCCCATATAGTTGTTTTGTGTTTTTTTGAGACAGGGTCTTGCTCTGTTGCCCAGGCTGGAGTGCAGTGGTACAAGCCCAGCTCGCTGCAGCCTTGACCTCCTAGGCTCAAGTGATTCTCCCCCATCAGCCTCTCGAGTTGCTGGGACCACAGGCATGCACCACCACACCTGGCTAATTTTTATTTTTCTTTGTAGAGTCAGGAGTCTCACTACATTGCCCAGGCTGGTCTCAAACCTGGGCTCAAGTGATCCTCCCAATTCTGCCTCTTGAAATCCTGGGATTACAGGCGTGAACCACCACCCTTGGCTAATTCTAACATTCTTGAATCCTAAGAGTTCATGACCAAGGAATACAAAAAGCACAGCCCTGTTGGTGAGGATTTGGAGCAGCTGGATCTTCATTCATTACTGGTAGGGATGTAAAATGGTCTAGCAACTCTGAAAACTCATCTGGCAGTTTCTTATAAAATTAATCATGTACCTGCTATGTAACCCAGAGATTGCCCAAAGAAATGAAAATGTATGTTCACACCAAAACCTGTACATGAACTTTCATAGCATCTCTATTTGTGATAGCAAAAGCTGGAAATAACTCAGAGTAACAGATATTTAATGGTTAAATATTCATATGATGGGGTACTACTCAGCAATAAAACGAAACTAGCTCTTGATATACACAACTCGGATGGATGTCAAGAGCATTATATAGAGTGAGGAAAAGCTGATCTCAAAAGGTTGCCTACTGTCTGTTCTTATTTCTTTAACGTTCTCAAAATAACAGATTTATAGAGGGGATACCTGCTTAGTGGTTACCATGGCCTAGGGATTGCAGAAAGGGTTCAACTATTAAGGGGTGGCACTAGGGAGTTTCTTAAGGGTGATATAGCAATTTTGTTCCTTGGTTTTGGTGGTGGTTTCCCAAATCTATACATCAGATTAAATTATATCAAGGCTGGGTGTGGTGGCTCATACCTATAATCCCAGCACTTTGGGAAGCCGAGGCGAGAGGATCGCTTGAGACCAGGAGTTGAGGACCAGCCTGGGCAACCTAGCAAGATCCCATCTCTACAAAAAATAACAATCACAA
This sequence comes from Homo sapiens, assembly GCF_000001405.40. NCBI lineage: Eukaryota > Metazoa > Chordata > Mammalia > Primates > Hominidae > Homo > Homo sapiens. The sequence goes on from NC_000021.9 coordinate 34,351,005, forward strand.
AAGATTAGCTGGGTGTGGTGGTGTATGTGTGTAGTCCCACCTACTTGGGAGACTGAGGCAGGAGTATTGCTTGAGCCCAGGAGTTTGAGGTTACAGTGAGCCGTGATCATGCCACTGCACTCCAGCATGGGTGACAGAGCAAGACTTTGTCCCCGCTACACACAAAAAATTGCATTGCTGGGCATGGTGGCTCACACCTGTAATCCCAGCACTTTGGGAGGCTGAGGCAGGTGGAGCACCTGAGGTCAGGAGTTCAAGACCAGCCTGACCAACATGGTAAAATTCCATCTCTACTAAAAATACAAAAATTAGCTGGGAGTGGTGGCGGGCACCTGTAACCTCAGCTACTTGGGAGGCTGAGGCAAGAGAATTGCTTGAACCTGTGAGGCAGAGGTTGCATGATCTGATATTATGCCACTGCACTCCAGCCTGGGCAACAGAGAGAGACTCCATCTCAAAAAAAAACTGCATCAAATTACACACACACACACACACAAATGAGTGCATGTAAAAATGGTGAAATGTGAATATGGTCTGTGGTCTATGTAACTACAAGGATTATATCAACATCAATTTCATACTTTTGATGTTATACTATAGCTATGTCCCATGTTACTATTGGAAGAAACTGGGTGAAGGGTACACACAAAATTTTTGCAATTTCCTGTGAATCTATAATTCTTTGAAAAAATAACTTAAAAAGAGAGAAATGTACAAAATGGTTGTATCCTACATTCTCTAAAATTTGGGGGAAAAAAAGGAAAAAAGAAAAGCAAATTTCAAAGCCTTTCTCTGGGCTGTTGGCAGCCACTGCAGGCAGCGGAGGGAGCGCCACCTGCCCAGAGCACATGAGGCTGGTTTTCATTGTCACTGCAGAGGTGACACTTCTGGACTTTGACTGCTGCGTATGAACCAGGCACACTCGGCAGCACAGTGGGGACACATTGTGGCCATTTTGAATACCACAGCCTGAGATTTAGACTTTTCTTTCTCTGGCCCTAGCAAAAAGGACCCTATGGTAAACACCCTGCCTAATGAGGTTTGAAAGACAATAAACGAGACTGTGGTTGGCAGGGGTTCTCCAGATGTAGACAGCAGGCTCTCCTGGGCCATGCCCTTTCTGAATACTCAGTCAAGCTGTGCTATCTCCGTGAGGTTGCTAATTGGAAGCAAATTCTGAAAGCCACCCCACTTTGGAATCCCAGAGAGGCCTGGAGATGAGTTTCCTTTAAGACAAGGCAAGGAACCATGGGTTTGTTCTAAATTTTCAAGGACATGGAATCCTTTGAAAAGATTTCTTAAGGGAGCAGGTGCTTGGCTTTGGCTTCCGTCCCCATTGAGTCCAAACCTGAGAGCATCGGGAAAGCGGAGGTGGGACTCCATGGTGGTGGGGGGTGTTCCCAGGGAGAAGCTGGGGGCGCTTTTCCTGCCCTGAGCACTCTCCATCCTGGGCTTCTGTCTCTGAATCAGAAACAAAAGTTCCAGGGAAAACCCACTTCAAAATCTGCCCAAACGAAAGGCTGTGAGAATAAGGAGATGTTGTCAAAAAATATGTCTTTATGGTTTGGATCTGTGTCCCCAGCAAATGTCATGTCGAATTGTAATTCCCCAGTGTTGGAGGTGGGGCCTGGTGGGAGGTGAGAGGATCATGGGGGTAGATTTCTCATGAATGGTTTAGCACCACCATCCCCTTGGAGCTGTTCTCGTGATAGTAAGTGAGCTCTCGTGAGATCTGGTTCTTTAAAAGTGTGGCATCGCCCCCAGCTCTCTTCCTTTTGCTCTGGTCATGAGAAGTGCTGGCTCCCCCTTTGCCCTCTGTCATGATTGTAAGTTTCCTGAGGCCTCCCCAGAAGCTGAGCAGATGCCAGCATCATGCTTCCTGTATAGCCTGCAGAACCATGAGCCAAAGTTTAAGAGGTTTAGCCTGTTTTCTTTATAAACTACCCAGTCTCAGGTATGTCTTTATAGCAGTGTAAAAATGAACTAATACATACATATCTGTCAGAAAAAGATACAACATTTAATAACGATGGAATGTAAATATCAAATATTTTTATTTACAAACAAATAAAAGTTTTTATATAGAACTAAAATGATTTCTATAACACCTGTTTTCACTGTTCTTCAATATTTCTCTTTTAACTTTTCAAAGATTTTCTTTTTAAAATTTTTTTTTGTAGAGATGGGATCTCACTATGTTAACCCAGTCTGGTCTCGAACTCCTGGCATGTGATCCTCCCTCCTTGGCCTCCCAAAATGCTGGGATTACAGGCAAAAGCCACCACGCCCAGCCAAGATTTTCTTTTTTTATTGTCTGTATTTAAGATATGCAACAAGATGTTCTGACGTACATATGTGGAGTGATTACCACAGACAAGCAAATTAACATACCGTTAACATATTACACCAACCATTAACATGTCCATGTTCGTGTGTGTTTTGGGGGGGGGTATGTGTGGTAAGAGCACCTAAAACCTACTCTCTTGGCAGATTTCCAGTATGCAATGTGTACAATGCTTATAAACATTTTTCTTTATTAAAACAAAACAAAAAACCGCCACATATATGGAAAGAGCTGTGCTGGATGCCTAAGGAGGAAGCTTGATGGTTCTAAGCAAAGGCCAAAAAGTGGTCTGATCTATGGAAAAACTGGAAAGCCGGCAAAATTTGCTGTGAGAGCCCTTTCTCTGCTCCCATCTGTGCTGATCTGCTTTTTTCCTACAAGAGCCCATTGGCCTTTTATAGTTCCTGGGGAAAATGAAGCCCCCACGGTTGTGCCTCCTTGAGTTCCAGGACTTCCCCCTCTCCTTCCCATCCAGTTTTAACCCCCACACACCTGTGGCCTGCACGCTGGGGGTTCTTTTCTGTTTCTTTTGATCCTCTTCCTCTTTGAAAATCATCTTTGTAAAACAAACCTAATACGGCACCATTTCCGTCCAGATTCATGCTCCAGGAAGAAAGGGTGCTGGAGGCTACAGGGGGGCCTCACAGCCCATGTGATCTCTGTGTTACATTCATTTTCCACTAACAGAAATCAAAGAACATACCCTGCCATTCGGCCTGTGACAGGGGTCTTTGTTAACTTTGGGTCTTGCTAAAGTTCAGTAATGTCAGGGCAAACAGAACACAAGGAAGCTGAGACGTTCTCTGGCTTTCCGTTGCAAACTAGGCCTGTTGATGATGGTGACAAGCTTCTCAATCCCAGAAGCATGAAGCCAGCAAGGCTGGGAAAGCACCTTGGGGGAAGGCTCCATCAGAAGAGAATCAACTTTATCAAAACTTGGTTTGCTCTATCACAGCAGCGGCATTTCAGAAGCATCCTACCAAGTTGCTTGTTTCATTGATAAACTAAAGAAACCCTACATGTTTGGAGAGTTCTTGGTGAGGCCTGTTCATTGGAAGTCGTCATGCTTGTGTGTATCTTAGAGAAGAAGAAAATTCCAGTAGTTCCTCAGTCAAATGGTGTAATCCACTCCAGAATCATTGCCATCTCTTCTAATATTCTGAACCAGGCACAGAGAAAGTAGAAGCTCAGTGCATAGCTAAATGAAATTACCAGAGATTCTCAATGCCCCCATTTCCAGCTTTTCACAAAACCATTGTGCTCACATTAATAGCATCAAGGAAAGCTTCCTACTCTGTGAGCTCAATTAGAAACGTCATGTATTGTTAATGGTTTTGAAAAGGTGAAAACTTTCTTTTCCAGAGTCTTTTTCATCGGAATGATAATCTTAGTACCTTGTAAATAGATGAGGTGGTTGATTTCATCACAGCCAGAATCTAGAATTATCACCATTCTTTTGGGATACAGTGAGAGCTTTTTTCCAGCCAGACACAGAATGGGCAATACAGGTAAGGTCCCTGTTGTCATGGAGCTCAAGTTCTGTTAGAGACAGGAAAGAAAAAAACAATCAATAAAACAGGAAAACTTCATAATTCAAAGAAGCCACGCACAGCTGTGAGACTATGCACAGGCACCATTCACACTGTAGACTAAGTGACAGCTGCCCCCGGGTTAAGCCCTGCCTTGCCTGGGCAACAGTACATGGCATCCCCACACAATTCAGATAATACAAAGTGCTATCAGGGAAATGTGAAGAAGGAAGAAGCTGTGCCAAGATTGGGGGAAAAGCATTAGAGGCAGAGAGAGCAGCGTATGCAAAGATGCTGAGGCAGTCCGTATAATTGCACCATGAAGAGGTCCCTGTCCTAATCTCTGGAAGCTGTGAATATGTTACCTTACCTGGTAAAATGGACTTTGCAGGTGTGATTATTAAGTTAAGGATCTTGAGATGGGAAGATGATCTTGGATTATCCAGATGGGACAAATGCAATCACAAGGCTCCTTATAAGAAGCAGGCAGGGGGCTCAGGGAGTGGGAGAAGATGTGATCACAAAAGCAGAGGCTGGGCCGGGTGCGGTGGCTCATGCCTGTAATCCCAGCACTTTGGGAGGTTGAGGCGGACAGATCATTTGAGGTCACGAATTTGAGACCAGCCTGGCCAACATAGTGAAACCCCATCTCTACTAAAAATATACAAAAATTAGCCTGGCATGGTGGCAGGCATCTGTAGTTCCAGCTACTAGGGAGGCTGAGGCAGGAGGATCACTTGGACCCAGGAGGCGGAGGTTGCCGTGAGTCAAGATCGTGCCGCTGCGCTCCAGCCTGGGTGACAGAATGAGACTCTGAAAAAAAAAAAGAAGAAAGAGAAAGAAGGAAAGAAAGAAAGAAAGAAGGAAGGAAGGAAAGAAAGAAGGAAAGAAAGAAAGAAAGAGAAAAAGAAAGAAAAAAGAAAGAGAAAGAAAGAAAAAGAAAGAAAAGCAGAGGCTGGAGGGATGCCAGGATGCCAGGGAGAGGGCCAAGAGCCAAAGAATGTGGGTGGCCTCTGGAAGCTGCAAAAGGTAAAGAAATGGATTCACACTCCCTCCTCAACCCCCAGAGCATCCAAAAGAAACTGGCTCTGCTGCCATCTTGATGTTAACCCAGTGAAATCCACTTTGGACTTCTGACCCCCAGAACTTTAAGATAATATTATAAATTTGTGTTGTTTAAGTCACTAAGTTTGTGGTCATTTGTTATAACAGCAATGGGAAGCTAATACAGATTCAAAGACAAAAACAAAACAAAAAGCAGAGAAGCAGGATCAGACTATGTGAGAAGATGAGCTCGCAGAAAGGACCAGCGGCCAGTTTTTCCATGGCCTGGCCAGCTGCACTAAGCATTCCGGGTTTTATTTTCAGGGTGAAAGGAACCCAATGGAGAGTTTCAAGCAGGGGAATTGCGGGCTGTGGTTTGTGTTTCCAAAAGATCCCACTGGTCCCTCTTAGAAATATGTGAATAGGGACAGAGTGCAAAGCCAGAGGCGTGAGCGGCCAGCAGTCCAGGTGTGAGCTGAGAAGTAGCTGTGCGGGGACGTGTTTGGAGAGTCAAATTATTACTATAATAATAATTATTATTATTTAGAGATGGTGTCTTGCTCTGTGGCCCAGGCTGGAATGCAGCGGCATGATCCCGGTTCACGGCAATCTCTGCCTCCCGGGTTCAAGCGATTCTCCTGCCTCAGCCACCCAAGTAGCTGGGATTACAGGCACCTGCCACCACACCTGGCTAATTTTTGTATTTTTGGTAGAAACGGGGTTTCACCATGTTGGCCAGGCTGGTCTCGAGCTCCTGACCTCAGGTGATCCACCCTCCTCAGCCTCCCAAAGTGCTGGGACTACAGGTGGGAGCCACTGTGCCCAGCCTGGAGCGTCAAATCAAAACAAAAAAACCAACAGAGCAGTAAGAAACATATTTCAATTTATTACCTTCGGGGCTAGGGGAAGAGAGACAAGTTCTAAGAGGCTTTTCGTGCAAAAATGGAAAGAACTAGGTTTAAGGCAACAGTGAGAAATGACAATGAAAAAGGCAAGCTTCTGATAACAGCTGTCTGTTTGGCTGGTGAGACGGATTGTGACTCTTCTTTGCAATTGGCCATTGTACTAGTTTATGGCACAAAAACCCAGGCACAGTTTTCAAAGAAGTTGAGATGGGGTATTAAGGGTCTGGTGGGTTCGATGTCACCCAGCACAAACTCATACACCCACGTTCAACCTGTGCAGAGTCTTTTCTTTAACAGGATGCAGAGTCAACAGTATTTGCTAGTGAATTGGGGGTGTGGCAGGGTGACCAAAAAAAAAAAAAAAAAAAAGAAATCTAAGTTAATTCTTTGGTTTTTTGGCTTACACAACTAGAAAGAAAGTGGAGTCACTTTACTGTGATAGGATAGGAGTAGGTTTGGTAGGAGAATTGAGTTATGTTTGGACATCTGAGGTTGAGATGCCTATTAGACATCTGAGTGAAAATGTCAAGTGAGCATCTTGACATTTGATTCTGAAATTCAGAGAAGAGGACTGGACTGGAGATACACATTTGCAAGTCCCCTACAAATACATGGATTTTAAAGAAATCAACTTTATTGTGGTATAGTTTACATAAAATTATACACACCCATTTTAAGTGCATGGTTCAATGAGTTTTACTCAGGTAACCACCTACAACAACCAAGATATAGAACAATTCTATCACCCTCCAAAATTGTCTCTTAATCCTTTGCAGTCAATCTTCCCCTCATCTGGTCATAGAAAACTACTAATCTGCTTTCTGTCACGAGGGATGGCTTTTGTCTTTCTGGAATTTCTAGAAATGGAATCAAACAGTACAACTTCTTTGTGTCTGACTTCTTTTGCTCATATAATCTTTGTGGGATTCATCCCTGTTGGTGCATGTATCATTTATTTGTTCTTTTTTATTGTTGAGCAATATTTCATTGTGTGAATAAAACACAATTTGTTTACCCACTTATCTGTTGAGGGATATTTGGCTTATTTCCAGTTTTTAGCTATTTTGAATAAAGCTGCTATAAACATTCATGAGTTTTTGTGTGGCATATTTTGAAAATTTCTCTAGGTAAATACCTAGAAGGGGCATTGTTGGGAACTTTTGATCTAGTTACCAAACTGTTTACAAGTGGCTGTATCATTTTACATTCCTAAGGCAATGTATGAAAATCCACTTAGCCCACATCCTCACCAACACTTGGTGTTGTCAGTCTTTTTAAATGTAGCCATTCTGGCCAGGTATGGCGGCTCATGCCTGTAATCCCAGCACTTTGGAAGGCTGAGGTGGGCAGATCACCCTGAGGTCAGGAGTTTGAGATGAGCCTGGCCAACATGGCAAAACCCCGTCTCTACTAAAAATACAAAAATTAGCTGGGTATGGTGGTGTGCACTGTAATTCCAGCTACTCTTGTTGAGGCAGGAGAATCACTTGAACCCTGGACAGGGAGGTTGCAGTGAGCCGAGATCTCACCACTGCACTTCAGTCTGGGGGACAGTGAGAGATTCCATCTCAAAAAAAAAAAAAAAGTAGTCATTCTGGTGAGTGCGTAGTGGTATCTCATTGTAATTACAAGTTATATTTCCAATGACGTTGAGCATTTATGTGCTTATTGTATATATTTTTTGGTAGTGTCTGCATAAACCTACTGTCCATTATTATTGAGTCAATTTTTTTTCAAATGATGAGTTCTTTATGTATTCTAGATGCAAATCTGTTGTATATTCTAGATACAAATTCATGGTGGTTATTTTTTTCAGTATATTACTTGCCTTTTTATTTTCTTAATTATGTTCTTCAAGGAGTAAAAGACTTTAATAATGATGAGGCCCAATATATCAATATTTTCCTTTTATGATCCATGTGTTTCAGTCTTTGTTTCCTCCATCTGCTTTTAAGATTTTCTCATTGCTTTTGATTTTAAGCATTTTATGCAAAGGTGTGACTTTCTTTGAAATAATTCTCTTTGAGCTTTTTAGTTCTTGAACTCATGGCTTGATTTTTTTAAAAAGCAGTTTTGGAAAAAATCTCATTCACTATTTCTTCAAATATTGCTTCAGCTTCAGCCACTTTCTCCTCTCTTTCTGGGACTCCAACTGTACTTCTGTTAGTCCTTTTTCCTGTATCTCTCATACTTTCTTGGGTGTATCCTATTATTTTGTTCTGTGCTTCACTGTAGATATTTTCTGCTGACTAGATTTCTAATTCACTAATCCTCTCTTCAGCTTTGCCTATGCTGCTGGTAAATCCATCCACTAAATTGATACATTTAAAAAATAGATTTCTGCGGAGATTCTATTTATTCTTGGGCTGACTCTGGAAATTTATATTTTTCTGGCAAATTATATATTTCATCCAAAACTTCAAATTGTATTTCCAGAGTGACTTTTTATTTAGTTGATTCTATTTTTATTTGTTTTCTCTTTTGTTCCTTTCTGTTTTTGTTCTAAAGTTTCATTTATTCTACATTTTTAGTTTATTTTTTGGTTCTTTTGCTTTTTGAGTTTAATGAGTTCCTATTATTTTCCTTTTATTTATTTTTATTTTTTAGAGACAGGGTTTCACTCTATCACCCAGACTGGAGTGCAGTGGCACCATAATAGCTCAGTCTAACCTAGAACTCCTGGGCTCAAGCCTCTTCCCACCTCAGCCTCCTGAGTAGCTAGGGCTACAGCTATGCACCACCATTCCCAGATAATTTTAAACAATTTCTTTTTTATAGAGATAGAGTCTCAGTGTCTCACTATGTCACCCAAGCTGTTCTCAAACTCCTGGCCTCAAGTGATCCTCCTGCCTCAGCCTCCCAAAGCAGTGGGATTACAGGTATAAGCCACCATGCCCAGCCTCTTTTCCTTTTAGTGAATTCATTTACTGTATAAATTTGCCTCTAAGGTTCACATTGTCTGCATCCCAGAAGTTTTCAAATATATGGCAGTTCCTTTGTAATTTAATATCTTATTATTTATGTGTTTTCCTCTTTATCCATATGTTACGTGATGATATACTTATTTTTTGGTTTTCAGATATATCAAGGTGTACAGACTATATTTTTGCTGATTTATAATTCAACTGCATTGTAGTAATGGAACCCAGTCTACATAAAGCTGATATTTAAAAATTTGGTTGGACTTCTTTTGTGACCCAGCACATGGTGAGTTTTTAAAACCGTTTTATGGACACTTATAAAGAATGCACATCATTTGTTGGTTAGGTGTGGGTTCTCTCCATCTATTTTATAAAGGTAATTAATTCTATTACTCAATTCTATATGTTTACTTTTTAAAAAAATCTATCAGTTTCTGAAACCTAATTCCTACCATTGTGCATGCCTCAATTTCTTGTAAATCTGCCTGTTTCACTTTGAATATTTTGAGTCCATATACAAGCCCATGATTTTACTATCTTCTTCGCAGGTTGTTTCTTTTATCAAATTGTAGTGACATTTAATATCCTATGGATCACCTGAAATTTCAGTTTTTCTTAGATGTCTGCATTTTAGCCTTAGCTTGATATGTTTTTTCATCACCTTATTTTCAACTTTTTATTTGTTTTTATTTTAGATGTGCATCTTTATTTTGTATTTTATTTTTTGAGACAGAGTCTTGCTGTTTCACCCAGGCTGGAGTGTAGCAGCGTGATCTTGGCTCACTGCAACCTCTGCCTCCCAGGTTCAAGTGATTCTTATGCCTCAGCCTCCCAAGTAGCTGGGATTACAGGCATATGCCACCATGCCTGGCTGATTTTTATATTTTTAGTAGAGATGAGGTTTCGCCATGTTGGCCAGGGTGGTCTCGAACTCTTGGGTTCAAGTGATCCGCCCGTCTCGCCCTCCCGAAGTGCTGGGATTACAGGTGTGAGCCACCAGCCCCAGCCTAGATGTTTATCTTTTAAGAAGCATATAGCTAGATTTTATTTTGTTATTCAGTTTAATAATACTTCTTTTAATAGGTACTTATTTTAAAGGATATTGTGATTATAGATATATTCAGATATTATCTTAGTCATTGGGGCAGTTATAGTAAAAATTATAAACTGGATGACTTATAAATAACAAAAAGTTATTGCTCATAGTTTGGAGGCTGGCAGGTCCAAGACCAAGGCACTGGCAGATGCGGTGTCTGGTGAGGTCTCCCTCTTTGATTCATAGACCGTGCCTTCTAGCTGCGACCTCACATGGTGGAAAGGGGAAGGCAACCTCCCTGTAGCCTCTTTTAAAAGGGCATTAATCGCATTCACGGGGTCTCCATCCTCTTGGCCTAACCACCTCCCAAAAGCCCTACCTTTTAGTAATATCACATGGGGAGTTAGAATTTCACTATATGAATTTTGGGGGGACACAAACATTTATGCCACAGCAGATATCTTTCTACCACCTTATTTGGTGATTTCTGGGTTTTGTTTGTTTGTTTAAGACAGAGTCTCGCTCTGTCGGCCAGGCTGGAGTGCAGTGGCACCATCTCGGCTCAATGCAACCTTCGCCTCCCCGGTTCAAGCGATTCTCCTGCCTCAGCCTCCCAAGTAGCTGGGATTACGGACGTGTGCCACCACGCCTGGCTAATTTTTGTATTTTTAGTAGAGACTGGGTTTCACCATTTTGGCCAGGCTGGTCCCGAACTGCTGAGTTCAGGTGATCCACCCGCCTCGGCCTCCCAAAGTTCTGGGATTACAGGCGTGAGCCACCATGTCCGGCTGGTGATTTCTGTTTAAAAGTTTTTTCTTAAAGTGTTTTTTCCCACCTAGTTTTTCATTGAATGGGTAAAACATTCTACATTTGCTTTTATTAAAACAAGAAATGAATTTTGCTGCATTTCAATTTATAGATTTTACTATCCTACCTCGTGCCAGGTTCTGTGCTAAGTGCTGTATATATCTGTGATCACATTTAACTTTTATAACAAGCCAAATGAGCAGGAACTCTTATCTCTATCTTACAGACGAAGAATCCAAAGACCAGGGACAGTAAGTAATTTGCTCACCTGGTTTGCCAGCCTCCATGACACATCGCCGTCCAGTTCTGCCTTTAATTACCAAAGCACAACACGCTGCTTTGATTCCCCTCTCCTCGGCGCCAGAATTCAAGAGTGAAGTTAAACCGCAAGGGCTGAGTTAGAAGATTGGCCTCAGTTCCCTGTTCCCACCAGCAGGTGGCACCGTCTCCTAGCGGAATTCTTACTTGAACGTTTTGCTTCCATTTCTGCAGAGGCATGGTGAACACAGTTACACCACCAAAGTGTTCCTCCTGGCTGAGTTTGCCTATCTTGTTCAGTGAAGACAACCCATGAGGACAAATGGTGTTAATGAGAAGCTTTTGCGGAGTTACAGAGATCCTCGTATTTCTTTAAAATACACCTAATAACGTTAACTCTGCAATAATTTGTAGATCATGTTAAATCTTAGCTATCTTCCTCTTGCCACCCAGTGTGCTTCAAGCCACATGGTTCAGAGCACCATTTAATGTGAAACTCCAATTTTAAAACAAAGTGAACCTTCCTTTTACAAAACCATGAGACAAGTTACAGAGTAATGACCACCCACATGACCTTGAAGTGATTTTGAGTGAGTGAGTGTAACTTCCGTGGCTGCCATTTAAATTGGATTCAAATCCAAATGGCTCCACCTCCATGTCATCAGACCTCTTGTGCCCTGATTCCCTTGGCTAAGTTCACAGTACCTTCCACATCAGGTTGTGGCAATGATTACCTGAGGTTAATACGATAAAAGCACATGGTAAGCACTCCTAAATGATAGCCAATATAAAGACTCAGTTCTCCCAATTCCAAGGGTCCCCACCATGATAGAAAAGGATCTTTTGGTAAATAGAGTATGTTTAGCTCTTGCTAGGTCTTTAAATACTTTGCTGGGGGCCAGGCACCATGGCTCACACCTGTAATCCCACCGCCTTAGGAGACTGAGGCTGGAGGATCCTTTGCGGCCAAGAGTTTGAGACCAGCCTGGGCAACACAGCAAGACCCTATTTCTACAAAAATAAAAATAAAAATTAACCAGGCTTTGTACACACTTGTAGTCCCATTACTTGGGAGGCTGAGGCAGGAGGATCCCTCAAGCCCAAGAGTTCAAAGCTGTAGTGAGCTATGATTGCGCCACTGCACTCCAGCCTGGGTGACAGAGTAAGACTCTGTTTCAAAACAACAACAACAAACAAAAACCTCAAAACCTCTTTGTTGGACTTAACTTCCAGCTCCTCCATGTAGTACCTTAGTACCCTTGCAGCCCGTTTCTCTTTTACAAGACAACAATGTTGTTATAAACTCATTTGGATGTGGTCCCGTGGAGGAGTATTTACCAGAATCTAGCTTATTTAGCGTCTTCAGAACACGGCACTTGCCTGGAATTATACTGACCCCCTCAACCCATACCAACCACCCAGAGATGGCTGTTCTTGGCTCCTCTCCCTGGGGCCCTGTCCTTCCCACATCGTCTTCTTCTTCTTTCTTCTTCTTTCTTCTTCCTTCTTCTTCCTTCTTCTTCCTTCTTCTTCCTTCTTCTTCCTTCTTCCTCTTCCTCTTCCTCTTCTTCTTTCTTCTTTCATTGAGACAGAGTCTCACTCTGTCACCCAGCCTGGAGTGCCGTGGTATGATTTCAGCTCACTGTAACTTCTGCCTTGTGGATTCAAGTGATTCTCCTGCCTCAGCCTCCAGAGTAGCAGGGACTACAGGTGTGTGCCACCACACCTGGCTAATTTTTACATTTTTAAGTAGAGACGGGGTTTCACCATGTTGGCAAGGCTGGTCTTGAACTCCTGATCTCAGGTGATCTGCCCGCCTCAGCCTCCCAAAGTGCTGGGATTACAGGCGTGAGCCACCCCACCCAGCCCTTCCCACGTATTCTGGCAGGGAATGCTGTTGTCCCCCAAGCCTACCCTAAGAGGAAGACTTCTTCTGGGGAAAGATGTTCACTGTACCCAGGCCCTGCCCTGGCTGGAGCTGGCAGGAAGGGTCCCAGAGCAGGAACTTGTGCCACTCTGCCCAAAGCCAGAGTCCCTGAGGCACACACCCCATCAGGCACCAAGGTGAATTCCAACTGCCAGTTAGTATTTAACTTTCCACATACGATTAGATTAAACATGTGGGTTCATAAAAGCATAGGATTGCAGACTGCAGTTGCAAGGGCTTAGATGGTTGTAAGGTGAAGGTGCCCAGCAGGCTGAGGCTTGTGTGCAACCCAGAAGAGAGCTCGCTAACGCCAGCAAGAAGGTTCAGAACAGCCTGGCTTTGGAAAGGAATTTCATCCTGCCCACACACTGCATAGGTAAGTCTTAGCACACATTCTTTATTTTTTGAGGAATTAAGTAACAAAGTTATCTATGTGCCTTTTCCAGAAAATGATAAAAGGAATGATTTTCCTGGTACATGGCCTGGCTCCTCATCCACTCTTCCTTCTTTCCTTCTTGTGTTTTCCTTACTCATTTCTTTGTTAATTGCCTTAGAATGAAAATTTTGAGAGTTTTTAAAATGGAGGATTCATGGTAAACGTAGGTAATCATATTGTTTTCTCTTCTTGATATAAAAATGAAAGACTTTGCTGCCTTTTATAGGCCCAGGTGATGTGAGCGATCTACCATGTTTCAAGAAAAGAAAACTTTGGGGCTGGGCGCGGTGGCTCACGCCTGTAATCCCAGCACTTTGAGAGGCTGAGGCAGGCGGATCACCTGAGGTCAGGAGATCGAGACCAGCCTGGCCAACATAGTGAAACCCCATCTCTACTAAAAATACAAAAAAAATTAGCCTGGCGTGGTGGCTGGCGCCTGTAGTCCCAGCTACTCAGGAAGCTGAGGCAGGAGAACGGCATGAACCCGGGAGGTGGAGCTTGCAGTGAGCCGAGATCACGCCACTGCACTCCAGCCTGGGCGACAGAGTGAGACTCCATCTCAAAAAAAAAAAAAAGAAAGAAAAGAAAACTCTGGACTTTGGGGTCAAATGAGTGTTACTTTCCTAATAGTGTCCTGATTGCTGTTGTCATGAATAACACACATTCATGACAGGAATGGCTGGAATTAGGGGATCATTCTGTAGCCTGGAGACAGGGCACAACTAATGACATGTGTAAGCTCAAATCATGGTCTTGATCTTATGTCTTGTACCCAGTTGAGCCAACTGGTCACAGCAATGAAAACAGTGAGTTATTGGAATGTGTGACCTCTGCTAGGACAGTCAGTGCTGGACACTGGCTTGGGTGATGTGAGTTCTAGTCCAGGCACTGTGGCCAACTTGAGAGGCTTGTGATCTTGGACAGGTGACTTAAGCCCTCTAGGCTATAGTTATTCCACCTATCAGAGAGCAAACCAGCCTAAATGATCTCCAGGGGCCCAGCCTGTGCTAGGACTCAGCAAGAAGCATTCACTGGAAATGTAGGTCCTCCTAGGTTGATACACATGAATTGCCCATATTTGACCATTTCTAACCTATATAAATGGCTATTTCATATAATTCCAGAGAACATAAATGGTAGTTGTCTTAGCATTACTAAAGTAAATGCCTATTATGATATTCTACTTAGGGGTAGGATAAGTATGTATACCAAATATGGTTTGTTTCGATTTGATTTTTGAGACAGGGTCTCACTGTCACTGCTGAGTGCAGTGGTGTGATCATGGCTTACTGCAGCCTTGACCTCCCAGGTTCAAGCTATCCTCCCACCTCAGCCTCCTGAGTAGCTGGGACTATAGGAGTGTGCCATCACATCCAGCTATTTTTTTATGTTTTGTAGAGGTGGTGTCTCGCTATGTTGTCCAGGCTGATCTCGAACTCCTGGGTTCAAGCGATCCTCCCACCTCGGCCTCCCGAAGTGCTGGGATTACAGGTGTGAACCACTGTGCCTGGCCTCCAAATATGGTTGATGTCTATCAGTCAGTTAAACAGTAATTCTGGGAATAAAAAATTGAAATCAACCCACTTATAATTGGAATGTCTTAGCATAATGTCCTTCAACGAAGCTGCTTTCACACACTGTGATTTGTTTTTTTCCTGTGGTCATGGAGCAGGCATGGGCCACTCGGCCACATCTCATGCATCCGTATTCAAAAGCCAAATCCCTTTTGGATCCTGTTTATTTGGCCTGGCCACGGGTGAGCACTTAGACATTTAATCCCTATAGGCCCTTTCATCCCTGTGATTAAGTCTTATCAAAAAGCACCTCCTGACCGGCTTAGCAGTGGGGCCTTTGTTCACATTAGAAGGGTTGAACAAATAATGGGCAGTTGGGGCTGCTTAGCTCTAAAAGGCTGGTGAACGCTGCCATGCCTGCACCTGGAAACAAACCCAAATGACTCCAGTGGAATTCAGCACTGAAGTCCCTCATCTCAAAGACCTTTTGTGGCAGAGACTCTTGGATGGGCCTTAGGGGTCCCAGGAGTCCCCTGAAATTGAATGTAGAGCTTCCTACGTGCATAGGTATACTTTCTTGGGGAAAAATTAAGTCACATCATTTTATTTTACTTTTCGAGGGATCTTTAACACCGCCCCTCCCCCACCCCCAATTCCCACACCCCTTAAGAATAAATTAAGAATCACTGTTCTGGTAGTTTCCAGTTGAATTCCACAGAGGAACTGTCATTCATTCACACCTTCATTCAACAGATTTTTAGTAAAGATTTGCTACGTACCCATCGCTGTGTAGGGTCCCGGGATTCAGAGATGAGTAAAGCAATCCCTGCCTTCCGGGGGCTCAAGCTCTCCTGTCATCGGGACTCAGTTACTGAATCTCACTAAACATCCTGAAGGTAGGAGTTTATAGAGTGGTTTTGAGGATCACATGAATAAGCACACAATACATGGGTAATTCAAAAACGAAAACAAGGCCGGGCACGGTGGCTCACGCCTGTAATCCCAGCACTTTGGGAGGCCAAGGTGGGCGGATCACGAGGTCAGGAGATCGAGACCATCCTGGCTAACATGGTGAAACCCCGTCTGTACTAAAAATACAAAAAATTAGCCGGGCTTCGTGGCGGGTGCCTGTAGACCCAGCTACTCAGGAGGCTGAGGCAGGAGAATGGCGTAAACCCGGGAGGCAGAGCTTGCAGTAAGCCGAGATCGCGCCACTGCACTCCAGCCTGGGCAAAAGAGACTCCATCTCAAAAAAAAAAAAAAAAAAAAAAAAAAAGGAAAAAAACAAAACTAACATGGTCATTTGCAGAAGGGGCAGAAAAAGGGTCTCTGCCTAGACCTGGGGAGGTCAGGGAAAGTACTATGGATTGGTAACAACCGGCTGGGCTTCCTACAAGAGAAAAAGACTATACTCACAGAGCCAGACCCCATCTCAAAAAAAAAAAAAAAAAAAAGTCTGGCATGGTGGCTCAAACCTGTAATCCCAGCACCTTGGGAGGCTGAAGCAGGGGGATCACTTGAGCCTAGGAGTTTAACAACATAGTGAGACCTCATCACTACTTTTTTATTTTAAAAAAGAGTTAATAAAAAATAAAATGAAAATAAAAGGGTAAAAGAGCCAGTGGCAAAGTCTTGAGTGGATTAAAGCCAGCTCAGCTAACTTTCACAGCAGACTATATCATTTTAAAGGGGAAAAAGCACATCTCTGTTACATTGCTTAGGAAATATGCTTGGTATATACCCTGGGGCAATCTTATCTATTTGTTAAGTTTCCTTCCAACCCACTAGCCTGTGTGGCCAGGAGAGGGAGACAAAGATCTTAGAGCTCTCTAAATAATAGAACTTAAAACATCAGACAGAGAAGAGTATATTATCTTGGTGATGGTAATTCTCAATGAGGAAAATCCTGGGGAGGGATGTTCTGTGGGAGAATGCCTGCAAGTTTATTTGTTTAGTAGGTTTGATTATTCAGCTGATTGAAATTCCTTTCCCAGATGGGGAGATCTGATTCTCTTTTCATGAAGGAAAGAAAAGTCACATGCTAAAGAGACGGGCATGTCTTTAGAACGGCAGCAGGCAAACCCACTGCTGGGATCCTGGGGCTTTTACTAGTGGCTAGTCACAGGTTTACCTCCTGCCTGTGCTCCTTCTAGCTGTGTTGAAACCCACTTGCCCCATCTATGAACCGTGTTCAGCTCCATTTTCTGAGCCCCCTTATCTTTTTGTCCATACCTGTTGCAACTCTTTGCACGTTGCATTGTCATTGATTTGGTCTCTCCCATTCAACTGAGCCTCTCACAGAGTTCCTGTCACCTCTGCAGTTTCATCGCCTAGCATAGTACCTGGCACTTTAATTCATGCATCAAATGTCCATTGAGTGCCTTCTATGTGTTAGACATCTGCTATACCGAGCTAGACAAAGTTGGCAGACATGACAGCCGAGTGGAAAAGATGAGCCCCTAAACCAATAATCACACACACACACACACACACACACACACACAATATATATATATATATATATATATATATATATGTATGTTATATATATGTATGTTATATATATGTATGTATGTATGTATTAAAAAATCTTGGCCGGGAGCGGTGGCTCACACCTGTAATCTCAGCACTTTGGGAGGCCGAGGCAGGTGGATCACGAGGTCACGAGATCGAGACCATCCTGGCTAACATGGCGAAACCCCGTCTCTACTAAAAATACAAAACATTAGCCAGGCGTAGTGGCGGTTGCCTGTAGTCCCAGCTACTTGGGAGGCTGAGACAGGAGAATCACTTGAACCTGGGAGGCAGAGGTTGCAGTGAGCCAAGATCGCGCCACTGCACTCCAGCCTGGGTGACAGAGCGAGACTCCGTCTCAAAAAAACAAAAAATTTTTGCCTTGCAATCGTTTGCCTTGATGTTATGTCTAAAGCCCCACAATTCTCTAAAAACAGAGATGTATAAAAAAGCACACGTATATAATTCTCTGAAAACAGAATATAAATGAGTCATTGCTCCATTTAACTGACATTTGTTGAGTGCTTGTTATAAATATGGCATTATTCTAGCTGGTGTGAGGTTACCAATTTTTTTTAAACAAAAGTAATATGAATATATACACACACATTTAGTGACTGCATATGTGATGTGTGCTTTTGAAGAAAAAGGAGATGCTGTTGGAGGAAAATGGTGGTGGTGGTGGGAAGTGATTTAGAGTAGAACCAGGGAAGTCTCAGAAGTGACAACTAGCTGGAACCTAAAGAACGAGGAGGTAGCAGGTGGAAGAGAAAGGCAAAGGCATTCTAGGTTGAGAGAATAGGATGTGATAATGTCCCGAGGAAAGAGAGCTTACTGACAGGGAGGGAAGATGTCAGGTGTGACCGAACTGTAGTGAGCAAAGGGTAACTGAGGAGGTGGTCAGGAGCCTGCTCAGCCAATGGGGTAAATACTGTTAAGGAATTAGGACTTGATTTTAAGAACAACCATCGCATCATTTTAAAAGCAAACAAATTGCACTATAATTTCCCTCTTCAAAAAGGCACATTGGCTGTGCACGGTGGCTGACACATGTAATCCCAGCACTTTGGGAGGCTGAGGCGGGTGGATCACCTGAAGTCAGGAGTTCGAGACCAGCCTGGCCAATGTGTTGAAACCCCGTCTCTACCAAAAATACAAAAGTTAGCCAGGCGTGGTGACATGTGCCTGTAATCCCAGCTACTTGGGAGGCTGAGGCATGAGAATTGCTTGAACTGGGGAGGCGGAGGTTTCAGTGAGCAGAGATCGTGCCACCCCACTCCAGCCTGGACGACAGAGCAAGATTCCGTCTTAAGAAAAAAAAAAGGGCACATTGATGGCTATTCAAGGCAGAGAGGGGCACATATAACCCCAAAGAGATGGCTCTGGGGAGGGTTGTGTTGTATTACATTGTTGGCATTGTATTATCCAGGTGAGAGATGCTGGAGGCTGGGCGGTGCCAGTGGTGATGAAAAGGAGAGATGGATTTGAAACATAGGAATAATCTCTCAGATTGTTTCTTGGCATCACTTACCTAAAATGCTTCTTTCAAATATAGATGTACACACCCCTCCCTTTAGGATACTTGGGACAATGTGCCACTTAGACATAGGGGATGGAACAAATTGGAGAGTCTGTCAATGCCCCCTGCAATCTTTTCTCTTGATGTTATCTCATAATGCCCCACAATTCTCTAAAAACAGAGAACATAAATGAGTCATTGGTCCATTCCACTGACGTTTGTTGAGTGCTTGTTATGAATGTGGCATTATTCTAGCTCTTGTAAGGTTACCAATTTTTTAAAAAACAAAAGTAATGCAAGACTGCTGATGAAAATTTGGAATATGAGAAAAGCATAAAGAAGAAAATACATATCTTTAAGCACACCACCCACTGTTAACATTCTGATCTATGTACTTCTAATATTTTCTCCATTTTCATATGTACACATACATTTATTTACATGCATATATAAATATCAAAGTGTATATATATAATTTTCTCTGCCATTTAAATTTTTACTGTGTAACAATCATGGATTGTAAAAAAAGTGAATAAAATGTACGCAGTCAGTTTAAAGACTAACAAAATATGCATTAAATCACCAGCCAGGTTAAGAAGAAATACTATTACTTATACCCTGGCATCTCCCTCCCACCTTTACATAGCCAAATCCAGAAAAGATCCGTTTTCCTAACCTTGTTCGCCTATTTTATTATTTAAATTGCAGCAGGAGGGAAGCATGTCTACTTTATCCAATTTCACACAGACGCTGGAAGACGTCTTCCGAAGGATTTTTATTACTTATATGGACAATTGGCGCCAGAACACAACAGCTGAGCAAGAGGCCCTCCAAGCCAAAGTTGATGCTGAGAACTTCTACTATGTCATCCTGTACCTCATGGTGATGATTGGAATGTTCTCTTTCATCATCGTGGCCATCCTGGTGAGCACTGTGAAATCCAAGAGACGGGAACACTCCAATGACCCCTACCACCAGTACATTGTAGAGGACTGGCAGGAAAAGTACAAGAGCCAAATCTTGAATCTAGAAGAATCGAAGGCCACCATCCATGAGAACATTGGTGCGGCTGGGTTCAAAATGTCCCCCTGATAAGGGAGAAAGGCACCAAGCTAACATCTGACGTCCAGACATGAAGAGATGCCAGTGCCACGAGGCAAATCCAAATTGTCTTTGCTTAGAAGAAAGTGAGTTCCTTGCTCTCTGTTGAGAATTTTCATGGAGATTATGTGGTTGGCCAATAAAGATAGATGACATTTCAATCTCAGTGATTTATGCTTGCTTGTTGGAGCAATATTTTGTGCTGAAGACCTCTTTTACTTTCCGGGCAAGTGAATGTCATTTTAATCAATATCAATGATGAAAATAAAGCCAAATTTGAAGTAAAGTGTCTGGGCAGTGGCTGTGGGGATAGAAAGGAGAGATTTACAAATCATTGAATCTTCTTTCTCATGAAACATCATTTGTGTGTGACAAATTCAATTTATAAATAACCCAGATGTATTATGTAGAAGCTGAGGCTCAAAAGCTATCACTTGCTTACCAGACGGACATAGGAGCATTTATCTGTAATATTAATTCATGAGTGTGGAGTCTGAAGAGATGAATAAACAAACCATAAGATTACTTTACATTTATTGTTTTCCTGGCCTTTAACCTATTTAGAAGTCTTAAGACAGAACAAACATTTTTCTTTTTCTTTTTCTTTTTCTTTTGAGACATGGTCTCTCTCTGTCACCCAGCCTGGAGTGCAGTGGTGCAATCTCAGCTCACTGCAGCCTCAACCTCCCGGGCTCAAGTGATCCTCCCACCTCAGCCTCCCTAGTAGCTGGGACTACAGGCACGTGTGCCACCACACCCAGCTAACTTTTGTATTTTTTTGTAAAAACAGGGTCTCACTATGTTGCCCAGGCTGGTCTCGAACCTGAACAAACATTTCAAAGGACAAATAATCCATACCAGAGAAGTAGAGTATTTAAGAAGTACCCAGTATAACAAAACATATTTTAAAACTAACATTTAAAGTTTTGCAGAAAACTAATCTTAAAAAGTTCTCATTATTTAAGAAAAAAAAATAAAAAGTTATAATGTCGCTTTAAAAATGTATTCTTTTAACTTGATTTAGTTTTCCTCTATTTATAATTAGTTGTTAGCATTTATGTTTAAGAAACTAAAGGATACAGAAAGGGTCTAAATTGCTGATGCCCTCTGAAGACCTAGACAGGAACTACTTAATATCTTGCACCATGTGGTGCAGGATATCATAGAATGTCAGGGCTGATCATTCTACTGTTGGCAGAGACCACTTCACTTACAGATGAGAGAAGGGCAGTCCACTGAGAGGAGACAATTTCATTCACTAATTCGGTCAGGCAACATTGACCTACTTGGTCCACTGGCCTAGACCCCAAGAGTATAAAGATGAGCAAGGCCGGGCACAGTGGCTCACACCTGTAATCCTAGCACTTTGAGAGGCTGAGGTGGGCAGATCACCTGAGGTCAGGAGTTCAAGACCAGCCTGGCCAACATGGTGAAACTCCATCTCTACTAAAAATATAAAAATTAACCGCGTGTGGTGGCAGGAGCCTGTAATCCCAGCTACTGGGGAGACTGAGGCATGAGAATCACTTGAACCCGGGAGGGGGAGATTGCAGTGAGCCGAGATTGCATCATTGCACTCCAGCCTGAGTGACAGATGCTAAACATCATAGTACAATGTGACAAGGTCCTAACAGAGATCAATGCAAAGGGGACACAGCCAGCCAGCACAAGGACAGGAGGGCATGCCTAATGCAGGTCAAGGTCTTCTCTCTCAGAGCAGCTGAGAGTAGCAGGTCAATGGCAGCAGAGAGATGTGGGGCCTCAGCATCCCATGGCTTCATGCCTCCTAGTTTACCCTGTTCTCCTCCCCATGCCCCAGCCAAGGCACAGCAACGATGGGCAAGGCCTCAAGCCTCAGGGTGCTAGGACAAAATTTAGAAAAAGAGGCTCTTCTTCAGAGAATGCTTGTAGAACTCGTTATTCCAATCACAAGGTTTGTCTCTTTAAAATTACAGAGTGAGATATGTACAAGGTATCTACTTCCTAATAACAGATTTGCAATTATGCCAACTGAAGCATTCAGTACAGTTAGAGAAAACCATCCATATTCCAAGAGCAGATGTAGGAAGAGTGGCTTCCCTCCTCAGATCAGAAACCCAGAAATGTTGTCCCACCCAGAAACATCCATCTCAGAGAGGCCAGAGCAGCCATCAGGCTTTAAATCCCAGCCCTCTGCTCTGCATCCAGACAGAAATCCGAGGTTTCCATCAGGTGACAAAGACCCTCTCCTTAACCAAACTGTCAAGCTCCTCTGAGCCCTCTTCTTGACTAGAGCCCAACCATGGCCCTATAAAAACTGCAGACTCTCAGCACACATGATTTCGCCCACCTTTGCACACTAAGAGACATAAACGCTAGCATAGGTTCTAAGAGCTGAAAGCTAAAGCGCCTGCCCGAGAAAAGTGAATGCGGCCTGAAGAATTTACTAATTGTTCCAACCAAAACCTGGTGACAGGCAGATAGTCCCCTGATCCCTCTCTTAAGGCAGTTACTTTAGAAAGTTTGCAATTATAAATCCTTTCTCTCTCCCTTGAGATGTATATCTTCTACCATTCAGAACTGTATTGTCTCTCTGAAATGCAAACATTCAAACTCTCCTTGCTGGATGGGTGCCTTGCTCTAACTTACTGCTCCCCATCACAGACAGAAGTTTGTTTCTACTCTAGATAGGAGCCAATTAACAAACCCAGATCACACTGACCAACCCCTTCCCACTTTCTATGCATTTCCACTTCCTGGACTCTGCTCAAGCCCCATCCCCACTCAGTTACCTTTGCACAAAGGGAAGTTGAGCTGGGCCTCTTCCCTCTGGCAATAGCTAATGATTTCAGTCAATCCTTACTGCTTTAACTGGCTTTCTTTACCTTTGACACAGGTAAACACATGGAGAGCAAAATCGAGGTTTTTCTGGCCGGGTGCAGTAGCTCATGCCTGTAATCCCAGCACTTTGGGAGGCCAAGGTGGGAGGATCACTTGAGCTCAGGAGTTTGAGACCAGCCTGGCCAACATGATGAAACCCCATCTCTACTAAAAATACAAAAATTAGCTGGGTGTGGTGGTGGGTGCCTGTAATCCCAGCTACTTGGGAGGCTGAGGCAGGAGAATTGCTTGAACCTGGGAGGCAGAGGTTGCAGTGAACCGAGATTGCATCACTGCACTCTAGCCTTGGCGACTGAGTGAGACTCCATCTCAAAAAAAAAAAAAAAAAAAATCGAGGTTTTCCTAATTAAGTACATTTTATTATCATCACTGAAAGTACAGGTGGTAACATAGAGGGTTATCAGCCAACTTCACTTTTGGGGAATGGGAGAAATGCTGACTCTCTCCAAGCATGTTGGGTGTCTAGTGGTTGAAGCCATTTGCCAAGATTGTCACCCTAGGATCCACTCCCACCAAACCTGGGCTTTTCACTTTCAACCCAGCAACTGAAAATGCCAGTTCAAACAACTTGCTGTTTTTTTCTACCCCACTTGCTTTTAGAGTTCCTTCTGCCTGTTTTATTGGCTCCATATAACCTGAATACCACTTATTTCTTAAAGCATAGCTCAGATGCTATTTTAAAAGGAGCCCAGGATAGTGGCTGATTTGATAGAATCTATACCCAGATTACCCAGGGTCAAGTCCCAGCTCTGGTACCTGCGGCCTTTAAAACCACGAAAAAATTACTTTAATCTCTGTGTCTCCATTTCCTCATTTGTGAAATGGTTATCATTATAGCACGTCCCTTACAGCCTTGTTATGAGACTTAGGCAATAGCCACTAGTGCTTAGAACAAAGCTATTTTTGTAACTTTCTCCAGGAACACTTCCCTTAACAGAACCAACCCCTCCACCCCTCAGTTTGTTCTTCCCTCCACACCCTCTAACATTCTAACATAACCACAAAGAGTCCTGATGGGATTTGGAGTTACACTGCCTGGGTTCGAATCTCAATTCCGCCACTGCCATTCGCGCGTTTTCTATTGCCAGCCACCTTACTCTCCCCTGGCCTCAGTTTCCTCATCCTTAGAAGGGGAGCAGAGCACATGGTGGTAACTCCCTGCACATTCCTCTCTTTCCTTGTATTGGGTGCCCAGTTTGTGCCCTCACATGGCGCTAGCACTGAGTGGGCTCAAACTCTGTACGCGTTTACTAAGCATATTGACTGAAGAAATCTGGAAACCTAGTACCGCGGCACCATATCGTTACCCCAAAGGAAAATGCATGCACGCTGTCAGAGATGACGAACACTGCGTCTGGAAACTTCTTAAGGGCACCCACGTGTCCTCAGCTGCAGACAGCAGCGAGGAGACACCCAGGGAATTCGAGACAGCGGAAGGCGGAAGGGTCCCGCAACAACCCACCCTCCAGCTCAGGTGAGTTCAGAGTGAGAACGCACCGCCAGGCTTGGACAAAGGCACCCGGCCTACACCCCAGCGGCTCCCCGCCGGGGCCTACGTGGACTTCAGCCTCCAGCCACAGGGACAAGAGCTGCTGGCCAGGGCTGCCCGCCTGGGCTCACTGCGCCTGCGCAGTGAGCAGCGCGCCCCAGGTCTTCTGCCCGGGCCCACTGCGCCTGCGCACGGAGTAGTGCACTCTCGTCGGCGGCACCGGCCCACTGCGCCTGAGCACGTAGCGGTGCATTTCGGGACCTGTAGTTTTCCCCGGCAGGACGGTAGAAGTCGTGGTTTGTGCGCGGCCAGGCGCTGGAGCCTCCGCTGCCGGGAGCAGTAAGTGTGTGACGTCGGGGTAGAAGGGAGTGACCCAAATTCCAAAAGCTCTTTGGGATGCTGCGATGTCGCGGCCGGCCCCGCGCTCGGGTTTTCCCTCCTAGACAAAAGTCTGCCGGCTCCCGGTCGCGCCGGGTCGGGGATCCGGAAGGTGAAGGCCGCCAGGCCCCACCTGCGGGGCGCCCCTGCTGGACCTGGCCGTCGGGCGCCGTCAACCCGTTGAGCAGCGTGTTCCGGCTGGCACGTGGCCCGGGCGGGGCCCAGGATTGGTTCAAGCCTACGGTGTTGGTCCCCGGAGAGTCTAGGGAGACAAGCAATCCCCTGGAATGGTGGGGGAAGCGATGACAGCCCCTGGTCCTCATCCGCAGCTCTGGGGGAAGTCGGGGGGTGGGGAGGGCGGGTGTTGCTCCCTGAGTGTTGGGGGAAGGGTATGGGGAGAGGACCCTGAACTAGCCCCCAGGTTACCCAGGAGGAGCTGAGGCCCAGAGAGGTTCAGCGACTCGCCCAGGGTTGCACAGCGAGCACAGGCACCGACGTCGCCCTCCGAGGCCTGGGCTTCCAGCAGGGAGAGACCCGGACACCTGTCATCGCTTCTCGGTGGATCCCTGAAATGTTGAGTTGTGGAGTCTGGGCAGCTGAGATCGGGCAGGGCTGGTTTCTTGTAGGCCCAGGCTTCCGTGTAGAGGGCCAAGTGATGCCCAAGGTTCACCTGGCAGCCCCCTCTCTGGACCTACCCCTCCTTATGATTGGGTGAAGGGTTGGGTGAAAAGGGTAGAGGCCGGGAATGAGAACAGCTTCAGAAAGCTCAGACAAAGGGCGCAGCATGATTCGTGGCTGGAAGGAGACAGCAAGCGATAGACTGATCCTTGAATTTGTTAGTGTGCCAAGAAGAAAAAGTATTAATAGATTGTGGACGACACATTATCCATATTGCTTTAGTTGGTCTAACCAAAATAAGCGAATAGCTTTTTTGTTTCTAAGAGAAACCTGACAAAGGAAGACAGGGTATTTTTGCGGTGAAGGAAATAGAAATATTTGGAGTTGTATCTAAGCCACTTGTTACTTTTGTGTTTTAAGCTAAGATCATGGATAGGTCCAGGGAAAGTTAAAAATTTCCCGCACTTCTTAGATTTTATGCCCCTCAAAAACATCCCCACCTTGTTGGCTTTTGCAGTTCAACCTTCAGATACCAGCTCCCTCGTTTCTAATATTGCATTAGGTGTACATATGGCAGCAGAGCAAATAGCTTACTGATACTTTTAGCTTTTTTCTTCTCATTTGCAAAAGACTCTATGAAAATGGCT
This sequence comes from Homo sapiens, assembly GCF_000001405.40. Lineage (NCBI taxonomy): Eukaryota > Metazoa > Chordata > Mammalia > Primates > Hominidae > Homo > Homo sapiens. The sequence goes on from NC_000021.9 coordinate 34,376,872, forward strand.
GGCTTGGGCATGTAATTGAAGGGAGGTGGGGAAAAGTGGTAATTCAGAGGCAGTGGGTGGGAATGAGCAAAGCATGTCAGTGTGGTTCACCCTCTTGACTCCCACCTCACCACAGCCCTTCTGCTACAATTGCAGATTGACTCTAAATATGTTTCTTTCCTAAAGAGCTTGAATTTTATCACTCCAGGTATGAAGTTGAGGCAGCTGCCAGTATATTTTGGCAGTCAGGTTCTGTGATATCAGAGAGGATGGTGAATTGTGAATTCCAGAGTTGCAGAATTGTTCTTTAGATTCTGATTTTTTAAATGACAGCACTTTGGTTTGGAGGGTTAATGACTTACCCCAGGTCATATGCCACACCATGGGTAACACCAAGAGTAGAGCTCAGATCTCCAGTTGTCCTGGTCCTCAGGCTACTGATCTTTATTCCCTGCCCTGCTATCTTGGAATGACTGCATTTTGCCCTGGATGTCGCTAGCCTGTATCCTTCAGGTTGGCATGTCCAGTCATGGAAGGAGAGAGATTTAACATAACAACAATGGCTGACATTCAGTGCTTTCTGTGTGCTGGCCATGGTGCTTAGTGTTTACAGTCTAATCTGCAAGAGAATTTACAGATGGGCAAGTTGAGGCTGAGAGAGGCCAAGTAACTTGTCCAAGGTCACACTGCTAGTGAACATAGCACATGTTTTCCAGAGGGCCAGACCACTGGATGTTTTTTCATTCATTTCCTCCTGTAGGATCGTTGGACCTATTTCTCGTTCTTGACTTTGGGAATCAATATTCTACGTACATCAATTCACTGGGTATGCAGTTTTGCCTCTGAAAATTTTGAGGGAACAGCCAGACTCATCTACTGTATTTGTATACAACTCAATTAAAGCAGGAATTGTAAAAATAAAATTTGTAAGATCTTTAACATTTTAATATACAACATTAGCTAATCACTAAGATTACTAGAGATACTCAAAGTGAAAATTGTAGCAACAGGTTATAACATGTTAGGAGCATATTTCTTTAGGGCAGTCAGAATCTGCTGCTTCTTAAAGACAAGTGGGCCATTTACACATGAAGGTAACAAGCACATTCAGCCACCATCATTATAGTTAAACAGATCTATGATTTAAATTCCTATCGCTACCTTATCTGACTTTGAAAAAGTCATGGGGAAAACTTGGCTACCTTGTGCCAACTGCTAGCTTGTTTTCAAGATATTATAATCTTGAATAGATGGAGGATGAACTTTTTATACTTAGATAGCTTTGTAATTGAAAGTTTGTATAAAAACATCTTGCCTGAAGTTCATCTTATCCCCATTCTATCTAAAGGCCTTTGAAATTTTCAGCCACTTTTCTTAATTATGACGGTAAGTACATTTCAAGAGAAGTGTTTCCCTGACTTTTGAATGCAAAGCTCTCTGCCTGTGTCAGGATGGTGCCGAGGTTAAAGCCCTGGAGCCAGACTGGATGGGTTCGAATCCCAGGCCCACCTGCGAGACCCTCGATGTGTTACTTAAATTTTATTTCCTCCTCTCTAAAGTGGAGGCAGTAAGCTGTTTTATGGGGTAGTTGTGAGGGCTAAATGTCTTAACTCATCTAAGCACTTTAGCCACTTTTTTCCATCTGACACAAAAAAGTTAAGCTATGATTATTGTGCTATAAAGCATTGGATTTCAGAAGAAGTAGGGGCACTAAACACCATCTGCTTGACACCTTTCTTCACTTACAGATGGGACTGAAGCTCTAGAGGGAAGTCACTTACCAGAGGGTGTAGGTTCTTCATCCAGAGCTGAAGTCTTCTTGGGGGTATGTGTCATATTCTAAGAGTAGGGACCTACAAGGCCTTGGAGCGAATCCCAAGGCTCGGGCTGCCAGCCCTGCCTTCTCATTTCCATATGCCATGGTGTGGCATATGACCTGGGGTAATATCCTCTGAACCAAAGTGCTGTCATTTAAAAAATCAGAATCTAAAGAACAATTCTGCAACTCTGGAATTCACAATTCACCATCCTCTCTGATATCACTTCCTTCCCTACCTTCTACTAGGTCTCCCTCAAGCTTTAGAGAAAATTCTGCCTCTGAATTATTGCATCTGACAATTTTTCTGCCCTGTCACTTATTCCCTTGCTCCCAGATAATCTTCGAAAAACCAAGATGAGTTTAATTAACACTCAGAGGACTTGACAAAGACACTCACTCCCAAACCAGCTTGCGTTTAGGTCTGGAGGCAGGTGGAGGGACAGATTTTAGACTTGGGCCCTTAGGTTCACAGATGAATGGGATGGGAGCCCATGTCCCCTCAGAAGCGGCGCTGTGCTGCTGGCGGCTACAGACAGCTGGTGAGGAGAGCTTTCTGCTTAGCAAGGGCCAGGCCCGTCTGGGCCCTCGCCCAGCCCATCCACTTCCCACCAGTCTCTCAATCGCCTTGTCAGGACACAGCCCACCTCTCTGTGGAGCTCACTTTCTGTTCACATTCCCTCTCTCCATCAAAGAGACATCTTTCTAAGGTGGTCTGCCCTAGGAACTCCAAATTGACCTGCTTCTTTCTTCCTGCCCAGATCAGACCTTCCAGCTGCCTCTCATGTACTTGTCTGTTGGGGGCTTGTGTTGATCAGGAGTGAATTCACAGTCTACCATGAATTGGAAGGTGAGTATCGTTTTAAATATTTATGGCTTGGGGTTTTTTCTTCCTCCTGATTGTGAAAATTCAGAATAACAGTTCTACACCAGTAGCTTGATTAAAAAGAAAAAGTAGGTGAAAGCATAATATTTATGTTTCATTTTAAGTTAAAACATAAATGTACATTTATTCGCTGGACTTCTGGAAGAAGGCCAGGCCTTTTCTTCGAGTGTGCATTCACTAACTTCAAATCTTCCTCACTTTTCTTACAAAAACTATACCTTTAAAGCTTTACCTGCAATTTTGCATTGTGCTTTCTTTTTTTACACATTTTTTTTGTAGAGATAGGGCTCCACTATGTTGCCCAGGCTGGTCTTGAACTCCTGGGCTCAAGCAGTCCTCCTGCCTGAGCCTCCCAAAGTGTCGGGATTACAAGAATGAACCACTGTGCTCAGGCCGTTTTGGTTCCTTTAAAGTAGATGCAGTGGACTGAATGTTTGTGTTTCCCCAAGTTCATATGTTGCAACCGTAGTGCCCAGTGTGATGATATTTGGAGTTGGAGCTTGTAAGAGGTAATTAGGTGATGAGGCTGGAGCCCTAATGTTTGGAATAGTGAGCTTATTAAAAGGGCTCCAGGGAGCTCTCTTACCCTCTTTCTGCCATGTTGGGGGTACAACAAGAAGCCAGCCGTCAGCAGCCTGGAAGAGGACTCCGCTAGAACCCCCCTGTACTGCGCCCTGATCCTCAGGCTTTCAGCCTTTCGAACTGTGACAAGTACCTCTTTAATAAGTCACCCAGTCTGTGGTCCTTTGTTCTAGGAGCTGAATTGACTAAGACAGTGGATTAAGATCTTATGAGCAGTGCATACACAAAATCTTTCCAGTGTTTCATACTCTTTCCTAATCTTTTACAGTTGACTTGCCAACAGCATTTTTTTTCCAACGCAAACTTGAGTCTTTCAAAGTATTCAACTTAGTTTTCATAAAAACTTTTGCTTTACACAGTCATATTTCACAAGCGTAATGTTTAAATAAGTTATGGAACATAGTATCAAGTACAACTTAAATAAACTGCTTGGCGAGTAAACACACCTGACCCCTGTGAAACATTAGATTCAGCTGGTGGGAGCAGAAGTTCAAGGGCAGCCAGAGAGTAGGTCAGCAATCAGGTTCCACCGAGGGAAAGGAGAATGTCATCTTAAGTCCCGGAAGTCAATAAGGTGAGGTGGAGGTTGTTTAAGAGAGCAGCCACTAAAATATATTATAGTCACTTTGCAAAGTCTAATATCAAGCAAAAATCATACATTGTCTCACCATCTAGAAATGGCTACTATTAACAATCTCGGTATATTCATCTTTTTCTGTATATATGTGTGGCGTGTTTTCATGCATAGGATCTTATTTTACGTGTTTTTTCAATTATTATAAGCATTTTCTTCAAAACATCCAGTGGTTTTCTATTGCAAGGAGAAACTGGAAAGGTCTGGAAGCAGGATCAGGGAGCCAGGAAGGTAGCTTTCCCATCTTCCCCAGCTGTGTGGGGTGAGGGGCTCGGCAGGCCCTGCAGGAGGGCTGAGGGCCCAGGAACTTGTGTAAGTTAAAGATGGCAGAGTGAGTGAGCTGTGAAGGGTGGGAAGATATAGAACAGTTTGTTTAGCATGCCTTGAGGATCAGAGCTCACAGTGGAAAGGTTGGGAAGGAAAGAAGAGGCAGTGAGAGGATGGAGAGGGGAAGGAGCGGAAAGCAGTGTGGGGTGAGGTTTAGGGAGGTCATTCGCCCACTGCAGTGGCTAAGTCAGTAGAGGAGAGAGGCAGTAACTGGTACTAAGGGCCAGGGTTCAAAGCATTAAACCTCATGCCTCAAGGTGGTGTTTCTCACTCCTGAGCACTAGTTAAGGCAAGGATTTCGAGCCCCACTCCCAGAGTTTCTGATTGGGTAGATCTGGCTGGGGCCTGAGAATTTGCACTTCTTATAAGTTCCAGGCGGTGCTGGTGCACACTGGTCGAAGGCAATGCGTGGGAAGTTTTCCTCTTTAATTGTAGAGTGACACCAACCCATGTGACCACTCGGGCCAGTCTTGCTTGTGACAGTTTTTTCTGCCATCAGGAACAAAGTCTGCCCAAACCTTCCCAGCTTCTGCACCAGGGAAGTGGCTACCAGGGAGCAGCTTCGTGTTTAAACACAGCCCCATCTCGTGTAGTGTTAGAAAGGAATGGCCGCAGGCCGGGCGTGGTGGCTCATGCCTGTAATCCCAGCACTTTGGGAGGCCGAGGCAGGCAGATCACTTTGAGCTCAGGAGTTTGAGACCAGCCTGGACAATGTGGCGAAACCCCGTCTCTACAAAAAAATACAAAGATTAGCTGGGCATGGAGATGCGTACGTGTAGTCCCAGCTACTCGGGAAGCTGAGGCTGGAGAATTGCTTGAGCCTGGGAAGTGGAGGTTGCAGTGAGCCGAGATCATGCCCCTGCACTCCAGCCTGGGCGACAGAGTGAGACCCTGTCTCAAAAGAAAAAAAAAAGAAAGACAGTCATGGCCCTGATTGCAGAGAGCTGCAGAAGGTGGAAGGTTCAGTAGCCCCCAGTGCGTCTGGTGGCCTTCCCCCTCTGGCTCAGTGGGCCATGGCCGGCAGCGACAGTCAACAGTGCTACCTGTGCGTTAGCAACAAGTATGGCCTCATTATTTAAAAACTTAGTTATTCCCATTTCACAGATATTGGGGTTTTGTTTTTAAAAATTGATGTAGATCTAGGCCAGGCATGGTGGCTCACCCCTGTAATCCTAGCACTTTGGGAGGCTGAGGTGGGCAGATCACATGAACCCAGGAGTTCAGCACCAGCCTGGGCAACATAGTGGGACCCCAGCTCTACAAAAAATCAGAAAAAATTAGCTGGGCGTGGTGTCATGTGTCTGTAGTCCCGTCTACTCGGGAGGCTGAGGTGGGAGGATTGCTTGAGCCTGGGAGGTCAGGGCTGTGGGAAGCCGTGATCATGCCACTGTACTCCAGCCTAGTTGGAGTCTCAAAAAAATATTCATATAGATCCAGTCCACCCTGGCAGCATTCATTTTCCTCCCTGAAGGTCTGTATGTTTCAAGAGATGTAAGGGGTTTGTTAAAAGGAAATTGGAGGAAGGGGTTCATACCACTGAAGGTTAGTGCCTAAGAGAGGGGCAGGAAGGGGGCCCTGGAGCTCTTCGCTTTACCCTGTGAATGTTCTTGACCTCTGCTGCCCTTGTGCTGCGTCCTTCTCAGTCCACACTTCTGCCTCTTGCCGTGCGTCTCCACTGCCTGTAAAACAAAGTGAACACTGAAGCCTCCCACTAGGGTCCATTGGCTGATGCGTTTCCATTTCCATGGGTTTTCTAACTTCTGGATGAGAGAGTACATTCCTGCAATTGCTAAAGCTAAGTTTCCTATCTGGATTGTAGACAGCTATGGGCAGTAACATGGGCTTTGTTATATTAGTAATAGGGCCCCGGCCAGGTGCAGTGGCTCACACCTGTAATCCTAGCACTTTGGGAGGCCGAGGTGGGCGGATCACGAGGTCGGGAGTTGGAGACCAGCCGGCCAACATGGTGAAACCCTGTCTCTACTAAAAATACAAAAAATTAGCTGGGCATGATGCCGCATGCCTGTAATCCCAGCTACTTGGGAGGCTGAGGCAGGAGAATTGCTTGAACCCAGGAGGTGGAGGTTGCAGTGAGCTGAGATGGTGCCATTGCACTCCAGCCTGGGTGACAGAGCAAGACTCTGTCTCGAGAAAAATAATAATAATAATAGGGCCCCATAGGTTTATTCAGAGAGACTGAGAAAGCTGGAAGAGATTAGCTTTTCCCAGTGTGAGTCATTGCCTCAGGTAGCCTGGAAAATCCTAGCAAACAAAAAGAAGTTTATACAACAACATTCTTTTCATAGCTGGTTTGTATGCATGGCGTCAAACCTTCACCTCTAAAATGTGAACCTTCAAGAAAACAGGATTTCAGGGTTTACTGGAGGGAGGGGATTAGCCTAGGTCTGAGGGAAGAAGAACCTGGAAATGAAGTCAGTGTTTAAAGCTCCTTATATTTACCAGAGTAAAAAGTTGAAAAGTTTCACTTTTGGAACTTTTTAGTCTTTTGTACTGATGCCAGAGTGATCTTTCTGAAGTGTATGTGTTGTGCTTATTCTTTACTGTTAAAACGATATCATGGTTGAAAACTATTAGCTAATTACTGAGTGTTCTTGTGTTCTTACTGTTTTAGTAAAATTAAAACGATTTAAGTATTTGCGTCCCTGCCTCCTCCCATGATTTTCATTGTATTTCTATCATATCATGCTATATCCTTCTGCAAATATCCATACATAACCAGTTAAATGATTTCAGAGGTAGCGAGTCTAGTTGCCTCTGGAAAATTCAGTAGCCAAGCCATAGTGTATTTGCATATTGTAAATGTGAAGTGGATGGGTGTGAGGAATGAATCATATATAGTACAGGACAGCGTGATGCTACAGAGTTGGGCTTTGGAGCATTTGGAGCTGGGTCAGCCCTGCCTCGCTGACTGCTGGCCTCCCCGCCTCTGCATTTTCTCGGCTCCACCGCAGTCAGGGCGAGCCATCTGCTCATGGAGGTGGCTAAGGGCAGAAGGGAAAGCCGCATAAGGCACTTTGCATGCCGTGAGTTCCCAGTCTACAGCAGCTGATGCTACAGCTTCTAAGCGTGAAATCCACATCTAGTTCTGAGTCATAAAGAGTTTCGATACAATCATAGGAACATTCATCTACATACACTGTGATTTCATGAATTTCAGTTTGTTGAAAATCAGGCATCAGTGGAAGGGAGACTGGCCCCGGGGTTAGAATGTCCTTCCAACTGGCTCCTCATGAGGGAGCTGTGGGACCTTCAACCTCTCAACCTCCAGGAGCTCTTCTTTCCTTGCTCATATAACCAGGGGGTTGAGTAGGTCCCCTTGAAAGTTATTTCCAGCCCCCCGGTTCTGTGAGCATATTGTACACACTAACTAGGTTCAGATCAACTTCGGTTAGACTATTAGAGGGAGGTGCACATGTATCCCCCACAGTGGAATCTCATTGGTATTTCATATAATAAGTGATTGACAGAAATAAGGATTTCATTGGGATAAAATCCTACCTGGTCCTCTAAAATAATGATTGCTCAACCAGAGCATACCTTTTCACTATTTGGGAGGGAATTTTTAATCACACAAAAAGCACATACATATCATTCAGGTCATGCTAACCATGTGTATGGAACTAATATTGCTTTGAAGTACTATTTGCAATATATAGAATTTCACACAAAAAACCTACTAGTGCAAAGAGTGAGTAATTCAAATGCATAGTGTTTCCCTAGACTTTATTTTAGTGAATGGGGTTGCAAGAGCAGTTAGTAAGTAGCCATGTTTTAATGTTTTGAGTTCTGTCGTGTTTTATTTTACCAGCAAGTGCCAGTGCTAGTGAGTCTCTAGAAACAAGAGAAAATCCCAGAGTACTAAAGCTGCAGTTTCCAGAAGCAAGGTCTGATTCACCCTTACTTTGTAGATGAAGGGGCAGGAGCTCAGAAAGAAAGGAGCTCATTGCCTGACCCAGGTCACACGGTCAGTCGGTGGTAAAGTAGAGCTCTGACCCAGGCCTCCGGGCTCCAGCTCCTTTCACTGGATCTGGCTGCTGCCTCAGAAGCAAGGGCCTGGGTGATCAGCAGGTTGCACGGTTGAGCTGTGAGAGACCAGAGTCCCCACGCCTGTGGATGACCGGTGGTCCCCTCCATGAAGCCAGCCGCAAGCAAGCAGCAAAGAGCAGAGCTGTAACTTGACTGTTGGCCCCATGGGGATAGAGACCTTTTCTGCTTGGTCTCCAGTGTAGCTCCAGCCCCCTATCCTCGTGCCTGTTGCAGAATAGGTGCTAAGTAAATATTTGTTGACTGAAGGATCATAAAAGAAACCTCCCATATCGGTGATGGAACATTTAGTTAGCATGGCTTCTTTCTTCTTGAAGGTTCTTGAGCACGTGCCCCTGCTGCTGTATATCTTGGCAGCAAAAACATTAATTCTCTGCCTGACATTTGCTGGGGTGAAAATGTATCAAAGAAAAAGGTTGGAGGCAAAACAACAAAAACTGGAGGCTGAAAGGAAGAAGCAATCAGAGAAAAAAGATAACTGAAGGTGAGTCCACAGTACCCAACCTTGCAAATGGGAGCTGGCCAGTGGGTTGGGGTGACCAATCAATGAACAAGAGAGGTCTGAGACCTCCCTGTCCGTCGGGTCTGAAGGGCTGCGTGGGGGCATGTGGCCTCACCTGTTCTCTAAGGTAGAACTGCTCCATAAAGGGCCAGGTGTGCAGATCCTGGTCCTGGGATGTGAGTGCTGCTGAGCCAAGGTGCACGGAGCATTAGTTCATCCTTCTTGAAACCTGCGGTGGCAATGGTTCTTGACAGGTATTGGGTTAAGAATTGAGGACTCAGTGACAGCTGTGGACCTTCTTCCCAGAGAAGCACACATACTGAAACCATCTGCATTTGTGTGTGGGGAGAAGTTTGCAGATGTGGGGAGTCACAGGTCATTTGAAATTCCAAGATTAAGAAACCCTGTTACCTTTAAGATAAAGTCTGACTCCATGGTATGACAAATAAATCCCTTCCCAGTCTGGTCTTAACCCAGACCTCATTTGCCACATGTGCCCACTCCCCATCCCCCTGCAGGCCATTCCTCAGCCACCATGGCCTTTGGCCTTGCTTATTAGGTTCTTCCCAAGGACCTCCTCACCAGGCCTGAGGGTACACTCATCGTTGTCACCCAGTGCCTATCACAGTGCACACTGGTGGGCTTAGAACACACTTGGGGAGTTACAATACATCAAGGCACCAGAAAGTTCCTGTTAAGCCCCTGTTACAGATTTAACACATGACAATTCACAGTTACCTTGATTCCAGTGTGTTGATGCAGTTTCTTCACTTTGCAGGTTGAGTTCTGTACTTTAAAAATCAGGGGATTCAGCCAGGTGTGGTGACTCATGCCTGTAATCCCAGTGCTTTGGGAGGCAAAGGTGGGAGGATCACTTGAGCCAATGAGTTCAAGACCAGCCTGGGCAACATAGTGAAACCCTGTCTCTACAAAAATTAAAAAAAAAAAACAAAAAAAACCAAAAAAAAAAACCAAAAAAAAACTTAGCTGCACACTTACTGGGTGTGTAGTCCCAACTACTCAGGAGACTGAGGTGGAGGATTGCTTGAGGCCCAGAAGTTCAAGGCTGCAGTGAGGCATGATCACACCACTGCACTCCAGCCTGAGTGACAGAGCGAGACCCTGTCTAAAAAAAAAAAAGGATTCAAATATGGTGGCGGTGGGGTTCTAGATCTGTGGTTCCCAAACCTAGCTAATGATCAGAATTGCCCAGGTGTTTGTTTAAATGAAGATTCCCAGCTTCAGCCCAGAGAGATTCCATAATGGCTCTGGTTAGGTTTGGGTGTTGGTTTTTGTTGTTGTTTTTAAGATAGGGGATCCTACTCTGTCATCTAGGCTAGAGCGGTGCAGTGGCACAATCTCGGCTCACTGCAGCCTCAGCCTCCTGGGCTCAAGCAGTCCTCCCAACTCAGCCTCCCGAGTAGGTAGGACTACAGGAGCACGCCACCACACCCGGCTAGGTTTTTAAAACAATTTTTAGTAGAGAAGGGGTCTTGCTGTGTTGCCCAGGCTGGTCTTGTACTCCTGGGCTCAAGCGATACTTTCGCCTCAGCCTCCTGAAGTGCTGAGGTTACAGGTGTGAGCCACTGTGCCCAGCCTCTGTTCTTTTGAAAACCCATTAGATAATCCTTAGGTTGTCTTCTCAGCAACAGGTCATTGTAGGAACCACTGGGCTAGGTGGCCTCCCAAACCCAGCCCACTCTGAGATTCCATGCTGAATTCCCTTGCAGTGCCGTCAGGCTTGTTGAGGCTAAAGACCTACTGATGAGGAATAGTAGCAACACCTACTAAGTGGTTATTCTGTGCTGGGGACTTTGCTAAGCATTCATGCACAACTGTGTTATTCAGCCCTGATGACTCTGTGAGGCATGTTCAGATTGAAAGAATGGCTCTCTCTACATGGTGAAGAACAGAGTCAGAAATTGATCCCAGGTCAAATGCATTCGATCAGCATGGCCAAGCCCAAGCTGTGCTACCTTCCTGAATACAGGCAAGTGAGCTCGTAGGGATGCTTCACTCTGTTACTCACCACTTCCGGCAGCTGCCCACTCGCTGGTCCCCAGTGAACTGTAGGCTTTTGCTAGATAGAAGAAGTTACTTTCTTTCTTTCTTTCTTTCTTTCTTTTTTTTTTTTTTTTTAAGGTGTTTGATTGACTGAAATTTAGGAGTAGGCATTACGATGGGGAGGAGAGAAATTAAAAAGGGTGAGGGAAGGCAGTTTAAATTAAAATGTTGCTGATTGAATTTATATTCCTGACAATCCCATTTTGTGTGCTAAACTGATCAAAGGAAGAAAAGATGAGATGGAAGATCATAAAGGCTTTGTTCCTCCCACAAACATCAGCAGAGACCTGCATTTAAGTCAGGCCTGGATGGCTTAGAAGCAACTCAGGGAGTTGGTCTTCCTCTCTAGGCTGGCAGCTTCTTAAAGACTAGAGACTTGCTTCAAACAAAAAGCGTTTTCAGGCCGGGCGCGGTGGCTCACGCCTGTAATCCCAGCACTTTGGGAGGCCGAGGCGGGTGGATCACTTGAGGTCAGGAGTTCAAGGCCAGCCTGGCCAACATGGCGAAACCCCATCTCTACTAAAAATACAAAACTTAGCTGGGCGTGGTGGCACGTGCCAGTAATCCCAGTTACTTGGGAGGCCGAGGCACGAGAATCACTTGAACCTGGGAAACAGAGGTTGCAGTGAGCTGAGATTGTGCCACTGCACTCCAGGCTGGGTGACAGAGTGAGACTGTTTCAAAAAATAAATAAATAAATAAAAGGGGGGTGGGGTGTTTCAGATGGAAGGGAAACTGATGCTAAAAATACATTGGTTAATAAATAGACTTGAGTGATAGACTTGAGTGGTGTCCGCTTGTTAAGTTTAAATGGCTGAGCATACGTCTTTATGCTGAGCAGTAAACATCGGGTATACTCTTATCAAACATTTCCTACTCATCCCTTTGGTATTCCCTTCTAGATTCTGCCATGTAAATGTCAGCTTGAGTGGACTCCAGCTGAGAAGAAAGAGAAGAAAGACTTAATTATTGAATAATTTGTCAGAGGATAAACTCCCAACCTAGACCTTTCACTTAAAATAGTGTGAATTTGTATATGTTTTTAAAAGAACCAGTACTGGCCGGGTATGCTGGCTTTTACCTGAAATCCCAGCACTTTGGGAGGCCGAGGCGAGTGGATCGCCTGAGATCGGGAGTTTGAGACCAGCCTGGCCAACATGGTAAAATCCTGTCTCTACTAAAAATATAAAAATTAGCCAGGTGTAGTGGCGCGCGTCTGTAATCCCAGCTACTCGGGAGGCTGAGGCAGGAGAATTGCTTGAATCCGGGAGGTGGAGGTTGCAGTGAGCCTAGGTCGTGCCACTGCCCTCCAGCCTGGGTGACAGAGCGACTGCGTCTCCAAAAAAAAAAAGGTAAAATTAAAATTAAAAAAAATAATAATAACCAGTATTTTGTTTACTAAAATAAAATGCCTTTGTAAAAAAAGGAGTCGTGGCCTTTGGAATAAGTCAAATTGTGTATCTCTTTCTCTTTCTCTTACACAGCACCCTCTACCCCGTGTTGTAAAGCGGGGGGTTTTGTAAACTTACACCTCCCCCACCATCTCAAGCTGGGGGGTCCCAGGTGAGAGGCTTCCATAGAGGACAAGGTGGTGCAGAAACATCTGCTGTGGGAGTGGGGTCCCCAGCACTGGGTGCTTCGGCCAGCTACCCCCGACCCCAGGCCCCCTCATAGGCTGCCCTCCCATACCCTCCTTTCTCGTCTTTTCCTCCTACAGGTGCTACACCCCTGTGAGAGTGTTTTGGAGTGTTTTCATTGTTAGGGTGGAGGGAGGCTGTGTGTGTCCAGGAAAGGTGACTCCTGTGTTAACCATGAGGGTCCTCGCAGGGAGGAATCGTTGGGAGCCCTAGGGTGTGTTTTGTCCTCTCCTCACCTGTTTGCTCCTTGGGATTTGCTGATGAGAAATGAAGGGTAGGGCACCCTAGGAGCCACTGGAACCAAGGGCAGGGAGGATGGGAAGATGTTTTACTCAGCACCTAACACACGCAGATCCCTGTGACAAGAGCTCATGCTCTCCCACTTCTTCGCAAGACCCCAGAGTGGATGGGGAGTGAGGTGGCAGCAGCTGGCACTGGAAGCAGTGCGGAGTGTTTGGTCTGGTTGCTGATGGCTGCATGGGAAACTTGCAGGAGTGTGTGTTAGTAAACGTCTCCCCGTCCTGGCCCAGTTTGTGTCGAACATGCGTTTTCCATGTGGGGAGTCAGGGGAGTTCCATCTTAAATTGCACTGTGCTTGCTGGATGCTCTTCAGGACAATTTAGGAAGCAGGAAAGAATTTACAAAGTTCTGAGGACAGACAGACCCTGCTCCTACAAGCTGCAGTGCTCACCATAGTCAAAGTGGACTTTCACGTAAGCCCAGACCTCATTCTCTCTGAAGGAGGCCGCTCCAGCCTTTGCCAGGAGCCCTGGTGACTTTATTCTGCCTAATCCTGCTGCGGCCTGGGGTCCTGTTAGAACGTGAATGGAAGACCACAGCAGAGGTGGGATGCCCTTGGATTTCTGCCATCCCCACGCTTTCGTGACATGCTCAGATGGGGCCTAGAACTGACCCTGGGCCGTGGCCTACCATCCTCCCTTTGTCAGGGCCTCCTTGCACCCTGGCAGGTTACCCCACCCACCCTGGCCCATGTTCCTGCCCCAGGGGCCTGGCCTCTCTGCTGCCCACCCTGCAGGTGTAGGGTATCACCTGCTCCTGCCTTGCCTGGCATCAGACCTGCTACCTTGGCACCACTTCCTCCCTCATGCCCACCCGCCTGTGTGCCTCATAAGTCCAAGGCGGGGGATCTGCTGACCAGTAGACACTCATGTGCTAAACACAAGCGCTTTTCTAGGCTTTGGGATTTAAAGCTACACTTTGGAATTTGTGGAAGATCTGGCCATCTTGGAAAATTAGGTAGAAGGTGACATAAGGACTGGACTAAACCACTGATCATCCCAACAGTGCCCGTGGCTTTTCTGTTTTTTGTTTTTGCTTTTGTTTTTTTAGAGATGAGGACGTGCTGTGTCCCTCAGGTTGGAGTGCAATGGTACAATCATAGCTTATTGCAGCCTTGAACTCCTGGGCTCAAGCGATCTTCCCACCTCAGCCTCCCGAGTAGCTGGGACTAGGCCCTGCTAATTTATTTATCTTTTGTTTAGAGACAAGGGTCACGCTGTACTGCCCAGGCTGGGTGTAGGTTTTTTCTGAAGAGCATTTGGGAGTTTTGTTTTTGCTTGGTTACTTTTCCTATGCACCCTTCTACCACTAGGGGGAGATGATTAATCACTAATTGAAGGGATTTTGTTCGTTTTTTATGTTTTGGGTTTTTTTGTTTGTTTGTTTGTTTGTTTCAATAAAGAAAGAGTTTAATTGCAGTAAGGCAGGCCGCGCAGGAGATGGCGTTCTTATTCAAATCGGTCTCTCTGAAGGCTCAGAGGTTAGGGGTTTTCAAGGCGGAGTTCTTGCTATCATTCCACTCCTTAGGTACATGAAGTTGGTAGATGTGTAGTTTGATGTTAAATTATTGGGTGGATGCATGCACCGCTGGTTGTAGAGACTGGTAAAGCCCACTAGCAGGACCCCACCTGGACCAAAGCAATCCCTCAACCCGCTGGACCATGACCGAGAACAAACACAAAGGACCTGAAATGCGTTGTGAAGGCCAGAAGCCGACATCCACATTCTCCACCCACGGAGAGCCCCAGAGTCCCTCATGCACATCCTGCTTGATCTATTACACACATTCACACATTCGCAACACATTTGTTTGGTTTTCAAGCTTACAACATATTAGAAACAGAAAGGAAGAAAGGCTGTCAGCAGCAGAAATACCTTTGAGCAAGAGGGACGGTCTTTGAGAAGCAGACTTGAGAACTCACCGTGTGCTCTTCATGCGCCAGACACTGCGGCAGCCACAGCGTCCCACATGGGATGCCACACGTGATGATGTTATGTTCATGGTGATGACCTCAGGCGTGAAGAAGAGGTTCAGCCGTTTCACACAGTCTGTTTAACAAGCACATACATAACACAGACATACGTGAGGAATCTCAGAAACCAAATAATTCAAACAAAGAGTCTGGGATTCTTTCAAAAGCGTTGCCTCTGCCCAAGCTTTCTTCAAATTCTGTCTATAGGGAAACGTAGCTGTCAATGTCTCATTCCCGAAGACTTCCAGATGCCTGGATCTTTAGAGTTCTCCACCTCACCCCGAGTTGATTACACAAATGTTCCTGGGGCTTTGCTTAGTGCCCTGCTCTGTGCCAGGCCCCACAGGCAGAGATGGCAGGGACCCAGGCCTGACGTTGGAGAGCTCCTGACCCACTGCCGGAAACACACGCACCATCACACCATGAGGGAGCTCCCCCATGCAGATCTCATCTGTGTCAGAGTGAAGCCAGAGGATGGACGGTGGAGAGTCTAGAAGGAGAAGAGAAAGGAGGATGAGTTCTCAAACATGAGCAAGCAGGAGAGGCCATTTAAAATGCACACTCTGGCCTGGTGCAGTGGCTCATGCCTGTAATCCTAGTGGAGGCCGAGACAGGAGGATCACCTGAGGTCAGGAGTTTGAGACCAGCCTGGCCAACATGGTGAAACCCTGTCTCTACTAAAAGAAAACCAAAAATTAGCTGGGCGTGGTGGTGCATGCCTGTAATCCCAGCTCCTCCGGAGGCTGAGGCAGGAGAATTGCTTGAACCCGGGAGGTGGAGGTTGCAGTGAGCAGACATCGCACCACTGCACTCCAGCCTGGGTAAAAGAGTGAGACTCTGTGTCAAAAAAAAAAAAAAAACCAACCTAAAAAATAAAAATAAAAATAAAATGCAGACTCCTGGGCTGGATTCCAGGTCCACTGCATCAGAACCTGCAGGAGAAGGACCAGGAATTTGTGATACGAACATCCCCAGGCAATTCTTGACCCTCCTTTTGAGACCTACACTGTAGAAGATGGGCAGAGGGAGAGGCAGCAGGAGCCCAACCTGGGAAGGAGCCATCGGGAAAGGTGGGAGGAGGGGCAGGAGACAGCGCACGCGAGGCAGCAAATCCTTCAGCCCTTACTCCCCAAGAGCTCACAGCTGCCTCCACAGAGGGTAACGGTATCATTATCCCCTTTTCGCAGATAAGGAAACTGAGGCAGAGAGGCCCTGCCTAAGGTCCCCCAGCTGGTGGGAGGCAGAGACAGGAACCAGCCCTCATGGTCTCACTGTGAGACTGGACTTTTCACAGCTGTGCGGTCGAGTCTGAGCCAAGTAAAGTAAAGCGAGTTTTTGTACTTCGAAGTCTGGGACATAAAATCTTCAAGACGTCAGCATCAGTGACACGATGGTGACAGAGGCCAGCATTGCTTGTTGTATCTTTTTCCATCCTGTTCCTATCTACACTTCCATTCTTCTGTTCATTCTGCTTGCATTTCCCACCCAGATGGCTTTCACGGACACACACACACACACACACACCGCACACACACACATCACTCACAGACGCACCCTGTGCCCAATGTCAAAAGACAAAACTGCAACACGTTTAGTCATAGACCTCATTGTCTTTTATTCTTGATTCATGAATGGGGCAGCCTCCCTTCTATAAAACAGAGCAAGAGCTCCCACCGGACAATTGCAGAACAGTGGGCTTTGTAAGGTGGGGACAAGGAAACAGAACAATAGAAAAGAAGCTGATGGGTTAACATCAGGTTACTTCAGGACCTCCTAATCACGCTGACTCAGGTAGACCAGAAGCTCCTGTTTTCAGGAAAAACTAATCTGTTTGGGGACCTACCTGCTTCCTTATTAAAGTTTTGGGTTGATTATATGGCTCTTAGCATGACTGACTCCATTTTGGTTTGGTTTGATCTGGTCTGTTGGGGCCTAGTGCAGGATCTCAGTCCAAAACAATAGCCTCCCATAATTTTTGTTTAATGCTGGGTCAGCGGTAGGCTTGGTCCACTTGCGCTTCTGCCTGGGTGGGCCTTCCTCTTTTCCTCCTTTTCTCTCTGTGGTGAAATCCCCATTCTTCTTTCTGTCCTCCACTTCAGTTTCACCTCTTCCTGCAACCCTGCCCACAGCTCTTCAGCGCCAGGCCCTGGACTCAGCTCTCACTACGCAAACCTCCAACATCTCACTGAGTGGGAGGTGGCCCCCACCTCCACACCAGACCTGGACCTTGAGGGTCCAGGCTTGTTTTCCTTGGTACTCCTGGCCCTGACGCACCCAGCCAGGCACACAGAAGGTGCTCCAGTATTTGATGAGTGAATGACTGGTAGCACCAGAGGAAAGGGAGCAGGGAGTATGGCCAAGACCATTAGCTGCCTTCCTCAGTGTTCCTTCTCCCCTTCTCCCTAGTAATAGAACCCTGACTTTTACCTGGCCGTATGGTCACTCAAAATAAAGGACTACATTTCCCACCTTCTCTCGCAACCAAGCCTGGCCAATCAGGTTTAAGTGGAAGTGTAGTGTGGGACTTCCTGGAAGGATCTTTAAAAGGGACAGGATGGGCCCCTCTTCCTCCCTTTCTCCTTTTTGGCTGCCTGGAATACTAATGCAATCGCTTGTTCCGCAGCCACTTTGGACTAAGAGGTGAGTTTGAGACCTGAACCAAATCTAGGACAATGGAGTAAAAAGATAGGATCTTGGGCTCTCAGTGACCATGGATCCATCATTTCACCCCTGAACTGACACCTTGACACTTCTTATTTTTGGTGGTGGTGGTGGGGTAGCTTCTATTTTGTTGGCATCTCTGTGGTCTATTCATAGTTCACCTGTTTTAGCTGACACATGGAGCCAGTTAGAGATGGGCGCAAGGGCTTCCTGATATGAAGACTTGGATTCTGGTCCTGACCCTCCTGTTACTACTGTTACGTACGTGGCTAGGTGAGTCGGTCACCACCCTAGCCTGGCCTTTGTAAAATGAGCTCAATGATCACTGCCCTCCCTACTGTACAGTGTTTGTCTGAACTGAATGAGGTCAAGCATGTAAAGATGGTTTGCATGTGGCAGGACAATCACAAATGGAAGGAGTGTATACTACCTCGGTGGGCAACTCAGCCACCAGTTGGCCAGGCAGGGGCTCCATCCAACCCAATTGGATTGAGCCAATGGCCAACGAACCCCATTTGCTAATTTACCTCTTAGGTCCTTGTAGGGGCAGCACCATTTCCTAATGCACCCCCACCTTGAAAGCCACCTTGATCCGTGGGAGGGAGAGGGGCTGTGGGTATTAGTGATGGGGAAGGCCAGAGAGGCTGGGATGTTCCATCAGCCAACCACTCAGAAGGAGAATAGTGCCACCAACATCAGGAGCTCACTTCTAGTGGACATGTCTAGAGATATGTGGCTCAGCCCTGCGTTGCTGCGTGTGGTCACCCGCTCTTAACTAAATACAGTGCTCTAAATATGGCTGCTCCCAAAGAGACTGTGGGCTGTCCTCACCAGCCATCCTGTCCCACCCCCACCAGAAGAAACCTCTTCTTATTATTAATTCCCTAACCGATTGCAGATATTGCAGATGGTCTTAAAGGAAATGCCAGAGAACAAAGTTTCCTCTGATCAAAGTATCTTAAGATGTGTCCACCCTCATTAGATGCCAGCGATAAAAAGGAACAAAAATTTTTCTCAAAGAGTGAAAAGGAAATGAGATCAGTGATGGCAGGTCTAATTGTGGACATGTTTGCTTCGACCTTACCATGGACCACTCACTCAGTGGGTGCCAGACACAATGCAGTGGCTTGGCGCAGGTTATGTGATTTTTTTTTTTTTTTTGAGATGGAGTCTTGCCCTGTCACCCAGTCTGGAGTGCAGTGGCATGATCTCGGCTCACTGCAACCTCCGCCTCCCAGGTTCAAGCGATTCTTCTGCCTCAGCCTCCTGAGTAGCTGGGATTACAGGCATGTGCCACCATGCCAGGCTAATTTTTGTATTTTTAGTAGAGATGGGTTTTTGCCATGTTGGCCAGGCTGGTCTCGAACTCCCAACCTCAAATGATCCGCCCACCTTGGCCTCCTAAAGTGTTGGGATTACAGGCATGAGCCACTGCTCCTGGCCAGGTTATGTGATTTTAAAGTCCCACTGTATTTTATTAAGGAGTTGATTGAGCCTCAAGGAAGTAAAGCAACTTATCCAGAACATATAGCTACGAAGCTAGAAACTCAAGATTCCAACTAGGTCCATCCAATTCCAAAAGCCCGGTGAACTTTCTGTTACT
The DNA here is from genome assembly GCF_000001405.40 of Homo sapiens. Classification (NCBI taxonomy): domain Eukaryota; kingdom Metazoa; phylum Chordata; class Mammalia; order Primates; family Hominidae; genus Homo; species Homo sapiens. The sequence continues at coordinate 34,395,901 of NC_000021.9, forward strand.
TTCTATGGGAAGTTTTCAGGTTTAGTATAAAGCAACATTTCTTAATTATGAATACAATCTTATGTAACCAAATTGCACATTAAAGGGTATTCCTTTTGATCCTTCTTTCCTCTTTTCTAATAATTTTTACAAGGCCTCAAAGGAATAGAACTCTAAATCTGTTTTATTAAATTGCTTTAGTTTTCAAACAAAAATAGCTCCTGTTGGTTTATCTTTAGCTGATAACCTAAAAACATTCCTTTTTTATCGCTGTAAAATAATGTGTCTTTAAAGGATATTCTGTCTCCTCTTTAATTTTATGTTGAAATAAAATTTTTTGGTGTCCAGGGGAGTTGGCCATTTTAGCGGCTGGTGTCTCATCTGAGGTCAGAGGTGAGTCTTGCGACATAGAAATGATGGGGGTGAAAAAGGAAAAGCTCAGCTTCAATAACTAAGCTAAGCACGGTGGTGAGGAGCATGGGCTTCAGAATCTCTTGGCCCCAGTGCCTTGCCAGTGCCTCAGTTTCCTCATCTGTAAAACAACTGACAGGATTAAGAGAATTAAATTATAATAGCTATGCGTTAGTGGCATCATGAAGAATGGCTCTAAGCATGAATTCTGGGTTGAATCTCTCTGGGCCTCAGTTTTCCACATTTATTTATTTATTTATTTATTTATTTATTTATTTTGAGAGGGAGTCTTGCTCTGTCACCCAGGCTGGAGTGCAGTGGCACAATCTCGGCTCACTGCAACCTCCACCTCCAGGATTCCAGTGATTCTGCTGCCTCAGCCCCCTGAGTAGCTGAGATTACAAGTGCCCGCCATCACACCTGTCTAATTTTCGTATTTTAGTAGAGATGGGGTTTCACCATGTTGGTTGGGCTGGTCTCGAACCCCTTACCTCAAATGATCCGCCCACCTCGGCCCCCCAAAGTTCTGGGATTACAGGAGTGAGCCACGGTGCCCAGCACGTGTAGCTGTTGGTGCCTATTATTCCAGAACCGCAGAGGCATGGAATAAACGGGATGTAGGGCAAAACCCACTCATCTCCCAAAACTCAGGCCACCCACACGTGGGCCTGCACAATGACAGCACACTGAAGTGACCAAGGAAGTTTGAGTACCATGGTTTGCTCTCAAGGAACTTAAATCCTAAAACGTACATGAAATCCTGAGGGAAAAAGACCTCACAAATATACTACACAATAGGAGTTATTTCACCAGGTTAATTGCCAATGAGAAATGCAATGTTTCTATTGGCAGAGCAAGACTTCCTTTAGCACCTGTGGCTGGCTGAATAGTGGCCACCAAAGATATCAAGGTCCTATTCCCTGGAACCTATGAATGTCGCTTTAGATGGAAAAAGTTCTGCCTATGTGACCAAGTTAAGGATTTTGAGATGTGAAGATGGTTTTAGATTACTCAGGTGGGCCCTGAATGCAATCTCAGGTGTCCTTGTAAGAGGGAGGCAGAGGGAGATTTGACACAGGATGAGAAAGTGGTGTGGCCACAAGCCCAGGAATGCCGGTGGCCACCAGAAGCTGGAAGAGGCAAGAAACAGGTCCTCCCTGGAGCCTCTGGAGAGAGTGCTGCCCTGCCAACAGCTTGCCTTTGGCTGTCTTCTCTGTCCTGTCCTGTCCTATCCTTTTTCTTTTCTTTCTCTCTCTTTTTTTTTGTTTTTTTGGAGATGGAGTCTTGCTCTGTTGCCCGGGCAGGAATGTGATGGTGTGATCTCGGTTCACTACAACCTCTGCCTCCCAGGTTCAAGTGATTCTCCTTCCTCAGCCACCCAAGAGGTGGAATTACAGGCGCCCACCACCATGCCCAGCAAATTTTTGTATTTTTAGTAGAGATGGAGTTTCACCATGTTGGCCAGGCTGGTCTCCAACTCCTGACCTCAAGTGCTCCTCCGACCTCAGGCTCCCAAAGTGCTGGGATTACAGGCATGAGCCACTGAGCCACCGTGCCTGGCCTCTTTCCCTTCCCGTCCCCCTTCCTCTTTCCCTTCCCTTTCCCTCCCCTGCCCCCTTCCCCCCGCCCCCTCCCTCTCCCCTGCCCCCTCCCCCTCCCTCTCCCCTCTCCTCCCTCCCCTCTTTCCTTCCTCCCTCCCTTCCCTCCCTCCCTTCCTTCCTTCTCTCTTTCTTTCTTCTTTCTTTCTCTCTCTCTCTCCCCTCCCTCTCCTCCTTAGCCCCCCTCCTTTCTCCCTTCTCTCTCTTTCTTTTTGAGACAGGGTCTCACTCTATCACCCAGGCTGGCATGCAGTGGTGCGATCAGAGCTCACTGTAGCCTCAAGCTCCTAGGCTCAAGCGGTCCTCCTGCCTCAGCCTCCCGAGTAGCTGCAACCACAGCCACTACATCTGGCTTAATTTCTGTTGTTTTAAGCCACCAAGCCTGTGGTAATTTGTTTCAACAGCCACAACAAATTAATATAGCACTGTTGACTGTCAAGTGAGGCCTGCAACAGTGGAAACTTTATAGTTCTGAGTGGTCAGCTGTTTGAGGTGTGATTAATCTCCAGGAAAAATGTTACCAGGATTCCCTTTGTAACCATGACAAAATGCTGAGAAGTGGTGGACACTTAGTTGCTGAAAAGCACTGAACGTTCGCTTTCATCTGACAAAGTCTTTCTGAATAATACAGGGAGGTTCGGGAGGGAAAGAAGGCAAGCAAACGATGGGATGCTTTCTGCACGTGGCTGTCAGGAAATTCTGGGTAGAAATTCTTTCTTTCTCCTTTTCTTTTCTTTTTGAGACAGAGTCTGACTCTGTTACCCAGGTTGGAGCGCAGTGATACAATCTCTGCTCAATACAACCTCCGCCTCCCAGGGCTCAAGTGATTCTCCCACCTCAGCCTCCCTAGCAGCTGGGAACATAGGTGTGCGCCACCATGCCCAGCGAATTTTGGTATTTTTTGTAGAGACGAGGTTTCACCATGTTGCTGGCCTCGAACTTCTGAGCTCAAGCAATCCTTTCACCTTGGCCTTCCAAATTGCTCGTACAGGCATAAGCCACTGTGCCCAGTCCAGAAATGTTCATAAATTGTTTTTTTTCATAGACCTTATTTTTTAGAGCCATTTTTTAGATTCATGCAGAATTGAGTGAATTGAGTGGGTGCCCCACCACCCACCACCGCTACCAACATCCCATGTAAGTGTACAAAATTTTTTTTTTCTTTTACAGGCAGGGTTTCACTTTGTCACCCAGGCTGGAGTGTAGTGGACAACCATAGCTCACTGTAGTCTCAAACTTCTGGCTCAAGTGATCCTCCTCCCTCAGCCTCCCAAGTAGCTAGGACTATAGATGTATGCCACTCAGCCCAGCTATTTTTAAATATTTTTGTAGAGATGAGGTCTTGCTGTGTTTCCCAGGCTGGTCTTGAACTCGTGACCTCAAGCAGTCCTCCTGCCTCGGCCTCCCAAAGTGCTGGGATTACAGGTGTGAGCCATTGTGCCCAGCCATAAATTATTCTTTTTGCACTCCTCGGAATGATTACCTCTGAAATGACTGTCTGAATGTACATAACCAACAGTGAATTTTATGATATGTTTAATAGGGGTAGTCTTTTTCTATAAAAATGAAAAAGACAACCACAGATTCTTACAACAGACATCGGCAGCAGCCCCAAACCTAAATAGGGAGGTGTTGTCCCAGCTGCAAGTGGCTCAGCTACAGGGTCTCGAGATGAAACTCCACGGCACAGTCTAATGACCTGCTGGAATTCCTGGAGTTGGCGGGGAGATTGGCTGGATAAGTGGTCTCTGCAGACCCCCATGCGTGCCACCCCTTTGCCCACCATAGCCCACTTGAACCCACCACTGTCATAACTTTCCAGGTCCTAACTGGGACCACCTACTCCCCTTGGAGGGTCCGGATGGAGTTTCCCCTCTGCGGCTGCCTCTCACTCATCCTCCACCACTTTGCCGACAAGGAAGGAAGGACAATCGGGAGGAGGGAGTCTTGCTTGGCGACCATCTGGACAATATCTCGCCCATGGCAAGCTGGATCCCTGTGGATTACTTTGGTGGGTGGAAACTTGGCACACTATTTAATTTGGGCTTTTTGGGGGATGACTGCACACTGGTTCTCTTTTTTTCTCAGACCTAAATTTCGACCACTCAACTTTCAGCCTGCTCACCCCTGCTTATTGCCATCCACCTTTGGGCTGGGTTAGACCTAATCCTCCCCTTGACAAAGCCCTCAAAGTAGCCTTCACAAGATAAGAGTCGAGACCCCTAACTTACCAACAAATTTTAATGAAACTTCTAGTAAACTCAAAGCGCTTTGCCAACATCCTTAGGAGCAACCCAGTTCTCGCAGCACCCCATGTGAGGTCGCTGTTGAAGTATCTTTGGCTGCAGTGGTGTGGAATTCATCTCAACAGAGTTGACGGTAAAGACCAGACATGTAGCAGCCTCACTGCTTGTTGGAGGAACCACCCTTAAGAAAATTTCCCAAGATAGTAGTTTTCCCATCTCCGTACTTTGCTAGTTAATGTTCTCCACTTGCTTGCGTTTATCCTTTCAATTCCTTTGCTAATTAAATTGCTGAAAAGTATACATTGGTAAGAATAGCCACTGTCAATGGACTGCAAACAAAACTCGTTTCTGTTATTGATGATAAACCATTTCAGAGAAGACCAGGCTGAGTCTAAAGGGTTCAGATAATTACAAGGGGAAGGCAGAGAGAGTAGTTCATGGCCACAGGACTTGGCCACCTCTGGGCAACACATAATGCTTGCTAAGCTAATGACTGTAGGGATATAGAACTGGCCCTCAGCCTCTCTGTCTTCCTTTGGCCTCTGCTCTTCCTGCTGCCTTCTCTCTTTGACCACGATGACACACTTTCCATAGGCCTTCCTCACCACATCACAGAACTCAGAGAAGAGGCTGTCTTCTTGTTTGATACACAGCTCGTCTCTTAGGAACACCCGATATTTCCAAGGCACCCATCCTTGACTACCCGCAGCATGCACAATACACCAAGTTGGGGTTTGTATGAAATATCCATCACTAATATCTTCCCCAGTTACGAGACTTTCTGGGATATTGGTTTCCCCAAAATATACGGTCTTAAATCCATCATATTGCAGTGTTCTCAGGGTTTTCAGATATTGGAGGCATTGCTTCCTCTTGATGCCATCAAATTGACTTCTGATAATGACATTTCTTAAAAGAGGGCTTGCAAAGCGAGGCATGGTGGCTTCTCAAGTGTTTTTAAAAGCTTGCACATCTGCATCTGGGGAGAGATGGCAAGTGGGGGATGATGACCTCATAAAGGGCTTTCTTACAGTGGTGCCAGTCCCACACATACACTTCAGATTTCAAGCATCATGGAATAAATACTCAGAACAACTCCCTGCTGACCCATAAAATATGGGAATTGCAGATGCTACCCATAAAAATGCTACTTTGACATCACTTCTGCAATAGGTCTGAGACAGAGGTTGGCAATCTTTTAATAGTAATGAGCCTACCCATTTGGCTTAAGATGGGGAGAAATGTTTACATTCATTCATCCATTTCAAAAATATGTACTGATCACCTGCTGTACACCAGGCATTGTGCCAGGCACCAGGGGTATAGTCATGACACACCCAGGGAGTCCTGGACTTACGTGTTGTGTGTCTGTGTATGCATAGAATTTGTGCCAGTTGCCTTCCCATTTGCACAACTAAGAGTGATTTTTTCCAGGTGGCAGAAGGAAGGTATGGCAAATTGCAAAAGAAAGTCAGTCTGCACACCTAGCTTCCACTGGCGCTTGCAGGTCTTTTTTTTTTTTTTTTTTTTTTTTTTTTTCTGAGAGGGAGTCTCTCTCTGTTGCCCAGGCTGGAGTGCAGTGGCACGATCTCGGCTCACTGCAACTTCCGCCTCCCGGGTTCAAGTGATTCTCCTGCCTCAGCCTCCCGAGTAGCTGGGACTACAGGCACCTTCCACCATGGCCGGCTAATTATTTGTATTTTTAGTAGAGATGGGGTTTCACCGTGTTAGTCAGGATGGTCTCGATCTCCTGACCTTGTGATCCGCCCGCCTCGGCCTCCCAAAGTGCTGGGATTACAGATGTGAGCCACTGCGCCCACCCGGAGCTTGCAGTTATTGAACTAATTCAATACCTCATCTTGAAAGCACTTTTAATTTTATATACTCAGGCAAAATGACAGTTTGCTTCAAACTCTAACCATCTCTTCCTTTGTATTTTCTTGCCTCTTTAATCAGAGCTAAAGACATTTCATAAAATGGGCATGAAGGATTCCTTCAAATGAAGACGTGGACAAAATGATTGGTCAGGTCCTTTGCTCTACTGTTGAATGGAGGAGGATTTTTTTTTTTTTTCCCTCACACAGGGGTTTTCTTGGAGCTCAAGTTTGGATGACCCCAGACAGTAAGATAATCTCATCATGGTAAAGTTAATATGAAATATGTGGTCTCCAAACAGCCTCTCCCAGAGGCCAGGATCAGCAGGTTTGAGTGGATAATTGGCTTGTGGTCATTTTCTCATAGGATTTTTCTTTTAGTAGTGGAAACTGTTTTTCAAATCAAATTTGGATGCCAACTATGTGGAACAGAAGTGTGGCTGCTCTGGTGGAAGTGGCAATGGTAGTCCTAGAGTCTCCCTGTCAGCCACACCCTTTGTCTCCCCCTACCCAAGGGACCCTGTGGCCTGGAACCGCAGTGTGAAATGCTATATAGTGCAATGAAGTCAATTCGAAGACAAGAGTTCTTTGCCTTTCTCATCTAATTTTTAGTTATGGATATGAGACGCTTGTTCAGAAGTATGGAAAAGTATATATAATATGTTATCTTTTAGATGTGGGTGTAAATATGCTTATGTATGCAATATGCTTATATTTTAACGCATAAACAACATGAATAAAGCAAACACTCTAGACTTCTCCAAATGTATCTTGTTTTACAGTTTTCATTTTGGAAAATGTCAACATTTTTACATTAAAAAATATTACTCAGCCATAAAAAAGAATGAAATCACGTCTCTTGCAGCAACATGGACAGAACTGGAGGCCATTATTCTAAGTGAAATAATTCAGAAACAGAAAGTCAGATGCCACATGTTCTCACCTTTAAGTGGGAGCTAAATAATGTGTACACATGGGTACAGAATGTAAAATAATGGACTTCGAAAGGGAGGCTGAGATGGGAGGACCATTTGAGGCCAGGAGTTTGAGACAAGCCTGGCCAACATGGTGAAACTGCTTCTCTACTAAAATGCAAACAAATTAGCCAGACATGGTGGCTGACACCTGTAATCTCAGCACTTTGGGAGGCCAAAGTGGGTGGATCACTTGAGGTCAGGAGTTCAAGACCAGCCTGGCCAACATAGTGAAACCCCATCTCAACTGAAAATACAAAAAAATTAACTGGGCATAGTGGTGCGTGCCTGTAATCCCAGCTACTTGGGAGGCTGAGGCACGAGAATCATGAGCCGAGATTGCACCACTGCACTCCAGCCTGGACAACAGAGCAAGACTCCGTCTAAAAAAAGAAAAAAAAAGAGGATAGGATTAGGGTGAGGGATGAGAAATTATTTAATGAGTACGATGTACACTACTACACTCAAAGCCCAGACATCACCACTGAGCAATCAATCCATTTGACAAAACTGCACACCTGCACTTGTACCCCTTAAATTTATATACAAACAAAAACAAAGGCAAATCAAAAATAAAAATAAAACAAAATGATCTCTAAACAATACAAACAGTAACTGATGAACCTAGCTGCTTATCATGTCAGTTCCAAAATCACACAGAGTTGAATTTCTTTCAAATGACCCTACAACACAGTATTTTGATCATATATTCTCCAGTAGAGTATAAGCTAAGGACAAAGAAAAACACATGAAATCTTAAATGGTACTCGGTAGTTTTATTGTTAATAATGATGCTGGTATTATTATTTTGAAACTCATGTCCATTTCTCAGCTGCCATTTGATATTAATTTTTTTTTTTTTTGAGGTGGAATTTCACTATCACTCAGGCTGGAGTGCAGTGGTGTGTTCTCAGCTCACTGCAACCTCCACCTCCTGGGTTCAAGCGATTCTTCTGCTTTAGACTCCCAAGTAGCTGGGACTACAGGCACGTGCCACCACACCTGGCTAATTTTTGTATTTTTAGAAGAGACAGGGTTTCGCCATGTTGGCCAGGCTGGTCTCGAGCTCCTGACTTCAGGTGATCTGCCTGCCTCAGCCTTCCAAAGTGCTGGGATTACAGGCGCGAGCCACTGCGCCCAGCCAGTGATTTTTAACCTTTATCAATCTGATAGACAAAAAGATCATTTCATTGTTTTAACTTCTTTAATTATGAGTAAATCTGGCAATATATTATGAAAACAATGACAAGAAGAACTTGATATAAAATGCACAATTCAGACGTCCTTGAAGATCATTTTAGAGGCAGCATGAAGTGGGGGGTGGCACTGGTGATGGGGGCTGGGTGTGGAGAAAACCAGCCAAAGGAGGACTCATGGGATCCTGGAGCTTTTGACTGGGGTTCACTTGGAGCCCATACTCAGGCTGGTTCTGACAGCAGCACCTGCCAGGCCTCAGCTTAGGGGCACAATGTGGGACACATGGACTGGGGGTGTGGTCCCAGAGCCTAAGAGGCACCAACAGAGAGGTCTCCGCAGAGACTCATCTGTGCCCCCCACCCACCACCCCGGGACAGGCCAAGCCAGCGTCTGGCCAGGAACTGCTTTTGCACAAGGAGCCAGAAGTAGTTTGCCCCGATAAATGGGGGCCTGGACTCACGCAAACCATTGCACCATGGATGGCCAGAGAAACTCAGAGAACCTTCCTGTGCTTGTTAACATACTCTCTCACGTCCTCTGCAGCCTCTGCCAAGCCAAGCAGCCAGCTCCTAGGACTCCCCTCCCTCCACCTGAGGCTCCTTGTCCTCCCTTCCTCAGGAGTCTCCAGCCTCCCGGGACTTCCCCTCCCCGCTGCCCACTCCAGCAGAGGCTGCCAACTGCCTGGGAGAGAGAAGTGGGCTTCCTGGGGCCACCTCCCCAACTTTGGAGTGTTTGGAAGGTGATGGAGCGACCACTAGGAGGCAGTGTGGACAGGTCTCTGTAGGACTGCTCAGGCAGACACCTTTGCAGGGACCTCCCAGGTCGGGAGCCCTCCACACTTTTCCCATGGGAGCTTCTCCCTCCACCCCGAGTCACTACTATCTGCTTTCCTAGAAGGCACTTCTTTACTTCTAATTCTTCTCCACTGCCCAGGTAACTGATATTCTCAAGTGGGACATTGTAATTTGTTTAATTCATTTAAATTGATTTCATATAATTGGGAGATAAAGATTGTTCAGTTGCAAGACAAAGTCTTAACTTGAACTCTCAGGACACGGGTGGGTCCCTAAACTCAATACGTGAGTGTTGCTGCCGGGCTGTTGGGCCATCTTCCACCCGCCATAGATCACTTTCTTCATCAAAGAAGAAGGAATATTTAGAAACTGGTAGTACAAAAAAACAAACAAACAACAACAACAACAACAAAAAACCAAAACAACAAAAAACACCAAATCACCAAAAACAAACAAACAAAAAACAAATAAAAACCCAAAGCAGTTGCTCCTATAAATAGATGTGTGTATACATGTGGCTGGTATGAATCTTATCCACAAATTCAGTTTTGTGGGAAACATCACATTTATTTATTTAAATCAAGTCATATGGGACTTGGGCATGGTTGGAGGTTCTTACCCCACCCCACTTCCCAAGGCCAGTGCACAGGCAGGGCCTTGAGGTCACCCTTAGCCGATGCTTGGGTCTAGGTGCTCAGACCCAAGCCCCTGTGGTCCCATCATGTGGGCACTGGCATCTTTGCTGAGGCTGAGAATTTCAAAGCCAGGATCCAGCCCATTTAGGTAAACCCAAAGTCACTCTCCCAGGTGGCCCAGTCATCTTCTTGAGAACAAGAGCCATGAGCCTCAGTTCCCTGCCTCAAGAGCCTCTGTTCAACCCTAGGCTTGTAGACAACTCTGCCCCTTCTTCTCTCCCTTCAGTGTCACGGTCCCCTGTCCCATCCCTCTCTGGGACAGGTACCACAACCTCCCCACCATACACAGGGAAAGGGTCAGCCCTCAGGTTTTTGGCCTGGCATCTTGAATCTCCTCCCAGGCAACAAACCACAGAGGGCCTGGCATTCTCCTGTGAAAAGCAGGGCGGAAAGGAAACACAGAGAACAAACCCACAGACAACAAACCCACAGAAAACAAACCCACAGAAAACAAACCCGCAGAGAACAAACCCACAGACAACAAACCCACATCAACAAACCCACAACAACAAATCTACAACAACAAACCCACAGAGAGCAAGCCCACAGGGAACCAGCCAAATTATGTCTGCTGTGCATCTCGGCAGACGATGCTGCCACCGTCTGTGTATGAGCATGTGTGTGTCAGACTTTCCCATCGTCTCCAAACTTGTTTTCAGAATAATGCTTCCAGTGAAATGAGTCGGCCACATGAGGTCACAAAGCCCCTACTCTGTTCAGCACCTGGGGTAAGTAATAATATTTTGGAGCACTTAGTGTGGGGAGTAGCCCTGACCCCTTTACATGTCATGTCTTAGTTCATTCTTGTTGCCATCCTTGGAATTGAGGCCAACATCATCTGCCCATTTGCCAGACAAGCTGCTCAGGAGGAGAGGGCCACAGCCCCTTATCTCCTCGCCAAACAAGAGAAGATCCCCAGTTGCTTTTTTTTTCTGTGGAAGAGATTCTTTTAAAAACATTTTTTTCATGGAGAAGAAAATCTGAAAAAAAAGAATGAAACCGAACCAATAGTCCCATAGACAGTTAGTTGTTGTTGTTGTTGTTTTGTTTGTTTGTTTGTTTTTGATGAATACAGAAATTGACCCTTCTGGTCTTAAAGCTTGAAAATTAAATTTGTTTTATCTGAGTTGCTTCCTCAGGAAAGGAGCCCAAGTCCTCTCCAAAAGTATCAGAGAACTGAAACTCACCAGATCATCTTGTCTAGACAATGAGACGTCAGGCCCTCCATTCATCATGACTGCTTCCTTACCCCTCCCGAGTTCCTGTTACATTTCTTCCCTGCTATATAAACCCCTAATTTTAGTGGGTCCAGAAGATGGATTTGAGACTGAGCTCCATCTCCTGGGCAGCAGCACCCAATTAAAGCCTTCTTCCCTGGCAATACTGATTGTCTCAATGATTGCCTTCCTTCCTTCCTTTCTTTTTGAGATAGAGTCTCACTCTGTCACCCAAGCTGGAGCACAGTCGCTCTATCTTGGCTCACTGCAACCTCTGCCTCCCAGGTTCAAGCACTTCTCCTGCCTCAGCCTCCTGAGTAGCTGGGATTATAGGTACCCGCTACTACAGCTGGCTAATTTTTGTATTTTTTTTTTTTTATAGAGATGGGGTTTCACTATGTTGGCCAGGCTGGTCTCAAACTCCTGACCTCAGGTGATCCACCTGCCTCGGCCTCCCAAAGTTCTGGGATGAGAGGTGTGAGCCATCACGCCCAGCTGAGTATGTGTGTGTGTGTGTATGCTTATGGGGATGTGCAAATGTGTGTGTGAATGTGTGCACGTGTCCTTGTGAATTGTGAATACCCAGGACTTGAGCACACTCAGTTCCTGATGCACTTCCTGTTTTCTCAGCAGCTGAGCTCAGGCCTGGAACTGAGTGACAGCACACCCGGGCACCTGTCTCCCTGGGCACCCCTCCCACGCCTGCTTCCCACGGCATTCCCAGCTCCCACCACTGGGAAGGAGCTGGAATCATGAGTCGGGATAATCACCGAATTCTCTTCGACCTTCCTCAGCTCCTGGTTTGTTAAGGCAAACCCCCATCTCTGGCTTCTCCTGGAACCTCACCTGGGAAAGAAAGAGGCAGCCCCGGAGCTGGAAGCTGCTTCAGGGCTCACCCGGAACAGCAGACTCAACCTGGACCCATCCAGGCATCTCCTGGGAGTTTCACCCAATTGCTTCTGCCTGGCACCAGCTCAGAGGTTCTGACAGAATTGGCCTGGGGTGAGACCTGGCATCCATGGGATTTTTACAAGCTTCCAGGTGATTCTACAGGGAAGCCAAGGTGAGAACCCCTGTCCTAGAACCAGGTCTGATCAGGGGCCGGTGGGGAACTGTGGGTGGAGAACATTAGTGCTTCCAGAGCCTCAGGGTTGGTTTTGAAAGGAACGTAACACATTTTTTTTTCTCACAAAGACATATAGAGAGAGACTTTTTAAAATAGACATATATATAGAGAGATGTTTTAATAAAGAGAGGTTTGGGTTTATATAAGTAAAAAAGATGATAGAAAATAGAGAATGAGATTAGGCTTCCCCTTGCTCTCAAAAAATGGTTTGAGAGTCTTGGAACTGGTTCCACTCTATGATAGCCATGAGTACTGTTCGCCCAACTTTTGGTTCTCAGCCTTCCAGGCCCCGGTGGGATGAGACTTCCCTGCCCCCACGGTTGAGAGGAGCCATGGGCTTATTCTAGCCAATGAATGGTGGATGGACGTGACTCGTGTCTCTTCCAGGCTGGAGCATTTAATTGTCCAGGTGAGATACTCAGGGACTCGTCCCTCCAGAGCTGAGAATGGCCATGTTTCCAGAGGGTCTGCAGGAGCAACCTGAGTCTCAGAGCACAGCCACCAGCAGACCTGCTGCACGCATGTGGCGGGGGAAAGAAAGAAAGCCAGCTGTCTGCAGCCACTGAGAGTTTGGGGTGGTTGTTTCTCATGACAAAACCAGCTCACCCTGACTTATACAAAGTCTTTGAGTTATATAGATGGAGAATGAGGCTCTTGGGTCCCTCTATTCTCACAAAGCAATAGCCTAGCTAAATCCATCTAACTAGGGAGCAGAAAAGGGGATGTGCTGGCTTGCACACCCTAGACAGTTGTTCAAGAAGTCAGGACACCAGGCCTGGAGTGATACTTCAGCCATCCTTCTAGGTGAGGGTCTTGAGGCCACACAGACAGAAGTGGCAGAGATGGGACACACATTCGTCTTCTCACTCACAGTCTGGCACTGAGCTGTGGGCTGCTGGGACACCATGCCCCCATACGAGTAGCCTTCCCACTCCTTACCTTGAAGGAAAAGTGTTTTTTGGACAAATACCTGATGGAAACATTACATGGGCCTTGGAATCTGTTAGATCTAGCTTCCTGAAACTCTTGCTAGCTGTGTGACAATATACAAGTTTCTTAACCTCTCTGAGCCTCAGTGCTCTAATTACACTCCCCTCATAGAGTTTCTAAGAGCATCCTGGGGCTGGCACGTGTCAACGCACCCAGTATTTGATAGAGTTTGTTAAACGTTGGTTATCCTCTCTCCCTATCGCACCTCAAATGGTAAGGGCTGCCTGCCAGCTTCCATATCCCCAGCAGTGCCCTGAGTTGTTCAGATGTTCATCCATCTCCCACAGAACTCAGGTTCCTTTGGAGGAAGCCACATCAAGTCCTGCTCCAAGCTTAAGCCAGTCAGCACATTCCATGCTCTGCCCCATTGCCAGGGTTCAGGAGTATGCTCGTGATCTAAGCACCCCCACTCCCAGATACAGCTCAAGATTCTTGCTTGGACTTCTGGGCACTCAGGCTCCTCCGAGAGGGAATCAAACTTACTTCTCTCCATGTCCTTTCCTCTAGGAGATGCGTCTTTCATAAAACTCTCATCAACACTGTTCAGACATGTCCCACCCCAGCAGGGGACAGCCTGGGCTCAAGCTGGGATCCCTACTTTATTTATTTTCTGCTAATTAAACTTCCTAATATACTCCACACTAAGTGTGCTTGCAAGGCAGGGGGTGTGGGATAAGCGGCCCTGCCTGGCTGGGAGAGGGGGCAGCTCCCTGCTGTACTATGTATTAATAAAGAGACACATGCATGGCAGGGCTTGTCTGGGCCTTGGTGGCAGCTTAGGACAGAAGGCACGTGACAGTCAGGGGTTCAAACAACCCAGGGAGAACACTGCTTCAGGGAAGACAGCTCAGCATCTTCCTGGCAAAGATAATGACATTGATAATACTCTCCAAAGAATTTCAGGATTTTGAGCAATCAGAAAAGCAACACAGAAATTCATGTCATCAAAACGATATGGCTCTATTGGACACTTAAGACATTTATTGGAGGCTCAACAACATAATCCTGCTGGTTGGTTTTACTTCATTGATTTTCCGTTGTGTCTGATTACATTGCTAATGCTGATGGTGGATGAGCTACGGCTCTTTTCCTGCCTGTCCTGAGGTTTATCCACCAATGTTTCAGTTCTGTTTTAAGATATTGTCCTAAGCCCCCAGCATCGCATGCATGCTGTTTTTTTGTTTTGTTTTGTTTTGTTTTTTACAAAGAGTTCATAGCCCGTGGAAGACTCTCCTCCATCACACACTTAGGTTCCCTCCACACCAGGCCTGGAAGGAGTCTAGCTTCTGGGGACTGTACATATGCTGTGGACCATGCAGAACCTGGAGAGGCGGTGACCCCTTCTAGAAGTGATCTGCCTGAATCCTTCCCTCTGGAGGAGGCATTTATTAAATGCCAGGTTCCTGAAAGGCTCTGAGATGGGCACTCCCTCTCCTGAGTCGTCCCTTCCATTACTGCTTTCCTATTTCTGGCCAGGGTTCCCTGGCCCCTCCTCCCTGCTCCCATGGGACCCCAGTTCATCCCCATCTTTGCTCAATTGCCCTGCACTGTAGTAATCCATTGGCACTCTTGTCTTCTCCAGGAGAAATAGTTGGAGGAGAAGTTTATAGGGTTTCCTGGGCCAGGGCTGGTCTACAGTCACTGGACAGCAGGAAACGACCCTTCGGGGCCTAGGAGGGCCAAGGCTGGTGGGCAGGTACAGGGGGAGCCAGCACTGCTGTCCACCACTGTGCAGCCTGGAGGCTGTTTCCCATGACCCTGCTGATGGGACCCAAGGCACCCCAGGCCACCCACTCCCCTGCCCCCAGCAGGGTGTCAGCTCCCCGGCTTCCCTGCATGCCTGCCTGACATGGACAGTGCACCTTCGGGCCACACTTGCCCTGCTAGCGAGCCTCCAGTGAACTGGGAATTCCACAGAGTGTAGAGGACTCGCCCCAGCACTGTGCTGAGAGGCTTCACCAAACTGTAGCCTGGCTTCCACCTGCACTAAGCTGCATCCCCAGAGGCGACCCCAGCCCTGGCTGAGTCTTGGCTCAAGACTTTGCAATGCAGCCAAATCACAAAATGCACCTCGTCCAGCCCACCCCGCTAAACCATTTTCAGTAGTTCTCCCCTCACCGTTCTGGAACTTTCCATTTCCACGTGGCCCCCACGTTCTGTTTTCATTTCTCCTTCAGTCCCTTTTTGTTCCCTTTCTGTTCTCTCTTTGAAGACCTCAGTCACCGTTTTCTGAGTTGGGGTTGAGCTTGGTCGGTACTGGAATCTCTTTCCGCTGCTGCAGGAGTCTGAAGGAATCAGTCTTGCCGCCTGTAACACATGTCCAGCGCTGCTTTTTCTCTGATGAGTGTCTTAGTCAGTTTGGGCTGTTAAAACAAATGGCTTAGGCAACACACGTTTCTGTCTCACAGTTCTGGAAGCTGGAAGTCTGAGATCAAGGTGTTGGCAGATTCGGTACCCGGTGAGGACCTGCTTCCTGGTTCGCGGGTAGAACACTTCTTGCTGTGTCCTCACAAGGTGCAGAGAGAGAGGGGGGTCTGGTGTCTCTTCCTGTAAGGGCACTGATCCCATCATGGGGGCCTTACAATCGCGACCTCATCTAAACCTCCCGAAACCTCATCTAAATCTCACCTCCATACTATCACATTGGGGATTAAGGCTTTAACATGTGGATTTCAGGGGACAAAGGACAAAAGCATTCAGTCCATGGCACATGCTCAGTGCCTCGACTCTTGCAAGTGCCACACCACAGCCTCTCTGGGGCTGTGTCCTGGAGGCGTGTGCCATGGGCCCTGTGTGCCATGGGCAAGGCGCACAGCATCCTCCCGGCCACCCCACCAGCGAGTGAGCTCCTGGCACCCTGGCTCTCTCTGGTCACCCATCTACCAGTCTTGGTGCTCCTGTGCACTAGAGGACCAGCTGCCTGGGGACTGTGGGCCAACTGTGGCCCCGGCCACCCACGAACTTCCCCTCCGGCCAGTGGCTGCAATCACATCTTCTCTAAAGACGTCTGAAGCCCAGCCTTGGGGAGCCGAGTTGGTCCTTCCCTGGGTACTGAGCCCTAGGGAACCCTTGAGAGTTCTCTTTGTATCTTTGTAGTTTCTTCCTCACCACTTAATCATTTCCTTACAGGAAACTTCCTGTGTTCAAGTGACTGTATGGTTTCTGCCTCCAGCTTCATTTGTGGGTGCCATAAGAGAGGCAAGCATGGAGCACTAGGCGCAGGGGATGGGCAACTGGCAAGCGGGGAGATGCATGCAGCGCACTTAGTGCCTGGTACATACCAAGTCCTTTTAGTCTGGATTTCATTATTTTTAAATGGGTATTGCTATTTTTAAAAGAATAGTTACAAATATTTATTGTGTGTTTTGAAATAAGTGGGTCAAGATCAATAAGATATTGTTGATCAATTGATCAATAAGATATCTTTTATTCTTAAAAATCATATTCTTCTGGTTCAGTGGGGAAGAGACTGCCGACCTGTATTTACAGCATTATGTGATAAGTGTTCTCCTTTTCAGGTATGTATTAGTCTGTTCTCATGCTGTCAATAAAGACATACCTGAGACTGGGTAATTTATAAAGGAAAGATGCTTAATTGACTCACAATTCCTCATGGCTGAGGAGGCCTCAGGAAACTTACAATCATGGCAGAAAAGGAAGCAAGCATATCCTTCTTCGCATGATGGCAGGAAGGAGAAATACAGAGCAAAGTGGGGAAAGCCCCTTATAAAACCATCAGATCTTGTGAGAACGCAATCACTATCAAGAGAACAGCATGGAGGTAATTACCCACCGGCTCCCTCCCATGACGCATGGGGATTATGGGAACTATAGTTCAAGATGAGATTTGAGTGGGGACACAGGCAAACCATATCAAGGTGACTCCTGCAAGCACCTACCTCCACCCCTCCTTCATCCTTGCCCTCATTCTACAATGATTTGGTGAAATCTGGTCCCTGCCTCAGTTTTACAGCCTCCCCATGACTCTGGTTACTTCCTGATTAGCTTAAACGAAACCTAACTAGGTTGCCCTAGGAAAGCATTTCTGTTCCTGACACCCCCCATCTGCCTGCTGCTTCCGTTCCACCTGTATGTGTCTGGGCACATCCCTGCATCCCTTTGCTGGCTTCTAGCCTACTCACTTCAAGCATTTATCCCATGAGTTTCATAAAATCGTAGAAGAAAAGGGCTTGAGGCAGTGGTGGGGAAATGATAGGAAAGTCATTTCTGGATGCATTCTGCCATCCTGCAGATCCCTAAACCACCTCTCCCTCTCCATTCCCTCCCTCCAGAGAACAGCTTCTCCTTGTCTCCTGTGGAATAGTTCCGCCCACATTCATGGGCCCTTCCTGTACCAAAACTGTACAGGTCTCTCTTGCTTACCAAACACTTGGCAAACAAATGTGCCGTCCTTGGAAAAATTCTGTTGAATAAAATTTTCTCTCTTTGATCCATCCAAATGTTTTACAAAGTGCTACAGAAGCCATGGAGGAACAAGCAATTCTGCCTTAGGGATCAAGGTTTCACACAGGGGGTGATATCTGAGCAACAGTGCTTTTTTGGTTTGTTTGTTTTGTTTTGAGATGGAGTCTCGATCTGTTGCCCAGGCTGGAGTGTGGTGGCACAATCTCGGCTCACTGCAACCTCCGCCTCCCAGGTTTAAGTGATTCTCCTGCTTCAGCCTCCTGAGTAGTTGGGATTACAGGTGCCCGCCACCATACCCAGCTAATTTTTGTATTTTTAGTAGAGACGGGGTTTCACCATGTTGGCCAGGCTGGTCTCGAACTCCTGACCTCAAGTGATCTGCCCACCTCGGCCTCCCAAAGTGCTAGGATTATAGGCATGAGCCACAGTGCCCAGCCAACAGTGCTTTTAATTGGCATTTTCTTCAAAGACTTTGATGTCCTATAGGAGGGGGCCTATGACTCAGCCTCAGCCAATCAGAGCGCTCCATTCCCTGGGTCACCTGCACACCTGCTCTTCCCTGATCCACTGCAGTGCCCTCACCCTGAGATCTGAAACTTGAGCAGAGGCACTAAAAGGCAGACATGGGAGCTGAGCTGTCTTTTGGGAGAATCCTAGTGAGAAGGTTCTCCAACTGGGGCCGCCAAGTAAGGGCCTCATGGCAGACTAACCCCTCTCCTTCCTAAGGCTGGGAGGAGCTGCTGTCCTTTTGATTCTGTGAGCTACCTCAGTTACCTTCCTCAAAATCACACACACGCGCACACACACACACACACACACACACACACACACACACATTTGCATGCGCTAGGTAGAGCTGTTTTCCATAATTGCCAACAGAAGACTAACTGTATTTGAAGAATGAGCTGGCATTCTTCTGCTCCGGTAGAAGTCAAGGCAATCAGTTATGAGAATCAGAGCCCACCTGTGACTCCAGAAAGAGGTGCATAAATACCAAGAATTTAGTCTCTAAAGTCTTTCTTTAAGTCCTTTTTTAAAAAATGTGATGAGTACATCACCCAGGAAAATCAAATTGTAATGCAACCGAGTCGATGCAAGTTTTATTTAGGAGATGGGTTACAATCACCTGGGGAGGCTCTAGTTACCTTGATTTGGTCTGGTACAAACCCTAGCACCATCATCCACAGATCCCCAGAGGAAGTCATTCCTGGATGACTTCCTCATCGATTTTAAATAATTTCCATTTCAGAGGAAGGCCTTTATCTGACCTGATCCCCTAAATATTGGGGGAAACCTACATAGGGACAAAGACAGCAGGTGTCTGCAATGTTGAGAATCAGTGTGTTCTGTCACTGTCTCTATCAGGGCTGGTGGCACATGCAAATCTCTTTCCCACTCTCCAGTTGAACACTAACGCCATGGTGCCCACACCTTCCTTATTAGTCCATGTACATGGGGTTTGTCAAGACAGTGGTTCATGGCTCTGACCCTGAGCATGTCAGATTTCAGGGGCTTTATGCAAAATATCCATACCAGTTGGGGTCATTTCCCATCAGTATTGCTCACAATGGAGCCTACAAACCCCTAGTTCCCATCCAACACATCTCCAAGGCAGACTCTCAGACCAGCTCCCAGAAATGAGGTGAGTTTAGATCAGGCAGCAGAGAGGTGGCCTAGGAAGGAGTCCTTGGAGCTCATGCACCTGTGTCTGGGCACCAACAGGAAGATGGTGGCTTTTGCTCTTTGGGAGATATCTTTGGAGCCAGTCTCTGACCACATGTCCAACAGGACAGGCATCCTTGGGGTTTCCATGGCAGTCTACTGACAGTCAGGGGTGAGGATTAAATGGTACAGAGTCTCACTGAGTGCTCTTTGAGAGGTCAAGCAATGAGAAGTCCTGCAAATGATTATTGAGCTGAAGTAAGAAGTGTACCGAATCTGTTTTTCCCCTATAAATATAAAAGCCTATAAATATAAAAATCTTGGTGAAAAAAAATGATCCCAGCCTCCCACACAGCACATCACACATCTTCTCTTTTCAAATTTGACTCCAAGGCCCACTTCCTTCGGGAAATCATTTATCCAGTGGTATCATTTAGGATATTTTTGGTTGTGAGGAACAAAAGCCTAGCTCCAAAAGACTTAATAAAAGGATCTCATTGGTTCACAAACTGAAAAACTCCAGTGGTAAATGAAGGCTCTGGGTACAGTTGGTACAGGCTCTGGTCTCTGTAATTTCCTAGTTCTTCTCCCTTCTAGATGCTGGGTTTTTGCCTTCAAGTTGGCTTTCTTCATGGTGGCAAAATGGATCCAGCAATTCTGTCAGAGGTTTTCGAAGCAGAGTGACTCCATCTTGATTAAAGGCTGTGTAAAATGAGGATGAGACTTGCTGGACTGCATTCCAGGAGGGTAGGCATTCTTAGTCACAGGGTGAGACAGGAGGCCAGCAGGATTGATATCACAAGACACAGGTCACAAAGACCCTGCTGATAAAACAAGATGCAATAAAGAAGCCAGCCAAAACCCACCAAAACCAAGATGGTGATTAATGTGACCTCTGGTCTTCCTCACTGCTCATTATATGGTAATTGTAATGCATTAGTGTGGTAAAAGACACTTCTACTAACTCCATGACAGCTTACAAATGCCATGGCAATGTCCAGAAGTTACCCTATATGGTCTAAAAGGAGAACCTATATAGTCTAAAAGAACTGAGGGTTCTGAGAAATCCCTGACCCTTTCCTGGAAAATTTATGAATAATCCACTCCTTGTTTAGCATACAATCAAGAAATAACCATAGTGTACTCAGTCAAGCAGTCCCTGCTGCTGCTCTGCCTATGGAGTAGCCATTCTTTTGTTCTTTACTTTCTTAATAAACTTGCTTTCATTTTACTTTATGGACTTGCCCTCAATTCTTTCTTGTGCAAGATTCAAGAACCCTCCCTTGGGGTCTGGATCAGGATCCCATTCCCGTAACAATTTCAGGCTCAGATCGGCTTTTAACACCATCCAGAGCAAGAGAAAGCTTTTTTGTTCCAGAATTCCCCATTAAAGTTCTCCTGGTCACTCTTATTGGGTTGTTTCGCTTAGGGTCAGGTGTCCATCCTGGTCCCAAGCAATGAGGCCAGGAGATGGGATGCAACGACTGGATCAATCTAGGCCTCTTATTCCCACTTTTTAAAACACTTATTATTATTATTTTTTAAAAATTATTTTTCATTCAGCTTTTTCATTTGAAACTTATTCCAATTCTTGAACTGGGGGTAGTTTCAACTTTCCTAGAGCTGTATGGGTCCTCAAATGAAAATTCGGGGCAGCTGGATTAGAGAAGGGGGAAATGCATGCTGCAGGGGCAACCAACAAGGGGAGATTGTGCCAATTCACTCTTCCTATCCTCAGATTCACCTAAGTTCTGACCATTCAGCCCCATTTGAATGCATTCTGTATTCCTATGACTGTGGATTACATTTTTGTCTACCTTTGTGTCTTCTGTTTTGTCCTGCCCTATAAGCATCTCAAACATATGCATAAAGCCTATATAAACTTTATAAATAAACTAACACTTCTGTTTTCAACCTGTAGGATGATGACAATGATGATGACGACAATGATGATGGTAATGATGTGGAAAATGTGAAAAGAGAAAGAAATACTTGGAAATATATCTCACCCTCCATAAACAAAGCTCGGGGTTTAATTCTGACCTGTATGAGTTCATGGGGTGAACTGCAGACCGCTGTCTGTGGACAGGAAAACGATATTTCATCTCTAGCCCCAGGGACATCTCCAAAAGCTGAGCTAGATGAACTTTATATAAATTGGTACAAAATATAATTTTCTCTTTGCCTGCTGAAAGCCATTTCTAGAAATTCTGTTAATCAGAATCTCCCTAAGTTAATCAGTCATCTAGACAGATCTTATTTCTTTTTTAGACAAAGAAAAGTATATAAGTAACAGGTATTGGTAAACCACTTGAGTGAAGCATATGATATCTAATGTAAGGAAATCTAAAAGTGTCCACAGGCAAAATCTCATGGATTCAATTGATAGCACAGGTCATCAACTGACATGCAGACGGAATTCTCTTGTGGAACAAGACAATACAGCCATTGCTTAGAGACTAATTGTCAAGGAATTAGTCATTTCCTGTTTCAGAATAGCATCATCACCACCACCATTAATGCCAACATCAACCACCACCACCTACGCCACCACCGTTAGCATCATAACCACCACCAATAACATCACCAACAGCAACACTGCCATCAACATAAACCATCACCACCACCAAAACCATTAGCATCACCTAGAACCACCAGTCACCACCATCACCACTTACCACAACAAGGCTTATATTTACATACTTATTTTACTTTTCGAAATACATTCACATGCATGGTTTCATTAGATCTTATCTACTTGGTAAGGTTGGCAGATCTGACATCATTAGCCTCATTTTATCTGTATGGAAACTAAGTTCTAGAGAAGCGAAGTGATGTGTGAAAGGACACCAGAGTGATTGATAATCAAATCCAGACTAGAGTTTGGTTCTTCTGACTCCAAAATTAATACATTTTTCTTAAAAGAAAAAAATTTTTTTTGAGACAGGGTCTCACTCTGTCACCCAAGCTTGAGTGCAGTGGCATGATCACAGCTTACTGCAGCCTCGACTTCCCAAGCTCAAGCAATCCTCCCACCTCAGCCTCTCAAGTACCTGGGACCATAGGCACATGCCTGGCTAATGTGTTTTAAACATTTTTTGGCTGGGCACGGTGGCTCATGCTTGTAATCCCAGCACTTTGGTAGGCCAAGGCAGGCGGACCACAAGGTCAGGATATCGAGACCAGACTGGCCAAAATGGTGAAACCTCATCTCTACTAAAAATACAAAAAAATTAGCCAGGCGTGGTGGCACATGCCTGTAGTCCCAGCTACTCAGGAGGCTGAGGTAGGAGAATTGCTTGAACCCAGGAGGCAGAGGTTGCAGTGAGCTGAGATTGTGACATTGCACTCCAGCCTGGGCGACAAGAGCAAACTCCGTCTCAAAACAAAACAAAACAAAACAAAACAAAACAAAACAAAACAAAACAAAACTTTTTTTTTTTTTTTTTTGTAGAAACGGGGTCTCCCTAGGTTGCCCAGGCTGGACTCAATCTTCTGGGCTCAAGTGATCCTACTGCCTCAGGGTCTCTAAATGCTGGGATTCAGGCATGAGCCACCACACCCAGCTCCAATGCTTTTTTTGTCGTACCTAATTCTTTCAATGAAAATGAAGAATTTCCAACTTCTGATATTAACAACTTTGGTCCTATATTCAAGCTAGAGTCTTTCAAATAAAATAGACTTTTAAAACCATCTGTCTCCAAACCCTAAATGTCTCAGGTGAGCAACTAAGCTGCTCAGTTTATGTGACTCCCCAGAAGTTGAATTTTAACCCAGAACTGACTCCAAGTTCATTCTTCTTTCCACGACAAGGAGTCACCTCCTTGTATGCCCCCAGGAGTCTCCCGGATTCCTCCGAGAACAGTGGAATAGTGCTCCTCCCCAGAGCACAGGTTTTGCCAGTGAAGATTGAATTTGGCTAGAAACCGCTGCCCTGCTCTCTCTTCTCGAAGCACCTGGAAGTCTGAGAAGGAACTGGGTGGCTGGCTCTGGTCACAAACTAGCAGCCAGAAGCACCCCTTGTCAGTGATGCACCCCCAGTCCCCCTCAAGGGCTCCAAGTAAACCCAAAGCTGCTCCCCTCCAAGAAGTCTGGGGCCACCCTAGGGAAGGCCTCCTGGCCTTGACTCTCAGGGGGTCTCTGGGGTTGCGGTTTGGGGCCCGCTGCTTCCGCCCTTTGCCCCCAGGTGGGCCTGGCAGGGCTGCAGCACAGCTCTGTTGCTGATAGACAGGGTGGAGCACTTGGCGACCTTGCCCTGCAGCCCTGTCATTTTGAGTTCAGAGGTCAGATTTGAGTAATAAACATCTTCTAAGGACTTGTCATTCTTTCTGAGGATGTTGCTGGCCAGCCGGAAGACGAAAATCACCGCGTAGATGCCGATGATGGTGAGTATATACCAGGCAGCGCTGGTTCCGTCTGGCACCTTCAGAGCCCTGGTGGAGTTGGTGTCATTCCTCCCCTCTGTGTGGTCACCCAGCAGGAGCCCCAGGAGGGTGCTGGCCTGGGTCTGGTTGGAGGCTTCATGGGGAGTCCACTTGGCCCCTGAGAAACAGAGAGGTCCGGATGAGATCCAGCGTCCTGGGCTGAGGGCTGCCTGGCCACACCAAGGAGAATGGAGCCCTCATATCCGTGAAAACGTGTCGCTGCTCAAAGAGGCCTTCTCTGAGGCATGAGCAGGAGTGTAACAACAGGTATGTCAATATATTTTTAAAAATCAAAAGAGTCCAAAACACTATTTTGTTGTTGTTTTGTTTTGTTTTTTGTTTTGTTTGTTTTAGAGAGACAGAGTCTCTGTCACCCAGGCTGGAGTGCAGTGGCATGATCATAACTTACTACAGCCTCAACCTCCTGGGCTCAATTGATCCTCCTGCCTCAGCCTCACAAATAGACATGCAGCACCATGCCGGGCTAATTTTTTTCTTTTTTCTCTCTCTTTTTTTTTTTGTAGAGATAGGGTCTTGCCATGTTGACCAGGCTGGTTTTGAATTCCTGGTCTCAAGAGCTCCTCTCACCTTAGCCTCCCAAGCCCTGGGATTACAGGCAGGAGCCACTGTGCCCAGAAAAACACTAAGTTCTTGAATAGGAGACACAACATCATAAAGATGTCAGTTATCCCTCAAATAATTTATACAACAAACATAATTGCAATAAAAACAGCAATAGGATTTCTTTGTGAAATCAATAAACTATTCATTTAGAAAAATCAACTGTTGGCCGGGCATGGTGTCTCATGCCTGTAATCCCAGCACTTTGGGAGGCTAAGGTGGGAAGATTGCTTGAGCCCAGGAGGTTGAGACCAGCCTGGCCAACATGACAAGACCCTGTCTCTACAAGAAATAAAAAAACTAGCCAGGTGTGGTGTGCAAGCCTATGGTCCTAACTACTCAGGAGGCTGAGGCCGGAGGATCACTTGAGCCCAGGAGGTTGAGGCTGCAGTGAGCTGTGTTCACACCACTGCATTCCAGCATGGGACCCTATTTAAAAAAAACAAAAAAAGAAAGAAAGAAAAAGAAAAAGAAAAATCAACTGTCAAGACTAATTAGAAAAAAAAATCTGAATAAAAAGAATGACTAATGAATTAGCCTAGCCACAAATTTTAAATCAGCCAGCTATAAAAACTAATTTACATTTTTTTCAATGAATGAAAGCTTTATATGCACAAAGCCCAGCTGGGACTTGCTGGGCTTTGCAGAGTGTGTGGGCTGGGGGTTCTTCAGAACCAGGTACAACTCTCCCTATAAAACTACAACAGTGCTGGGCATGGTGGCTCACACCTGTAATCCCAGCACTTTGGGAGGCTGAGGCAGGTGGATCACCTGAGGTCAGGAGTTCGAGACCAGCCCTGCCAAAATGGAGAAACCCCGTCTTTACTAAAAATACAAAAATTAACCAGGCGTGGTGGCACACACCTGTAGTTCCAGCTACTAGGGAGGCTGAGGCAGGAGAATCGCTTGAGTCCAGGAGGTGGAGGTTGCAGTGAGCCAAGTGATGCCTGTAGTTCCAGCAAGACAGAGCAAGACTCTATCTTAAAAAGTAAAAAAATAAAAAATAAAACTACAACAGCTAAAATAGTGTGATGCCTGTAGTTCCAGCTACTAGGGAGGCCGAGGCAGGAGAATCGCTTGAGTCCAGGAGGTGGAGGTTGCAGTGAGCCAAGATCGGGCCACTGCACTCCAGCCTGGGTGACAGAGCAAGACTCTGTCTTAAAAAATAAAAAAAATAAAAAATAAAACTACAACAGCTAAAATAGTGTGGTGCTGAAAACACAGGCAAGCAGACCAATGAAACAGAGTAAAAACAGCATCAATAGTTAGCAATTAGAATTTGATAGCTAGCTAATAAAGGAGCATTTCTGATCGGTGGGAAAAGATGAATTATTCAATATGTAGCATTGGGGGAAATAGCATTAGATCCACATCTCTCCACCATATGACCAGATAAATCGGTCCAGATTAAAAAAAAAACAGCCCAGATAAATCAAATATTTTAACATAAAAAGTGAAATAATTTATAGTACTAGAGTACAGCATGGCAGATTTTTTCTTTATCATCTCAGAGTGGAATATTCTTTTAAGCATAACAAAAATTCAGAAGAAACAAGAAATAGAAATCAAATTCAACTACATAAAAAAAATTAAGCTATTTCATACCATAAAACCAACAGGCAGATGACAAAGTGCAATTTATATCACTGATTTTCTAAATAGCCTTCGGTTCTGTAAGAAAAAGTTTAAAACTGCAGTAGAAAAATGTGCAAAAGATATGGACAAATAGTTCACAGGGAAAAAATGAACATTCAACATAAGAAGAGCTTCTCAATATCACTCATATAAGAAAAATGCAAATTAAGATAATAACTAGATACCATTTTGTTACCTATTGGACTTGCAAATTCATGATGTTTCAGAATAAACTAACAAAAAAATGGCTTTTTTTTGTTCTTTTGTCCAGCTTAGAAGAAAGGTGTCTAAATTGGGAGCAAAGGTGGCAATGACGTGGACTTGACACCAAAAAAAAATTTTTTTAAAGAAAAGAAACAAGTGCCTCTGCATTTCAGGGGTTTAGGATTGGCATTTTTAAAATGTCAACAAATAAATGTTCATATCCACACTTGACATTTTTTCCAAGGAGAATTTTAATTGTATAATTGCTGGTAAATTCATGCAGCCAACATGGAGGGCACACGGACAAGATCTATGAGCATTACAAGTGCACTTACCTTTGACCCAGCAATTCTATCTCTAGGAATCTATCCTAAAGATGCTCCAGAACATCTAGAGACAACATATGCTGAAGGTTAGTCATTGCAGTCCTCCTTGTGATGACGAATGCCTGGGAACAGCCTGAATAGCACCAACTGAGGGATGGTGAAATACATTTTGGAACCTCCATGCAGTGGAGTACTACACAGTCATAAAAAGCAATGAGTTTTTTATGGTACTGAATGTTAATAAGTGAAAAAATAAGCTAATGGTGACATGCTCTGCAATGCCACTTGTAAAGAAGGGGGAAGTTATATGTTATTTGCTTGTACTTTTTTTATGTATAGAACATCTCTGGAAGAATGAATAAGAAATTAGTATCTGCAATTGCCTCTGGGGAAGAAACCTGGGGGAAGAAGATATATTTTTTACTGTTTGCCCTTTTGTACACTTAGTACCGTGTATACTTATTTTTGAAAAGCAAGAGTGTACCAGTTGGTACTTTTCTGGTCTCCCTGGTGAGGTGCCCCTGGGTAAAGCCGTTGTATGCCCTTGTAAGACCAGAAGATTAAGATCTCAATTGCTGTTCAATTCAAAACTGTTTTCTCTGCTTGGAGAGCTGGTGGAGAAAATGAAACAATGAAAACCAGAGCTGTAGAGTGCAATCCTGTGAGACATTTCCCAGTGGGGCCTTACTGGCTCAAACCCCCATTTCTTGCTCTAATGTGAACACAGATGTATTTAAAAACACATCATAGGATCAATCTTGCAGCCTGCTGTGCAGAACAAAGGTGCTCCAAAATGCTTCCCATTTGATCGTTGTTTGTTGCTAATTCATTTTGCGAACGCAAGACTCAGAGAGGCCAGTATTTTTTATTATAGTTAGTTGCCAGAATGTGTGAATGAGCTTATTACTTTTAGATGAAGGAAGAAACTATTTAAAAATTACTTTTCAAACTACATGTGACAAAGCCCAGGACAAATGAACAGATTTAATTACATAAAATTAGTCACTCGCAAGAAACAACACCACAAGCATAAATTTACACCATTGTTTGGTAGAATGGTTTGAGACATTAAAGTAAGGAAGGTGAAAAATTCCCGTAATTATTGCAACAAACAAACAGACAGCAAATCAACCCAACAAGAACACAATATCCTTATATTAGGGCAAGAGAACTTATTGAAACTCAGAACACATGTATAAACTCATAGAACTTTCTAGAAATTGTCATAGAATGATGCAACACATTCAAATACAAATAAAATATCCCCAACTAAGAGCTACACACAGAACATTAAATTATTTAAAAACCAGTCCATTTTCTACACGAAAGAAACTCACTATATTAATTACTGCAATACATTACATTTTACCTTTCTTACAAAGGTAAAAGTAAGTTAGGTTGTATCTTAATGGACAAACATATCCTGTAGAAGAGAGAAACTTTTTCCTCTGTGCTATTTTGTACTTGTAATTTAATGACGTGAAATATGTAAAATCTCAACCTGCCCATCCTTGCATTGTAGCTGAGTACTCACATTCCATGGGGTGGTCTTGTCCTTGACTCTTGGAGGGGCAAGTTCAAGCGGCTACCATGCACAGAAGGGGAAGATGATGAAAGGAGAACTCCGTCTCCTAGGGAAGAATCAGTCCTACTGCAGTTGAGCTGCACTGAGTTTCCAGAGTGGGGAGTAATATGATCTTCCAACAATCTTAGGGCAGCACCAAACAGAAACTTAGTAAGTGGATGACTTTGCTTTCATGCAATTAATCAGAGGATCCGATTTGCTGTGTCTTCTGTTGCATCAGAACAGAAAGCACTTCCCAGCTTTGACTTGTTAAGAAGTTCTCAATCAAAACAAATTTTTAAAACGTGCTGGTATTAAGGAATCTCCATCTCTCAGGTCCCATCATGAACTGAGGTGGCCAGAAGCTCCCCCTGAGGCTGGCTCTCCGCTTAGAGCTTGGATGGCTATTGAATTCCCCTGTGTTCTGCACCTGTTGCAGGTGTGGCAGATGGCCAGGTGTGGCAGAGATCTGTCATCATAGGGCCAGGAAACTCCATGGTCAAGAGTCACCAGCTTCCTCTGGACAGTCTCCCAGATGAGGAAACCCAGACAGGAAGGGAGTGACACCCCAAGGGTGACACACCTGAGGGGACTTGGGCTTTCCCTGAGGGGTCAGTGGGCAGTGGACTCCTGTGCCAGGTGGTGAGAAATGGCTCTTCTCTTTCCCAGAGTCACAGACCCCATTGGAGTTGAGGTAGGCTTAATTGGAAAGTGTTAGAGTAAGTGTCTGCGGGTAAAGTTTCCCCAGGAGCAGGGAGGGAAAAGTTGGAAGACTGGCAAGTTAAATCATCCAGCCATTGTTTCCAGTTCCATTTCTTCCTAATCCTCACTCTAGGACTCTAACTTGCCACGTTTGTGATGGTTGCTGGTTTTTAAGATACAATTTGATGAAATTTCCATCAATGGGGTACTGGGTAAGTAAGTTATAAAATAAGCCATATGATCCAGCAATTCTACTCCTGGGTATCTTCCCAGGAGAAATAAAAATGTAAGTTTACACAAAAACTTGAACACACATGTTCAAAGCAGCATTATCTGTAATAGCAAAAAATGGAAACAACCCAAATATCCAACAACTGACTAATGAATAAATAAAATGTGGTTTATCCATACAATGGAATGTTATTCAGCAATAAACAGGAATGAAGTACTGATATATGCCATAACACGGATGAAACTTGCAAACATTGTGCTAAATAAAAGAAGTCAGTCACAAAGGACTACATATTGTAGGATTTCATTTATATGAAATGCCAAGAATAGGCAAATCTACAAAGATAGAAAATAGATTAGTGGTTCACTAGCGGGAGGGATTGGGGGTGATAACTAAGGGTATATAGCATTTTTGGAGGGGTAATAAAACTTCTAAAATTGTGGTGCTCACTGTACACAATCTGTGAATATACAAAAAAATTGAATGCATACTTTAAATGGATGAATTTTATGGTATATGAATTATATTTCAATAAAACTGTTAAAAATTATAATATACAAGCTGGGTGCAGTGGCTCACACCTGTAATCCCAGCACTTTGGGAGGCCGAGGTGGGTGGATCCCCTGAGGTTGGGAGTTCGAGACCAGCCTGACCAACATGGAGAAACCCTGTCTCTACTAAAAGTACAAAAAATTAGCCGGGCATAGTGGAGCATGCCTGTAATCCCAGTTACTTGGGAGGCTGAGGCAGGAGAATTGCTTGAACCCAGGAGGCGGAGGTTGCAGTGAGCAGAGGTTGTGCCATTGCACTCCAGCCTGGGCAATAAGAGTGAAACTCCATCTCAAAAAAAAAATTATAATATACATATACAATGGAGTATTACACAGCTGTGAAAAAGAACGAGGAAGCTATTTATGTACTGATGTATAAAGCTCTCTAAGGTGTGCTGTTATGAAAAAGGTAAAGAAGAGAGCATGTTAACATGTATCCAAAAATTGAGAGGAAGCATATATATATATATCTGATTTTGCCACTGTAAGCATTTAAAACACCAGTGGAATATCCAAGAAATTAAGAAGAGGGGTTACCTATTGGAGGAGAGAACCAGGTAGATATATGGCAGGTGTGGGAGGGAGAGCTCTCACTAAATATTTTTATGCTTTAAATATTTTTAACCGTATGTGTATTACCTATTCAATAATAAATGCACCCATTTGTTAGATATCTTTGTTGAAGATTCATTTGGCTCCTGCTGTCTCTTGCTATGGGATGGACCATGGCATCCCCCCTCTGCCACACAGACAAGGGATTTGGACACTGCCAGTGGGACGTGGGAGGGGAGAGCACCTGACCCGTGATAATAAGGGGCTCGTGGCAGTGATAAGGGCTGGGAGTCAGGGCTCTGGCCCCAGCCACATCCTTGCTGCATGACCCTGGGCCAGCCCCCTCATCTTTGTGAGCCTCAGTTTCCTCATCTGTGAGGTGAAGGTGGTGAAGGAGGTGAAGGATGAGCAGGATCTTATGTCCTTGGTCCTGAGAAGGCAGGAGAGAAGCCTGGGGCTCTGTGTGGGAAGAGCCGCTCTCTGGGGAGGTATCTGAATAGATGAGGGAGAGCACACCGGGCAGCCAATGTGCCAGAGGTGGAGGCTTTGGAGAGTGTTTCATTTGTGAAGTCAACAGATTTAACATTCAGATCAGGAGGACGTTGGCATGAGATGTGGGGAATCATAAGCTCCAAAACAATCGTGAGACAGAAGGAAAGATGGCCTTTTGTTGAGCAGCCATTCTCCTCCACGGAGAGTCCTGTCTAGTCTGCCTGTTGAAGGGGCACTGATGTTAGGGAATAGATCTGTGTCAAATGCTTCCCACCTCCCAGAATCCTGTGAGGCAGGAGTATTATCCCCATTTAAAGAGAGGACACTCAGGCTCAGGGAAGTGACTGGCCCAATGTCCCATAGCTCATAGGTGCCAGAGGTGGGTCATCCACACCAAAGTCATTCTCCTTCCATACCCTGAATGTCACCTTCACGCTGGACCCAGGATCCTGTGTGGTGAACTGTCTCGATCACTTCCCTAAAGGTTAAATCATAAACTCTTACTGCCAAGGCATATCCACGACCTTAAACTCTCCCTGTTGGGCAAAAACAATCTCTGATGTTAAAAGGCAGGATAGTGGATACTTTTCAGGGAAGGGTAAATGACAAGGGCATGAGGGGAACTCTGGGTGCCGGTCATATTCTGTTTTACAGGTTTGTTCAATTTGAGACACTTCATAGAGCTGTAGCCTTGTGCACAGGCACTTTTTTGCATGCATCGTCTGCTTCAATATAAACCTCTTCCTGTTGTCTTGTTTTTGTTTTTGTTTTTGTTTTCTCTTGTTTTCTTGTCCTGCTCTGTCACCCAGGCTGGAGCTCAGTGGTGTGATCTCAGCTCACTGCAGCCCCTGCCTCCCAGGTTCAAGCGATTCTTCTGCTCGGCCTCCTGAGTAGCTGGGATTACAGAGGTGTGCTACCACACCTGGCTTCCCTGTTGTTTCTTTAATGTAGAAAGCCCTGATAGATGGTGGGAAAACAAAGTTTAAGGTATTCATAGAAAAATACAAATACTATTTTTAAGGATTCTATATCTGGCCACATGGTGCCATCTCACGAAGAGTGTCCCCGTCCCTTGAGGGGGAGTGGTCGGGATCATGGTCAGTGTGGGGCCCTGCAGCTGCCTGCTTCCCTATGCTGTGTGGATGACGCCCGCCTCCGGTCATTCCCCTGTGCTTACATAACAGTGAAATGGAACAACCTGTATCAGCACGAGGGCCAAGAATTTTCTTCTGACTTGTGGATACCTCCTTCCTTAGGCCTCTGATCAGTCTGGACAAATATTGCCCTGAACGCAACCAAGCAAAGCCACTCACCTGGTAAATATTTGTATGAGCTACAGTTCTGGAAGAACAAATTCCAATATCCTGCAGTCCCCTTGACATCAAAGACCCAACTCTCCCAGAGGGCAATGGCTTTTTTGTCCACTGAGAAGCCAGTCAGCTTCGAAGAAAGGTGTCTAAATTGGGAGCAAAGGTGGCAATGATGTGGACTTGACTCCAAAAGAAATTTTAAAAAGAAAAGAAGTGCCTTTGCATTTCAGGGGGTCAGTATTGGCATTTTTAAAATGTCAACAAATAAATGTTCATATCCACACTTGACATTCTTTCCAAGGAGAATTTTCTAGAGGAGACAGACCTCATCGGTCAGCTCTGATGCCCTGCAGTGCAAAAAGACATTAAAAATGACGGTAAAGGACCCCTGCAGAGAACAACTGAGTCTCTTCCTTGCCCTGCGTCTCCAGATAAAGGATGCCCTGCATCCATCCCCTCCTGGCTAAGAGCACAGACTCCAGAGGCTTTTTCCTCTCCTGGAGGTTAAAGAGGCATCACATATGTTTAAAATCTTTAATTTATATGTCACCTTTGTCCTTCCTTTTAACTTCATTTTTCTCTTATCCAGCATTTAGGGACTCATCTTTAGGGAGGTTCAAAGGAAAGCTCATGGCCTTTAGAACTGGAAGAACCATGTTCCAGTTGGGACTTGATCATTTACTAATTGTGGGATTACAGCCAAGTCACTTCATCCCTCTGCTGTAAAAAAAAAAAAAAAAACAAAAAAAAACATATGATGACATTTGTGGAATGGCTCCCCAAGCCAAAGAGGGCAAATATTGTCACAGCTCATTTCTTCTCTCAGTTAATTACTTGCGTCCTCGGCTGCCTGGCTGGCAGGACAACCTATATTCGCCTCCCTCTTAAAGCCTCCTGGGTTGGCCAGGACTCCAAGCGGCTTTGTCCAGAATGAGTAGGGTGGTTGGCCTGGCCTCCTCAGCCAATCAGAGAGGACTAGCATCTGAACACTCCTCTGTGCTATTGCTTCTAGCTGCCACATGGGGACGCTGTTGAAACACCGGCCTGGTGCAGTTGGCCATATGATGCTTCAGGGTCTTCTGAGACTTCAAGAATGTGCTCACAGGGAAGGTATTAGCTCTAAACACTTGCCTCTGCTAGTTTACATCACAGAACAGACAGACAAGACTGTTTTGCTCCCTCAGCTCTCTCCTTTTCCTAGCTTCAGTCCTGGGGAGCTCAGAAGCTACAGTTTGTTTTTTGTTTTTTGTTTTTGTTTTTTTCTTGAGGGAGTCTTGCTCTGTTGCCCAATCTGGAGTTCAGTGGTGTGATCTTGGTTCACTGCAACCTCCGTCTCCCAGGTTCAAGCAATTCTCCTGCCTCAGCCTCCCGAGTAGCTGGGACTACAGGTGCCTGCCACCATGCCAATCTAATTTCTGCATTTTTAGTAGAGTCAGGATTTCACCATGTTGGCCAGGCTGGTCTTGAATTCCTGACCTCTGGTGATCACCCACCTCAGCCTCCCAAAGTTCTGAGATTATAGGCGTAAGCCACCGCACCCGGCCAGAAGCCACAGTTTACAAATCTGGGGGATTTGGGGCATGGGAACAGAAACAGAAGAGTCCCAATGAAAGGAAGATACCAGCTGAGCTGCCCACTCTCCCAGCTGCAGTTCTCCTGCCCACAGCAGGCCCTAGCTGGGACAGGGAGGAGCCCCAGCCTTAAATCAAATTCAGAATTTTGTTTATGACATAAGACTGCACATCTTAATTACTGAATTAAGACTATATTTTCCAACCTATCATGACTATAGGTGCAGGGCAAGATCAAACTCCAGTGTATGTGGGGCCCGCAGAAGAGATTTAAAGAAACAGTGGGGGCAGAAATAAAGCTGTGTGGTTATCAGATCCCATGAGTCTTGTCTGTAAGGATGATGGTTACAGTCGGGATGCTCCAGAGTGCAAAGCCACATCTCAACCAGAGTTAGTAACAAGGGAGAGTTTACTGGTTCATGTGAGGAAGAGAGAGGAAGGGGAGGGCTAGCCAAGGGGCTGGATGCAGGAAGGAGGGTCCCCAGGGTTCTCTGTCCCCCTCCTGTCTTCCATCTCTGCCTCTCTCAGCAGGTTGGCCTAATTTCCTCCGACTGCAGAGAAGCACACAAGCTGTGGCACCTGGTGCTCAGACTCACACTGCAACACTTCCACCAGTAGATGGCAGAGAGGTACTTTCCTGCCTGTTCAGCCACGAAAATCCCAGGGGATGGCTCTGACTAGCCTAAGTCAGGAACCTGCTGTGGGCAATCACTGTAGCATTAAGATGGGGGCCAGTGATGGAGCCGGTCTGCAGCACATGCTCAGCAAAAGACAAAACCCGCCTGTTTTAGATCACTCCGGCTGCATCACAGAGTGTGGATTGAACAGGCACAGAACTGGAGGCAGAGAAACAAGTTAGGCAGCTGCAGGCATAATCCAGGCAGGAGATGACAGTATTTGAAAGAAGGAGTGGGAGCAAGTCTGGAGAGAAGTCGATGGATCCAAGAGATTTTTAGAAGGTAGAATGTGCAGAACTTAATTAGTTGGTGCAGTGGGTTGAATGGTGTCTCCCTAAAAGATATGTTCACCTGGAACCTCAGCATGTGACCTTATTTGGAATAAGGGCTCTTGCAGAAGTAAGTAAGGTGAGAATCTTGAGGTGAGATCGTCCTGGATTACAGTGGACCTTGTATCCAATGGCAAATGTCCTTATAAGAGACAGAAAAGGAAAAGAAAGAGACACAGGGAAGAAGATGTGAAGATGGAGGCAGGGATTGGAGTGATGCAGCCTCAAGCCGCAGAATGCCTGGAGCCACCAGAGGTTGGGAGAGGCAAGAAAAGGTCCTCCCCTAGAGCCTTCACAGGGAGTAGCGTCCTGCCAACGCTTTGATTTTGAGCTGGTCTCCAGAACTAAGAGAGAATAGATATCTGTTTTTCTAATCCACCAAGTTTGTGGTTATTTTGATGCAGGGCAGGCAAGCCCCCAAATTGGGTTGTAGCCTGAGAGGGTTCTTGGGTTCATTCAGGAAGGAATTCAAGGGCAAGCTGGTGGTATTAGACAGCAACTTCTGTTGAAGCAGCAGTGGACAGCAGCAGCAGAGGTCCTGCTCTTTGCAGAGCAGGGCTACCCCATAGGCAGTGTGCCCAGAGTAGCAGCTCGAAGGCAGTTCTGTAGTCCTATTTACACCCACTTTTAATTATATGCAAATTAAGGGGCAGATTATGCAGAAAATTTTAGAAAAAGAGTGCTAATTTCCAGGTTGTCGGGTTGTTGCCATGGAAAGGGGCCGCAACTTCCGGTGAACTCCATAGTATGTGGCACACACTGGTGGGCGTGTCCCATGGAAAGGTGCTTCCGCCCTGTACCTGTTTTAGCTAGTCCTTAATATGGTCCAGTATCCGCGCCCTGCCTTTGGAGTCAAGTTCAACTTCCTACCTCAATTGATGATAGCAGTTTCTGAAAACTAACACATGTAGATATAAATATAAGTCCTTAAGTCTATCATTATTATGCATATCCTATAGGGGAGTCATCGCGAATGAAACTGAACTTATTGTGGTTCATTCATTCAGATATTTATTTAAAAATATTTATTAAAGCTTACTGTCTGCCAGTCCGATACTGCACTAGGTAAGTGCTGGGGTTACAAACAGAACAAGATAGACAGATTAGTTGCCCGCATGGAACTTATATCTAGTGGGAAGAGAAGCAAAAAAAAAGTAAGCAAGCAATAAACAGTAAAAAAAAAAATACTGGGATTTGAGCCATAAAAAAAGAAATAAGATGCAGAAATCAGCAATAAGGAGGTTGGGGAGAAGATCCTTCTTTAGAAAGAATTGCCAGAGAAGGTGGTTGGGATAGGCAGAAAAAATAGTAATATTCCTCTTTTATCTTCACCTATATTAGATGATCAATAGATATTTCCTGAGAAATGAAGGACTGA
Organism: Homo sapiens; assembly: GCF_000001405.40. Lineage (NCBI taxonomy): Eukaryota > Metazoa > Chordata > Mammalia > Primates > Hominidae > Homo > Homo sapiens. The sequence goes on from NC_000021.9 coordinate 34,431,657, forward strand.
GTATATTATAAGAAGGTATGATTAAAAACAATCACCAGAATGAATGGCTAACAAGCACATGAAAAGATGCTCAGAATCATTAGTAATGAAAGAAACACAAATTAAACCACAATGAGATACCACTTCACACATAAAAAGGAATTAACACTTGCTGGTGAGGATGTGGGGAAATGTCATATTTCCCCACAGCAGCCATAGTACACTGCTGGTGGGAATATAATATGATGCATCTGCTATGGAAGAGAATATAGTGGCTCTTCAAAACGTTAATCCTAGAAAGCCTGGGCATGGTGGCTCCCGCCTATAATTCCAGCACTTCGAGAGGCCAAGGTGAGAGGACTGTTTGAGCCCAGGAGTTTGAGAGCAGCCTTGGTAACATAGCAAGACCCTGTCTCTATAAAAATCAAATAAAAAATAAATAGAGGAAAAGCACATTAATCATAGAACTGCCATATCCACCACTTCCACTCCTTGGTATATACCCCAAAGAACTGAAAACAGCTATTCAAAGAAATACTTGCACATGAGTGTTCAGATTATTAACGGAAACCAAAAGGTGGAAATAACCCACATGTCTACCAATGGATGAATCAATAAACAACACATGGTCTATCCATACAGTAGAATATTGTTGAGCCATAAAAAGGAGTGAAGTGCTGGTACATTGCCAGAACATCAAAGACCCTTGAAAACATTATGCTAAGTGAAATAAGCCAGATGCGAAAGGACATGAATTATATGATTTCATTGATATAAAATGTCCAGAAAAGGTAAAAAATATCCATTGAGACCAAAAGCAGATTGTGGTTGCCCCGGACTAAAGAAAGAGTAATTACTTAATTTTCCTGGGGGTTTCCTCTTGGCATGATGTTCTGTATACAGGACATACAAAAAGCCTTTATTTTTTATTCTTAGCAAATACTTAATTAGTACTCACCATGAGCTGGGCATGTTCTAAGTCACTTTCCAATTACTAACAAATCACTTAATTATATTGACACAAAAAGAATGGGCATAATGCATAAAGCAAATACGAACATAAAAAAGAAATCTCCCTATTAATATCATTTATGTTGAATTCAATGCAGGGAGCATTTAAATAAGATAAAGGGAGATACTTCATAATCCACACTGGTCAGCTAACATCATGACTATCTATGCAGAAGATAAACCAGCATCAAAACTCATAAAGAAAAATTTATAGAGAGTAAGAAAAAAATGAAGAAACAGTTTAGAGGTAGGTAATTTGAATTTACTGTTCGGTGCATAAAAGAACAAATAGGCCAGACGTGGTGGCTCAGGCCTGTGGTCCCAGCACTTCGGGAGGCCGAGGCAGGCAGATCTCGAGGTCAGGAGTTCGCGATCAGCCTGACCAACATGGTGAAACCTGTCTCTACTAAAAATACAAAAAATTAGCTGAGTGTGGTGGCGTGCACTGTAATCCCAGCTACTCAGGAGGCTGAGGCAGGAGAATCGCTTGAACCTGGGAGGCAGGCTGGGCGCAGTGACTCACGTCCGTAATCCCAGCACTTTGGGAGGCCGAGGCGGGTGGATCATGAGGTCAGGAGATCGAGACCATCCTGGCTAACACGGTGAAACCTCGTTTCTACTAAAAAAATACAAAAAAATTAACCAGGCATGGTGGTGGGCACCTGTAGTCCCAGCTACTCGGGAGGCTGAGGCAGGAGAATGGCGTGAACCCGGGAGGAAGAGCTTGCAGTGAGCCGAGATTGCGCCACTGAACTCCAGCCTGGGTGACAGAGCAAGACTCTGTCTCAAAAAAAAAAAAAAAAAAAAAGAAAGAAAATACAGGCCACACAGATGGGGAGATGATAATTGCAAGTTATATATTTGATAAAGGACTTTCATTCAGAATATATGAAATAGTCTTACAATTTAATAAAAGAGGACAAACAACCCAGTAAAATGTAGGAAAAATATTTGAACAGATGTTTCACCAAGGAAAAAATACAAATGGCTAATCAGCACATGAAAAGATGCTCAACATCATTTAGTCATTAAGGAAATACGAACTAAAACCACCATAATATATCACTACACACCTGCCAGAATGGCTATAATTTTAAAAAAATGGACAATACTGAGTGCTGGTAAGGATGTGGAAAAACAGAAACTCTCATACCTTGCCAGTGGCAATGTTAAATGATACAGCTATTCTGGAAAACAGTTTGGCATTTTCTTAAAAATTTAAACTTATTATATGACCCAACAATTCCACTCCTAGGTATCTACCCAAGAAAAATAAAAATACATGTCCACACAAGGGGACTTGTGCATAATGTTCATATCAGCCCTATTTGTAATAACACCAAATTGGAAGGAATCCAAATGTCCATTAACTATGAATGGAAAACCAACATTCTTACAAATAATTCAACAATAAACCTTCATGAACCTTAGAAACATTATTCTGAGTGAAAGAAACCAGACACAGAAGACCACAAGGTGTAGGACTGTATTTATTTGACATTTCTAGAGAAAGCAAAACTGTAGAGACAGCAGATCAGTGACTGCCAGGGGCTAGAGACGGAGGCAAGGGTTGATACAAGCAGGCAGGAGGTTGCTTTCTGGGCTGATGGAAATGTTCTTATGCTGGATTGTGGTAATGGTTCACAACTGTATAAATTAACAAAAAATTATCAGACTATACCCTTACAATGGTATGTACATTTCATCCAAGTAACGCTGCTTTAAAATTTGAAATTAAGCACCTAATGATATTAAGAAATGAATAACAAAATAAACCCAAAGAAAGCAGGGGGGAAAAAAAGCAATTGGAAAAGATGAGAGCAAAAATAATGAAAAAAAAAACATCTATAATACATCTAGCGGTTGGTTCCTTGAAGAAAAAGAAAGAAAGAAATGAAAAAATCATTAACTATCCTAATAAAGAAACAAAGGAGAAAGAACAAATATACAAAATAAGAATTGTGAATGAAATAATTGTAGACACAGAGGATATCAAATGAGTGACTCCTCAATCCCTCTGCAAATAGATTCAAAATCTTGACCAAATGGATGATTTTCTAGGAAAATATAAATTACCAAAACTGACCACCAAAGAGATTTTAAAAATCAGAAAATATCGTTTATCACAGAGATGGTAAAAACCTTGATAAAAAGTCATTTACCCAGAGAAGCATCTGGTTCCAACAGCTTTGCAAGTGCATCCTATTAAAACTTTATTGATTGGCAAACGCTAATTTTTTTTAATTTTTATTTTTAATTATACTTTAAGTTCTAGGGTACATGTGTACAACGTGCAGTTTTGTTACATATGTATACGTGTGCCATGTTGGTGTACTGCACCCATTAACTCGTCATTTACATTAGGTATATCTCCTAATGCTATCCCTTCCCCCTCCCCTCTCCCCACGACAGGCCCCAGTGTGTGATGTTCCCCACTCTGTGTTCAAGTGTTCTCATTGTTCAATTCCCACCTATGAGTGAGAACATGCGGTGTTTGGTCTTCTGTCCTTTCAATAGTTTGCTCAGAATGATGGTTTCCAGCTGCATCCATATCCCTACAAAGGACATGAACTCATCCTTTTTTATGGCTGCTTAGTATTCCACGGTGTATATGTGCCACATTTTCTTAATCCAGTCTATCATTGCTGGACATTTGGGTTGGTTCCAAGTCTTTGCTATTGTTAATAGTGCCGCAATAAACATACATGTGCATGTGTCTTTGTAACAGCATGATTTATAATCCTTTGGGTATATACCCTGTAATGGGACGGCTGGGTCAAATGGTATTTCTAGTTCTAGATCCTTGAGGAATTGCCACACTGTCTTCCACAATGGTTGAACTACTTTACAGTCCCACCAACAGTGTAAAAGTGTTCCTATTTCTCCACATCCTCTCCAACATCTGTTGTTTCCTGACTTTTAATGATCGCCCTTCTAACTGGTGTGAAATGGTATCTCATTGTGGTTTTGATTTGCATTTCTCTGATGGCCATTGATGATGAGCGTTTTTTCATGTGTCTGTTGGCTGCAAAAATGTCTTCTTTTGAAAAGTGTCTGTTCATATCCTTTGCCCACTTTTTGATGGGGTTGTTTGATTTTTTTCTTGTAAATTTGTTTAAGTTCTTTGTAGATTCTGGATATTAGCCCTTTGTCAGGTGGGTAGATTGCAAAAATTTTCACCCATTCTGTAGGTTGCCTGTTCACTCTGATGGTAGTTTCTTTTGCTGTGCAGAAGCTCTTTAGTTTAATTAGATCCCATTTGTCAATTTTGGCTTTTGCTGCCATTGCTTTTGGTGTTTTAGACGTGAAGTCCTTGCCCATGCCTATGTCCTGAATGGTATTGCCTAGGTTTTCTTCTAGGTTTTAGGTCGGACATTTAAGTCTTTAATCCGTCTTGAATTAATTTTTGTATAAGGTGTAAAGAAGGGATCCAATTTCAGCTTTTTACATATGGCTAGCCAGTTTTCCCAACACCATTTATTAAATAGGGAATCCTTTCCCCATTTCTTGTTTTTGTCAGGTTTGTCAAAGATCAGGTGGTTGTAGATGTGTGGTATTACTTCCAAGGGCTCTGTTCTGTTCCATTGGTTCTGTTCTGTCTCTGTTTTCGTACCAGTACCATGCTGTTTTGGTTACTGTAGCCTTGTAGTATAGTTTGAAGTCAGGTAGCATGATGCCTCCAGCTTTGTTCTTTTGGCTTAGAATTGTCTTGGCAATGCGGGCTCTTTTTTGGTTCCATATGGACGTTAAAGTAGTTTTTTCCAATTCTGTGAAGAAAGTCATTGGTAGCTTGATGGGGATGCCACTGAATCTATAAATTACCTTGGGCAGTATGGCCATTGGCAAACACTAATGTTTTTAAACTGTTCTAGAGAGCATGGAGAAAGGAGAAAACCTTCCAAATTATTCCTGTGAAGCTTGCATGTCAATGATTCCATAACAATAACTATAGAATCAAATAACCACAATAAAAGAAAAACACAGACCAACTCCACTTATGGATATAGATGTAAATATTCTAAATACAATATTAGCTGATAGATCTAACACTGCATTAAAAGATTTGTGGAAGGAGTTGTTCAATATTAGGAAATCCACTCTGTGATTATCTCAAGTTAGCAATTAGATGTATATTCAATGCTGAAATAACAGAAGCACCCCAGTTTAGTCAGAAATAAGACCCAATTACCCATTATCACCACCACCATTTAGTATTGCACTGGGGAATTACCAATTCAGTTAGACAAGAGTGGGGAAGAGGTACAAAAACTAGAAAGAAGGTGGCAAAAACAATCATTGACTGTATGATTGGAAAAAATAAGAGAATCAATTGCAAAACCATTAGAAAGAGCAGGATAATTCAGGAAGCTCAGGGGGCACAAAATAAATGTTTTTACAAAACAATATCCAAGAATCTATATTAACAACAATATCTTTGAGATATAATTGAATAGAAGATTCCATTTACAATAGGAAACCCCAAAGATAGAACACCCAAGAGTTGCACAAAATTTACACAAAGAAAATCTAAACAACAGAGGGACAAAACGGAAGATTTGACTACATGCAAGTATATTTCCTAGTCTTGGGTAGAAAGACTCATCTGCATAAAGATGACAATCCTTCCTGAATTAATCTATAAATTTAGTATAATTCCAATGGAAATTTCCCTTGTTTTGTTGTTGTTGTGCTGTTTTTGTTTTGTTTTCCAGACTACACTGAATGCCAAATATTCCATTTAGTGATTTTCTTCTTCCCTTTTCCTTTCTAATGACATATTTTGTGCTTTTCAGACCTGCCTTTCTTTCTCTCGGCACCAATGAATAAAGTTCCAGCTTTAAGGCTTGAAAAATCACAGCAAAGTTGCAGCAAAATTAAAAGGAAAAAAATGTTCTTTTTTTTTCCTGCAGCTGCAGAGAGTGGCAGATAGCATCCTGCGTGATAAACGCCTATTCTTGGCTAGGCGCAGTGGCTCACGTCTGTAATCTCAGCAACTTGGGAGGCCAAGGCAGGCAGGTCACCTGAGGTCAGGAGTTCGAGGCCAGCCTGGCCAACAAGGTGAAACCCCGTCTCTACTAAAAATACAAAAATTAGTTGGGTGGTGGCGCACACCTGTAATCCCACCTACTTGGGAGGCTGAGGCAGGAGAATTGCTTGAACCTGGGACGTGGAGGTTGCAGTGAGCTGAGATAGTGCCACTGCACTCCAGCCTGGGTGAAAAGAGTGAGACTCTATCTCAAAACAAACAAACAAACAAACACCTATCCTTGCCTATGTCATTTTAACAAAGGAGGAAGTAAATCCCCTGGATTTCAGAGGCTGATGCTCTGCCCAAGAAAAGCAACCCTAACTTCCCCAAAGGCTAAAATTCAGACTGATTGGCTCTGGCAGAGATATTTAAATTGATACCTCTGTTTCCTCAAAGGTATAAGCCTTTGCGAACTTTCTTTGGTTTCTCTCTTCTCTCACAGGAGGCAGGGGATAAACAAATATGTTAGATTTCTTATTTAAACAAAGAGCTTGAGGGTTTTGCCTCATCGAAATTAACAGAGACAAGTTGATGCTAATATTTTTATGGAAAATCGAATATGCAAAAATAGCCAAGGAAATTCCAGGGAAAAAGTAATGAAAGAAAATATCACCAAAAGATGTTAAAACATTTTGGAAAGCCACAGAAATTAAAAGTGTTTGATCCTAGCATATAAACAAGCAGACAAGGGGCTGGGCATGGTGACTCATGCCTGTAATCCCAGCACTTTGTGAGGCCGAGGCTGGTGGATCACCCGAGGTCAGGAGTTCGAGACCAGCCTGGCCAACATGGTGAAACCTCGTCTGTACTAAAAATACAAAAATTAGCCAGGCATGGTGGCACGCACCTGTAGTCCCAGCTACTTGGCAGGCCGAGGCAGGAGAATTGCTGGACCCTGGGAAGCAGAGGTTGCAGTAAGCCGAGATTGCACCACTGCACTCCATCCTGGGCGACAGAGCAAGACTCTATCTCAAAATTAAAATAAACAAACAAACAAATAAATAAATAAACAGGCAGATAGATCAGTGGAACAGAATAAAATCCAGAAATAGACTGAAAACATTCAGGAAAACAGTATAAAATAAAGGGGACATTTCAAATCAATGGAGAAAAGATTAGTTATCTCAGAAATGAATGGGACGATTGAGTAGACTGGGAAAGAGTAAAACTGGAGCTCTACACACACCAAAATACATTCCAGATGGGGCTAAGATTTTATATATCTATATATGTTTAAATAAAGCCATGAAAGAACTAGAGCAAACATGAGAGATTTATTTTTATAATCCCAGACGGTGGCAATCTTTCCAAGTGTGGCACAAAAGTCAGAAATCATTAAAAAAAGACTGATAAATCCAACTACACAAAGTTAGACATTTCTTTATGGCAAAAAATGCTATCAAAAAGTCAAGAGATCAATGATAATGGGGGAAACATTTGTAACACATACAATAAGCTGTCCAATTTTTTAATAGTCAAAGACTTTAACATTAAGAAACAGACCAGCTGGCTGGGCATGGTGGCTCGAGGCTGGGGGATCACTTGAGGTCAGGAGTTCAAGATCAGTCTGGCCAACATGGCAAAACCCCGTCTCTACCAAAAATACAAAAATTAGCTGGGCATGGTGGGGCATGGTGGTGCATGCCAGTAATCCCAGCTACTCAGGAGGTTCTTCTGGCTTCTCAGCTTGCAGACAGCCTATTGTGGGACCTTATGATTGTGTGAGTTAATACTTAATAAACTCCTGTTTATATTATGTGTGTGTGTGTGTATATATATGTGTGTGTGTGTGTGTGTGTATACACACATATACTGGAATATATGTATATACATATATACATATATACACATACATATATATACACATATACATATATACACATATATATACACATATACATATATACATATATACACGTATACATATATACATATATACACATATACATAAATACATATATACACATATATATACATATACTATATATATACATATACATATATTCATTCCATTAGTTCTGTCCCTCTAGAGAACCCTGATGAATACAGTGGGCTACACACCTATTGGAATGGCCAAAACCCAGAACACTGACAACACCAAATGCTGGTAAGGATGTGGCGTTTTTTATCCGCATTCATTGCTGATGGTAATGCAAAATAGTGCAGCCAGTTTGGAACACAGTTTGGCAGCTCTTTACAAAACGGCGTGTACTCTTACCATACGATCCAGAAACTGTATTCCTAGGTATCTACCCAAAGGAGTTGAAAACTTGTAACCACACAAAAACTTGCACACAGATGCTCATAGCAAGCTTTATTTATTATTGCCCAAACTTGGAAGCAAACAAGATGTCCATCAGTAGGTGAATGGATAAATAAACTGTGGTGTATCCACACAGTAGAATATTATTCAGTGCTAAAAAGAAATGAGCTATCAAGACATGAAAAGACATGGAGGAAACTGAAATGCATATGACTGAGTGAAAGAAGCCCTTATGAAAAGCTACATACTGTATGACTCTAACTATGTGACATTCTGAAAAAGGCAAAACTATGGTGAAAACATCAGTGGTTGCCAGCAGTTGAGACGGGTGGGGGGAAGATAACCAGGTAGAGCATAGAGGACTTTAAGGGCAGCGAAAATGCTCTGTATATTACTACGATGGTGGATACATGTCATTATACAGCAGGTCCTTGGATGACACTATCTCATTCAACATCATTTTGCTATAAAGTTGATGAGAAAAAAAAGTCAATTCCTAGCCAGGCCACTGTCTCTGTGGAGGGTGTGCGTTCTCCCCATGTCTGTGTGGGTTTCCTCTGGGTCCTCCAGTTTCCTCCCACATCCCAAAGCTATGCACGGTAGGTGAACTGGCATGTCTACATGGTCCCAGTGTGAGCGAGTGTGGAAGTGGGTGAGTGTGCCCTATGATGGAAGAGGACCCTGTCCAGGGTTGGTGTCTGCCTTGACCCTGTGCCTCTGGGATGGGCTCTGCCATCCACAGCTCTGAAGTGGAATAAGCCAGTCAATAATATTCTCGCTTGTTTTTTGTTGTTGTTGTTGTTTGTTTGTTTTTGTGACAGAGTCTCACTCTGTTGCCCAGGCTAAAGTGCAGTGGCACTAACTCGGCTCACTGCAACCTCCACCTCCAGGGTTCAAGTGATTCCTGTGTCTCAGCCTACTGAGTAGCTGGGACTACAGGCATGCGCCACCATGCCCAGCTAATTTTTGTATTTTTAGTAGAATCAGGATTTTGCCACGTTGGCCAGGCTGGTCTTGAACTCTTGACCTCAGGTGATCTGCCTGCCTCAGCCTCCCAAAGTGCTGGGATTACAGGCGTGAGCCACCGTGCTCAGCTTTCACTTGTTTGTATTAATCTTTCCTAAATGTATGTATGGCTCACATTTATTTCAATGTTTAGTATTAGAAGTGTTTGAGGTCTTTGTAAGTTTGGTGATGTTTTGTGACCAGAAACAGGCCATAGGAACTTAACTCTTGTTTATATTAATTAGCTTATGGTAAAATTGGATAAATGTTTTATAAGAGACATGAAAGGGCATACAGACACACAGGAGAGAAGGCCACGTGAAGATGGAGGTGGAGGAGACAGTGATGCAGCCACAAGCCAAGGGATGCAAGCGGCCACCTGCAGTTGAGAGAGGCAGGAAGGATCCTCAGAAGGCATGGAGCCTACGAGGAAGCCTGGCCCTGCTGGTACCTTAATTTTGGACTTCCAGCCTCCAGAACCATGAGAGATTACATTTCTGTTGTTTGAAGCCACTGATTTTTGTGGTCATTGGTTATGGCAGCCACAGGAAATAAGATAATCACCCACTTAATTTTCCTAGAAAAGCTGTGTTTTGAAAGTCCTCTTGAAGCCTGGGTTCCTCTCTCTGCATCTCCCAGTTTTCCCTCAAAGCTTGTGGATTCTCCATTCCTCACATTAACTCAGGCCTTTCATTGCCAAGTGACCCCGAGTCCTGCCTTCGCGGGTGCTGGGGGAGCCTTCCTGACCCACTGGAAGTGGACCTGCCCATCTCCTTGCTGTGAAACTGCATGAGGGGGCTTGTGTCTGAGGATTGTCTGGCGTGAGGGGAGAGACACCACGTGGGGACAGAGGAGTGGATGAGCAGGCCGGGGCATGACGGGGCCGTGACAGGGACCTGGCCTTCCATTCTGTGGAAGCCTGAGACAAGCAGCAACTTCTCTCATTCCTCCTCTCTATGACAAGACAGGAACTGGGACACTCACCTTACTACCCTAATTCGCTGAGCCTCGGAAGAAAAGCAGCTTAGATTTTTAATCCCATCCAAGATGGAGGCCCTCCTGCTCCTGCTGCCTTGTTCTCACCCCCTTTCGTGATGTGCGAGGCCATCGGAAGGTGTGGAATTTCTCCACTGATTCCTCTCATTGTCCCTTTCTCCCTACTCCTGGGGAGGCTGCAATGGTGACCTCATCCACCTTCAGAGGCAGGTGCTGGAGGAGGAAAGGATGTGGGAGTTCAAGCCGGCTGCAGAGGCCCAAGAGCCCAGATGGTGTCCTTCCAGCAAACTGGAGAGGCACTCCTCCTACCAGGCAGCCACTGCCCCACTCCAGGGCCCCTGGCTCAGCTAGGGAAGTGGGGCTGGGTTTCACCCCCTGCTCATCCCCTAAGGCCCAGTGCTGGACTCAGTGCAGCACCTGCCCAGCCATCTCTAGCAGCGGCATAAAGCATAAAATCAAGGCCAATGTTACGTGCTGCCTTGACATGTGGTAAAATGTGAAGGGCCTCAAGTGGCCTAAATGCAAGCTCCTGTCCCACCTCTGCTCCCATAAATAGGGTCTCCCAGCTGGGCAACCCTTCTCATCCCAGGGACCAGGTACCACCCCTGTTTGTTGCCAAGTAGCAGGCTTCAGTTCCCTGCCAGTCTGCGGAATTATTTAACAACCTCATGAAGAAACCAGGGGCCACTCCACCCTCTGTATTAGCCTGTTCTCAGGCAGCTAATAAAGATACCCAAGACTGGGTAATTTATAAAGAAAAGAAGTTTAATTGACTCACAGTTCCACATGGCTTGGGAGGCCTCAGAAAACCTACAATCATGGTAGAAGGGGAGGCAAACATGTCCTCCTTCACGTGGCAGCAGGAAGGAGAAGTGCTGAGCAAAAGGGGGAAAAGTCCCTTATAAATCCATCAGATCTCATGAGAATTCACTCACTGTCATGAGAACAGCATGGAGGTAACCCCCACATGATTCAATCACCTCCCACTGGGTCCCTCCCACGACATGTGGGGATTATGGGAATTACAATTCAAGATGAGATGTGGAAGGGGTCACGGCCAAACCATATCACTCTTGTTACTACCAAACCTGCTGTCCAACAACCCTGCTGTTCACTCTGCTCTTGAGCACCACCTCATGTGGCCCTGCATAGCCTGCAGTGGCCCTTCCCCTGGGCTACGAGTATATGTGACTAGAAAATTGCCGTGGGTCTCACCTATCCAGTGTTGGGTGTTGTGTGTCCAGCCCTAGAGTGGGACTCCTTCCCTCACGAATGGGGTGAATAGAAGGTGATAAAAAGATCTGAGTCTAGGGATACCTAGGAGGTGGAATCTCTTCTCCATGCATAGCATGAGTGATCACAGGCCTGAAACCAAAAGGGACTTAGGTCTGGGGGAGAGATTATTTTCCAGGTGCTGAATATTCCTGGGATAGGGGAGGGAGCTAAACAGGTTCCTGCCCAAAGGAAGTGAGAAGGGGGTCCTAGCAACTTCTCAGGGATTTAGAGCTGTGACTCCAGGGCCTTTGTTCAGAGGAGCTACCTTGCAAGGAACTTCTAGAAGAATGCTTCTCTTTCTCAGCATCCATCCTCCCATTTCATAGTCGTGCCCACGATGGGCCCCGTCTCCCTGAACTTGATGGCTGAATAGAAGTGTAGCCTCCCAGGGGCATCTAAAGGCACTCAGAGCCCCTTACCCAGCCCCAGCAGGCACCTGCCTGGCTGCCCGGTCCTCAGGGTTCCCTGTGCATTGAGCAATATCCTCAAAGTGACCACCAGGGGGCAGCAGCACCCAGACTGCCTTCCACTGCACCTGCAGATCAACAAATTCCAGTATTTTGGGGGAATATCTGTGATAACTTGGCTACTGCTTTACTGACCTCAGGTAAATAGACAGACCAATGTGCTTGAGGAGCCAATTGCTTTAAATCTCCTGACTCATTTTTTGTATTAAGATTTGTTTTATTTATGCAATTATTCTGTTTACTCAAAGACTTTACCAGAAGCTGGGTGCAGTGGCTCATGCCTGTAACCCCAGCACTTTGGGATGCCAAGGTGAGAGGATCGTTGGAGCCCAGACATTGGAGACCAGCCTGGGCAACATAGTGAGACCCCATCTCTACAAAAAATTTAAAAATTAGCTGGGCGCCACTCATGGTGGCTCAGGCCTGTCATCCCAGAACTTTGGGAGGCCAAGGCAGGTGGATCACCTGAGGACAGGAGTTCGAGACCAGCCTGGTCAGCATGGTGAAACCCCGTTTCTACTAAAAATACAAAAATTAGCTGGGTGTGGCGGTGGGCACCTGTAATCCCAGCTACTCGGGAGGCTGAGACAGCAGAATTGGTTGAATCTGGGAGGCAGAGGTTGCAGCGAGCCGAGATTACACCACTGCACTCCAGCCTGGGCAACAGAGTGAAACTCAGCCCTCCATCCCGACCCCAGAAAAAATTACCTGGGCATGGTGGTTTGAGTCTATAGTCCCAGCTACTCAGGAGGCCAAGGTGGGAGGATAGCTTGAGTCTGGGAGGGTGGGAGTCTGGCTTGAGTCTGGGAGGGCGAGGCTGCAGTGAGCTATGATTGCACCACTGTACTCCAGCCTGGGTGAGAGAGCCAGACCCTATCTCAAAAAAAAAAAAAAAAAGTACCAGCCCCTATCTACCCATTCATAGCTTTATGTCCATTTCTTTTGTCTTCAAGCACTGGTATCCTTTACTTATCTCTCCTCACCTGATCTAGTGTTTACATCTCATTTGCGCCCATAGAGAAGTCATACACTGATGTGGATTTTAGATAGGGCACGCTCTCAAGACAGCCACATGTATTATTCTGTGCTCACACAGCCTGGCCTGGAGATGCAAAGATTATGGAATCCAGAATCTAAATGAGAGGATCAGATTAATGGGATGTTCTCACAGTGTCAGGTGAGGACAGCCTGATGCAGCCTTTCATCATGAGGCTGGGACCTCTGGGTCCCTTGGCCCCAGGACCACACTCGAGGACATGCCTGTTCCTGCCAACATGGCTGGGCAGAGTTCCTCTTTTCTTTCCTTTTCTTTTCTTTTCTCTTCTCTTCTCTTCTTTTCTTTTTTCTTTCTTTTCCTCTTTTCCTTCCTTCCTTCCTTCCTTTCTTCTTTCTTCTTTCTTTCTTTTCTTTCTTTTTCTTTTTCCTTCTTTCTATTTTTTTTTGAAATGGAGTCTTGCTCTGTTGCCCAGGCTGGAGTGCAGTGGCACACTCTTGGCTCACTGCAACCTCCACCTCCCGGGTTCAAGCGATTCTCCCACTTCAGGCTCCCAAGTGGCTGGGATTACAGGCACCCACCACCACACCCAGCTAATTTTTGTACTTTTAGTAGAAATGGGGTTTCGCCATGTTGGCCAGGCTGGTCTCAAACTCCTGACCTCAGGTGATCCACCCGCCTAGGCCTCCCAAAGTGTTGGGATTACAGGCGTGAGCCACCACACCCTAGCCCTGAGTCTGTTTATGCTTCTGTCAGGTGTGGCATGGGCCTGCCTGGGAGCTATTCTTTTTCTGTAAAGCACAGGCAGTTAATCAGTGGTCTCTGGGAAGAATCCAGCTCAGGGTTATATTTCGTTTGACCCACTCAAGTTTTAAAAAGTAAATTAGTTGCCAATGTGCAAACATTAGAAGAGTTCACAGCTTCTCCAACAATACCTAGAAGTTCATCCGATGGTGCCCGCATTCCCTGCTCTGTCTAGATGGTGCCCACATTCCCTGCTCTGTCTAGATGGTGCCGACATACCCTGATCTGTCCAGACAGTGCCTACATTCCCTGCTCCATCTGGATGGTGCCCACATTCCCTGCTCTGTCCAGACGGTGCCCACATTCCCTGCTCTGTCTGGACGGTGCCCACATTCCCTGATCTGTCCGGACAGTGCCCACATTCCCTCCTCCGTCCGGAAGGTGCCCACATTCCCTGCTGTGTCTGGACGGTGCCCACATTTCCTGCTCCGTCCAGACAGTGCCCACATTCCCTGCTGTGTCTAGATGGTGCCCACATTCCCTGCTCCGTCCAGACAGTGCCCACATTCCCTGCTCTGTCTAGATGGTGCCCACATTCCCTGCTCCGTCCGGACGGTGCCCACATTCCCTGCTCCATCCGGACGGTGCCCACATTCCCTGCTCCGTCCGGACGGTGCCCACATTCCCTGCTCCGTCCGGACGGTGCCCACATTCCCTGCTCTGTCCAGATGGTGCCCACATTCCCTGCTCCATCTGGACGGTGCCCACATTCCCTCCTCTGTCTAGACAGTGCCCACATTCCCTGCTCCGTCCGGACGGTGCCCACATTCCCTGCTCTGTCTGGACGGTGCTCACATTCCCTGCTCTGTCTAGACAGTGCCCACATTCCCTGCTCCATCCAGACGGTGCCCATACTCCCTGCTCTGTCTAGATGGTGTCCACATTCCCTGCTCCGTCTAGACTGTGCCCATATTCGCTGCTGGCTGCAAATGCGAGGAGTTGACAGCAGCCTCCCCTTTACAAGGCAGGAGGTGCCACTGTTCGCCATTGTCTCCACCTAGGGCTTCACTTGCTTTCTATCTGCAGACATCAGAGGGACCCACATCTCTCTGTTCTGACACGCTGTGTGTTGATGGCAGAGTTTAATTATCCACATGCAATCTTACTTTCCTTATTCCCAAGTCCGTGGGGCTGCCTCATCAAAGCATTGTAAGAACTGATAACCATCTTCTAGAAGTATCATAGTGATATTAAGAACACACATCACAGATCATAGTAAATGGCTTTAATTTTTTAGCGAAATCTCACTACTGCAAATGCATTGTTGTCCTAGCTAATGAATGCATAGAGTATTGCCTGCAAAATAATAATTGAGATTCTATTTTTAAGAAGCTTAGAACAGTACATGGTGCATAGCAAAGACTCTGTGTATGTGAAGCCAGATTTTAAAATATGGTAACAAGTGTCTGAAAATATGTGGCTCAATTTGTCTCCCGGTTACTTTTCCCTCTCCCCCTTTAAAATGTAGAGGAAGGAGAAGAAGAGATAAGAGGTTTGTGAGTGAAGACAAGGGCCCTTTAAGGCCTGGGAAGACTAACGCCATAGGGATCTCCCTCTGCCTTAAAAGGCACAGGAATCTTAGTGGGGAAAAAGAAGTGGTGATAAATAGCCAGTCCGTGTGCCTGGAATATCAAAGTCAGTGCGTGCCAGGGATCACACTGCGGGTCACGTGCACTCTGGGTCTCTCTCTGCAAACCTGCCCTGCCTCAGTCTGGGAATATGCAACTGCCTAAGAAGGGTCTGGCTTACACAGGGGCCGTGAGACGTGGCAGGCATAGCTGGGCTGCTACTGGTCATGAATCCTGGACACGGCAGGCAAGGTGTGGTGTCCATATGCATTATTCGGGTGGGGCAAAGATCACAGCTCTCACTAGACTTTCAGAGGACTTTGTAACCCAAAGAACCACTCATCTCAAGGACTGTGGTAACTCAGGGGCTGAGCCATGCCAGTGTTTATTATGTGAAACAAGGACTGGAACCTCACAAGACCAAGTCTGTCCATTTGAGGATGGCCCAAGATGCACACGGGCTGCTTTTATCTTATGCGCAGGTTTTAAAAAAATATGTTTCATTTAAATATTCCATACTCTTCAGGAATGCCCAGGCAGCTGAGCTTTCAGGATGTCGCATTGCAGAGGACTCCAATGCTACATATGGCAGCTGGAGACCCTTTCAAGGCAGGTGGCAGAACGGAGGCCCTCTCTATCTGCTGGGGCAGCCCTCCGGGTGCCCCGCTGGAAGGCAGAGCAGCTCCATCTCTGGGTGGGTGAGAGGTGCTGCATGGGCTCACTATAGTATCCCAATACTGTATGGCAGTAGGCTGCCAGAGTATCCTAAGCTGGGTGGCTTCAACAACAGGTACTGACTCACAGTTCTGGAGGCCAAAAGTTTGAATTCAAGCAGGGCTGTGCTTCCTCTGAAACCTGTGGGAGAGGAGCCTTCCTGGCTTCTTCCCGACTTCTTGGGATGGGGATGCGCATCCATCCTCGGCCTTCCTTGGTTTGTGGCTGTGTCACTGCACCCTCTGCCTCTGTCACGGCATGGTGTCCTCCCTATGCATCTGTGTCTGAATTTCCCTCTTCCGATAAGGACTCCAGTCATATTGGGTGAGGGCCCACCCCAATGACCTCATCTCAACTAGATCATCTGCAAAGACTCTATTTCCCAATTAGGTCACATTGAAGGTACCTGTCTTTTTGGGGGATACAATTCATCTCACAAAACCGGCCCATCACCTCAAAAGGACCTGCCACCCCAGTGCTATGTGTCCCTCTCTGCCCAGAGCCACTCCTTCCCCTGGCTCTCGGGGAGTGGGGGCACCTTTCCCTGCTCCCACAGTGACCGAGCACCTTCCCCTTGGTATGCATTCTGAAGGGGGCATTTTTTTCTCCTCCATCTCAGCCCTGTACAAAGCAAGTTCTTTCTAGATTGAGGTGTGTATGTGTGTCTATGTATATGAGTGTATGTGCCTGTGTGTTTTCAGGGAGATGTGTGCAGGATGGGTGCAAGGGAGGAGTGGAAGGCGGAAGGGCAGGAGGAGGATAGAGCCACAAGAGTGAGCACAGAAGTGACAAGGGCAGAATCAGTGTGTGCTTGTGACAAGTATGGAAATGTCATGCCTTTAGGTTCAGTCCTATAAGGTAGGTGTATCAGTAAGGGCATTGATTCTGCGACCTTAACAGAGATCAGAATAACAGTGGCTTAAGGAAGAGTGGAGTGGATTTCTCTCTCCTGTAAATCTGGCCTGGTGGGTGGTAAGGAGGATCCACGTCGCCCAGGCCCAGATGTGTGTGGCTCTTTGAGTGCCCCGTTCTTTCCCAGTCTCATAACTGCTCTCCACCTCCTCCACATCCAGCCACTGGGAAGCAGGACAAAGTTAGTTAAGGGCACGTTCTTTTCTTTCCAAGGATTACTTGGACATTACAGTCTTCACTTCCATGCCTACTGGCCAGGGCTTAGTCACACAACCTTGCTAGCTGCAAGGGAGTCTGGGAAATGCAGCTGCTATTCTCAGAGGCCATGTCCTCAGGGATTCTGCTAAATTTAGCAAGGCAGGGACAGATATGGGGGAACCACTGACAGTCTATCACAAAAGAACGTGATTTTAGAGAAACAGTGAAACAGTGTCATTAATCCACCCCTCACCCCTTACAACAGCCAAAAAGAAATCCAGTGGTATCCATCACAATAAAGAGTATGAGAGGAATGTGATTAGAAAATCAGGTTGCCAGGCAGGATGTGTCCAGTTTTAGCCAGTGGTGGGGTTCATGGGGAAGGCTTCGTCTCAGGAAGGTGTGTGTTGGGTTGTTCTATGGCCAGATGGTTTTCAACGACATAGCACGACCTGTAGCTCTCCAGGACCCGGGCCTGGACATAGGCCTTGTCCTTCTCTTGCCAGGCATCGGACTCGATGTAGACGTTGAATGGGTCGTTCGAGTGCTCCAGCTTCTTGGAGCGGATGTAGCTCAGCATGATGCCCAGGGTGAAGAAGCCGAAGAATCCCAGTACCATGAGGACGTAGAGGGCCTCCAGCTTGCCGTCACTGCTGCGGGGGGACCTGCGGGCCAGGCCCGACATGTTGCCACCCTGCTGAACTGTCTCCTGCCACAGCTTGGTCAGAAAGGGCGTCACCGCTGTGGTGTTAGACAGGATCATCCTGGGCATTAAGGTTCCACTGCTGCAGCTCAAACTTCCCAGGCACACCTCTTAAAGGAAAAATGCAACCCCAAATCAAAAAGTACGTATTGGCCAAAACCCACACGTACGCACACACACGTATACAATTTTAAAATCTCAGGTGAGAGGGGTGAGCTGACACTCCACAGGCCATGGCATGTGCCATCTTGGGTCTGTGCAATGCCTTCTCTTGATAGATGAATGGATACATTGATTCCCTTCTATTTCCATCCACCACTCCAATCTCCACCCCTATAGGTGACCATCAGAATGAGCTTCTTTAATATGCATTGCTGCATATTGTGGCGTATGGGGTTGCATGTGTGCATTTTGGTTTACCTAAATGGTATCAGGTCATCCAACTCATTCAGTCTCCTTCTTTTTCCTCATGACTGTGCTTTTGTGGCTCACTTGCGGTGCTGGGTGTGTGCATTCCCTTGCTTCCAATGTTTGTATACAACCCATGGTGAACACCCACTTCTTTTCTCTGCCTTCTCCCCCAGAGATGGACACTGCTGTGGCTGCTGACTCCATAAACAAGGGGGAGACAAATATCCCCATCCTTGACCTCCTATGGACCTAAAAAAAATCACGCATCTCATACAACTAGTTCCTGGCAGCTTATGCAAGACTAGTCAGACTGGTTGCCCTTGGAAGCAACGTGCAATTGGTGGTCTGTTTCACCACAGAGCATCTCTCTATGAACAGTTACATTCATCTGAATGAAAAATCTATGCTGTCACGTGGTGGACTTCAGAATGTCTAGGGAGATTTCACAGAGAGCTCCCCTCGAAGAGGCCAGTGTTGTAGCTTGTGCTATGTTTTTCCCTCCCTGCCCACACACAGGCACACACACGTACACAATCTTAAAACCTCAGGTGAGAGGGGTGAGCTCACATGCTCCCTAGTCCATGGTATGTGCCGTCTTGGGTCTACACAATGCCCTCTCTTGATTGAGCAATGGTACATGGATTGCCTTTTATTTCCATTCACTACTCTCTGGCTATGCAGAAAGTGACATTTTCCCTATCGTTTAATCTTGATATCACTGTCCCTGTATACTCAGAGTGGGCCTGGGAATTGGAAAAATTGTCTCCAAGTAGCTGTAAGATTCTGTCAGGGGTTTGGTTTGCTGTGGAAACCCCATCTAGGTGACCTTGAGATCATTGGTAAGCTGAAAAAAAACAGGTCTTGTTTTTATTTATTTATTTATTTATTTATTTAGGTTTGAGCAAATGCCAGCCTCTACCCCCAGTTCCTGCTGGGAAACAAAAGCTCCGAGGCCAAGTTGTTGATGTCACATTCCAAACTCAAGCCAGAGGGGGCCACTGGGAGCTTATCACACGTAAGTGCTCCCACTCAGTTCTTTCTTTTTCTGTTTTATTGAGACAGGGTCTCACTCTTGTCACTCAGGCTGGAGTACAGTGGCACAATCTTGGCTCACTGCAGCCTCAACCTCCTGGACTCAGGTGATCCTCCTACCCTACCCTCCAGAGTAGATGGGACTATAGGTATGCACCACCATGACTGGCTAATTTTCGTATTTTTTGCAGAGGTGAGGTTGCCCTATGTTGCCGAGGCTGGTCTTGAACTCCTGGGCTTACAGGATCCGCCCACCTCGGCCCCCCAAATTGCTGGGATTACAGGCATGAGCCACCCTGCTTGTCCCCTGCTCACTTCTTAGGAGCTTAAAGTAGCTGAGTAGAACATGGCCTGGAGTAGAACATGGCCTCGGGGGGACTGTTGTAACTACAGGTGAAGGATGTATTTGGGAAGACAGTTTATGGCCAGAATCGCTATGGAAAGACAAATTCCAACACTTGCCGGGACGGCGCTGTCTTTCCCAGCCAGGATGGGGACTGTGACATTGCACATCATCTTGTGTAGGACAAATAACCTCAGAAACCTAGCTCCTCTCCAGCTTAGACCCAGAGCTATTTCTTCATTGAATTGGTTTAATTGTAAAACATACCCTGAACCCAGCACCAGCTGAAGACATCTGGCACCTTTCCGAGGCCCCTCTTCCTCTACCCATCTCTGAACTCTGGCTGTGTCTCAGAGTTCTGTTACCTGCTCTCTTCTCTTCCTACTCTCCTCTCTCCCAGGGTGACTGCACCTGCTCCAGGCTCACCTGCATGGCCATGACCCAGGGCTCTCTTTAAGCTCCAGAGCCATGCGTCCAGTGACCTGCTAAGGAGATGGTTCCCTTTGGCCATCCCCAGGCTCCTTAAAGTTAACACTCCACCCTGTCCTGTCAGAGACTGGCCCCTGCCTCATTGAGCTGAGTGGCAACACCACTCACTCCAAAATCTGCATCACTCTCACTGATGACTGCAATCTCATCATGGCAGTTCCCATCTTGAAGGCCTTCCTTGGCTCCTCCCTGCCTTCAGGGTGAAACTCCTGGTCTTCTGCATGGATACAGGCCCTAAATTTGAGAGTCTATGCATCCCTCTCCAATTCCACTGTTGCCACTGTGCCCAGACCCTATGCTCCATGGTCCCTGCTGGCCCCGGAGCCTCTACACATTGTGCGTCTCCAGCTCAGACTGCGCCTTCTTCTTGGCCCATGAAACTTCTCAGCAATGCCTACTCATGCTTAAAATTCAGCCCAGCTCTCACCTCCTTCCCGAAGCCTGCTCTGATACATGGGGCTGGATCAGCACTGTGCACACCATGACCCCTGCTAACCTCATCATGGTCAGGATCTCCAGGCCCCTTATCCCATCCCTGCCCTGCCATCCAGCCTGGTGCTGGGCACGCAACCACACAGGAGCTGCCCATGAATGTTTATCGAATAGATGCCACCAGAACTTAATACCTTTTGACCAGTGGGGCTTGACTCTTTATAACCTGCTTACTCCAATGAACAGATGCCAATGAGCTGTCTCCGAAGCTCTAACTGACTCCCTTTTCCAGAAGGGCAGTCATCTCCCACCCTGAACCACAGTCTCAGAAGGCAGGAGTGAGGAGCAGAAAGAGCTCAGATTTTGGGATTCCACTGCCGCCACAGGTTTGGATTCTAGCTTTGCTACTTCCTGGCCACATGATCCTGGACAGTTTCCTTAGAATTGTTCAGTCAAGTTTTTTTTTTTTTTCTTTCCAAAGTAGCGAGAAACACCACTGACATTTGCGGGCTGTTGAATCACTGAGCAGGTGTGTAGAGTGGCTGACAGCATGTGGCACATGGCAGGTGCACACTCAGTGGTCCTGGGTAGGAGTTTATTGGTTTTTCTACCTCATTAAGAAATTGCTGCCCAAGGATTTGGGGCTTTGGGGGTTTAGGCTTGGCTTTCCTGTGGCTGACCATGGCAGCTGTCTTCTCTACGTTGTGGAGAGATCAGACATGAATGAGAATCAAAGATTGTTTGTGGCCTTTCCTGGTTTCTAGGCTTTTGAGTCTGTGCAGAGATCTGTCAGGGGTTAAGCTGCCTGGGCTCAAGAGATTCAGGTCCTTGTTCTTGTACAAAACTAGCATTTAGCCCCATTCTAACCATCGGGGTAGGCAGGAATTGTTTGGTAACAGATCCAAACTCAACGCTCAACCATTTCTTTTTAAATGACCCGAAACCACTTATGAATGCATAAAACCCTGCCCCAGAAAACAGACAGACCTGGACCTGATACTATGATGTAATTTCCAAAAACCCAGAATGATCACAATTGGCAAATAATTCTGCCACCAATCACTGTTAGAGAGTCTTTCCAACTTCATGACCATGTGAAGGTAGAATTATGGCAGGCGACATTTGAAGATCCACAAGTTAATTGGTTTAAAACTGATAAATCCATACAGCAAATTAAGAGTTACATCTGCAATTAATTCATAATAGTGAGTTCACTGAGAAGGCTTGTTACTTAGATCCAGATGGACTTTCTTATGTCCAAAGAAGCAACCAAAAACATCTGCTTTGAAAACCTCCCAAGCCCAAACCATCCTCAGCCTTGTTCTTTAGAATGCTTTAGAATGACCTTGTTAAAATGCAGATTGCTCCTGTAATCCCAGCACTTTGGGAGGCCAAAGCAGGTGGATCACTTGATGTCAGGAGTTTGACACCAGCCTGGCCAACATACTGAAACCCCGTCTCTACTAAAAATACAAAAATAAGACAGGCGTGGTGGCGGGCACCTGTATTCCCAGCTATTTGGGAGGCTGAGGCAGGAGAATCACTTGAACCCAGGAGGTGGAGGTTGCAGTGAGCCAAGATTGTGCCATTGCACTCCTGCCTGGGTGACACAGCGAGACTCTGTCTCAAAAAAAAATGCAGATTGCTGGGCTCTATTTTCAGAGTTTCTGATTTGGTAGAACTGGAGCGGGCCTGGGAATCTGCATTCCTAACACATTCCCACGTGGTGCTAATACTGCTGGTCTGGAGGCCCTGCTTGGTGATCTATTGGAATCACCGGGGGAGCTTTTAGAAAATAATGGTTCCTGGATCTCACCCCTAGAGATTTTAATGTCTTTGGTCTGGGTTCCTGCCTGACTCAGAGACTTTTTAGAAACCTCCCAAATGATCCTAATTTGTAGCCAAGATTGAGAACCACTGGGCTGTGGTGTGGGACCCTAGGAAAATGACCAATGGCCTTTTGTGCTGCAGGGTACCTGGAAGAATTTTGCAAAAATATAGAAATATGATCTCACTGACTGTTTTTCAAATCTTGTTTGTTTTTTACATTTTCTTTTTTGGCCTTGTTTGCCTCTGATACAGTCTGAAAAGAAATTGCAGAAAGAAACTCTCCAGTCTTCAGTGTAACCTCAGCTGTCCCCAGTCTCACACACGCTGGTGCCTTCAATTACAATTCTCCTGTCAGAGCTTAAGTCCAGCTAATTAACTGCCTTTCAAATGACAACCCTATATTTTTAAAGAATTTTTTTAAAACTTCACATGTAATTTATTGCATTGCTTTTGCTAAATGTCCTCCACACCCCCAATGCCTGCTAGGCTGGGTCGCCATGGTATTTTTGTGTAACGAGTCTCAAAATGAGTTTGGCAATGTCTCCGTAATAGTCAGCATGGTGTAAATGACAGTCTGGATCTGCATGTCATTTGGGATTTTATATCAGATTCTCTAGGTTCATTTCTATGATACGTGATGCCAAAGCACCCACATGCCCCGTGGCTGCACTTTCAGACAGTTGGACTCAAACAGAGTGGGAGAGCAACTGATCCAACAATCTGAATTTTCAGAAAACGGGGCTCCTTAGAGATGAGATGGCTTGCCAAAAGTAATCTCTCCTATCAGAAGTACATATCCTCAGCAAACTAACGCAGGAGCAGAAAACCAAACACCGCATATTCTCACTTATAAGTGGGAGCTGAACAGTGAGAACACATGGACACAGGGAGGGGAACAACACACACTGGGGCTTGTCGGGGAAAGGTGGGTGGGGAAGAGCATTAGGGAAAAGAGCTAATGCACGCTGGGCTTAACACCTAGATGATGGGTTGACAGGTGCCGCAAACCATCATGGCACATATTTATGTCTGTAACAAACCTGCACATCCTGCACATGTTCCCTGGAACTTAAAAAAAAAAAAAAAGAAACAAAAACAACCAACCAAAAATATATCTAAAATGTCATCTGTTAGCAATTGACTCACATATTATTAGTATAGAAAAGAGCAATTCCCAGGACCTTGTACAGAGGAAGCAGGCTCAAAACAGCTGAGGAATAGGCCACTTTTATCAGATAGCATTGGATCCATGCACATGGGGGTTGGCTTCTTACCTAAATATGCCATCAGAAATCATCCTTGTTCCTGTCCCCTCAGCTTTTGTAGCTTGCACAGTGAGTAAAGGGATGGTGGAGGCAGAAATGGTAGGAGCCAGAGATGTTCAAAATCCATCTGATGCTTGGCCTGTGCTGAACGTTCTCAAACTGTGGCCTTGTCAGGCCCAGAAAGTGGGGTGGATTCCTGGCCGTTTCTGCTTCTGCCTGGGTGTGAGATGTGAATGCTGCCCCTACTGAAGGGTAGTGCAATTTTTTTTTTTTCTTAAAAGCTTAGACCCAGAGCTGCTAATCTACTGGAAATCACTCAGGACACAGGGCTCTGGGCAGCTGCGCTGAGCGAGACACCTGCAAATGGAGACCAACGGGGCCTCCAGCACCCTGGAGTTCCGTAAGGCCCCCAGCTGAACCCAGGGGAGAAGAGGGCAGTGGGTGGCGCCTCGCTGCTCTGGGCACACACCACCTCTTCTGACTTCTCCCACGTGCTCCGGCTGTGTCGCCTATCAGCACTGATAACAGCCTGGAAGCTTTCAGAACAGAAGCTTTCCCAGCATGGGAAACTCTCATTCTTTCTTTTTTTTAATTTTCCAAAGCCTTTATTTCTAAGACCAACTGTGGCCTACCCGTGCATAAACTGGGCAGG
The DNA here is from genome assembly GCF_000001405.40 of Homo sapiens. Classification (NCBI taxonomy): domain Eukaryota; kingdom Metazoa; phylum Chordata; class Mammalia; order Primates; family Hominidae; genus Homo; species Homo sapiens. The sequence continues at coordinate 34,456,029 of NC_000021.9, forward strand.
CTGTAGACAGCAGGCTTGCCAAGTAAATACTACAGCCTTCCTCCCAATATTGAGCCCTGTCCCATTGATCCTGCAGGGGAGATGTGTAGGGCATTTGTTCACGGGGAGGCCACAAGTTTGGGCCTCTCATCACTGTGACCTCACACCCCTGTTGAGTGTGTCGTAAACAGAGGAGCCGTTCTTCAAGCCCCCTGCCCTGAGTGCACCCCTCTCATTCTTTTGTTATTATTAGCAAATTCCCCCAGTTCCTGATCATTCTTTCTTAAGCCTTTAGTGACTGGGTAAGGTTCTTGTGGCTGACTCCAAGCTTTCTTCTAAAAGGAATAGATTCTAGGGGTGAGTAGAGGAGACAGGAATGTCGGAGTCAGAGCTCAGGAATCTGGGTTCCAGCCCCAGGTCAATCCTAGATAAACTAGAGGGCTCCTTAACTTACTTCCCTAGGTTGACTCTGGGTTTTTTTATCACGCTCGACAGGACTCCTTATGCATTTCTTCGAAAGAGCATCCAGTCTTAACATCATCATTTGGCCTCATTTGGTTTAAGAAGCAGAATTAGGGTAAAAGCAATGATGGATAAGCCTCATTTTGGTGAATATGATCTTATTGAGACAAGAATTCTGAGTCAATTGTCCTTGGAACCAACTGTCTATTGTTTTCATCTTTATCACAACACTATGTCCAAATTTTGGAAACATGTTTCCCTCCTAGCAGAAAAGAAGCCACCCAGGGCCACCAGATGCTTCCCGACACTTGGCTGGCTTTGTCTGGTCTTCTATCCTTCCCCTATCCCCAGAGTCAGTGGGTACTAAGGTGGCCAGGGTCGCTCAAGGAATCAGAATGCAACCGTCCAGAGGCCCAGAATCAGACTGTCCTCTCTGATTAGGAAAGTGTTTCCTGCCACCTCCCAGGGGGATGTGGGGTGTGGCTTGAGTCTGGTGCTTTTACCAGGAGCTTCCCAGACCTCTCTATGGGTGATGGAGAGAGAGTCTGGGGTGTGAAGGATGGAAATATAAACACTGAATACTCAGAGAGTCAGGCCAGCGAGCTGGTGAGGAGACTCCATCAAACTCAATATGAAAACATGGGTGGGCGTTTGGGGATGGATAATGAATGACAGCTGAAGTCACACATCAGGAGGGAAGGAAGGACTCTCATCTTCAGCAAATGACATAAATCTGGGGAGCCTCAGTTTCCTCACCTGAACAGTGAGAATGATGGAATCTACCCTGAGTATATATCCCAGGTCTTTGTGCAGCATGGAATCAGCCCCCAGCCTTCCTAGCTCTTGCTTTATTTTATTTTATTTTAGAGACCAAGCCTCGCTCTGTCACTCAGGCTGGAGTGCAGTGGCGCGATCTTGACTTACTACAACCTCCTCCGCCTCCTGGGTTCAAGTGATTCTCCTGCCTCAGCCTCCTAAGTAGTTGGGTTTACAGGTGCATGCCACTATGCCTGGTTAATTTTTGTATTTTTAGTAGAGACGGGGTTTCACCATGTTGCCCAGGCTCAACATGCCTGGGCTGAAGCGATCCACCTGCCTTGGCCTCCCAAAGTGCTAGGATTACAGGCGTGAGCCACCGTGCCTGGCCTCTTGTTTTATGTTTGCTGTTCTCGCTGTAGGTGAGGCATTCCCACCATATTCCCTTGTTAAAATCCTACTGGCCCTTCAAATGCCAGCTCATATCCACACTGTGTCTGACCCTGATCCAGAATCCTCTCCCCTTCTTTGACCCCTTGTATATATCTTTCCTACAGTGCTGGTCATATTCTAACTTCTAATCATTTGTAGACTTATCTGGGCATTTTCTCCCAGGAGGTCCCAAAGGACAGAGACCATCTTGCTCACCTTTGTCCCCACTCCAGCACCCAGAATGTTTCAATAAGGTTTTCCTGAATTAAGTGGGAAGCAAAGTATTAGATTCAATACCACTACAATGGGAAAGTGAGTGAATAATTGATAAAGTATACTATGCTCTGGAAATAGATTATTGAGTAATCAGAGGAAAACCTCTTGCAATGTAGTATGTTTTTATATATTAAATTTTATATTATTTATTTATATTTATATTATTAACATATTTTTGTTATTCATTTTGTTTATTAAGATTTACTCTATATATATATGTGTGTGTGTGTGCGCGTGTGTGTGTGTGTAACCCACCTTATTTCTAAAAAAAAATTTTGGCAGTCAGTGACTATTAATAGTAGAGCACAAACTCTTAACCTTTTTTTCCTCCCGCTTTCCCAGAGTCCTTATCACCTTCTAATATAATAAAGTTTTCTTAACTGTGATGTTGATTGTTCAACGTTTGTCTTTCCCACCAAAATGTAAGCTATTGCGGGCAGGGATCTTTGCATGGGTTGTTCTTCATTGCATCCCAGGCCACTAGAACAGTGTGTGGCATATGGCAGGAGTGCAATAAACATTCAGCGAATGCAGGCAGGCATGCGTGAACGCATGAATAATAAGTGTTCCTTTCAACTACCAGAAAGAGCGAAACCACACAGGAGCTGTCTCACCCTCAGAGATTTAAGACGACAGCAATGAGTCCCTCTGATGTCTTCTAAGTGAGCTTTATTTTCAAAACAAATCATTTTCCAATAACCTATCAAAAGCAGGTCCTACCTGAATATCCTTGGCTATTTCCTCTGGATACAGATAATGCCTTCCTCCAATGGATCCTCGGCTCACCTGATGATTGTGTGAAACTGGCCAGAGAAAGCAGAGGGATTTTTCCTGGTGATTGGAAATCAGAGTCACGGCTGAATTTAAGCAACTGTGTGAACTCAGCAAAGTCCCCACCACCTGGACCATACATGACAGCTATGGTTATTGACAAGGTCCTTCCTTAATGGAGCTGGAACCTCCTTCTTAATCTAAATGTGGACTCAAATGAACTGTCAATTCACATAGAGCAATGTGACAAATCCGGGGGGCAAAGCATTATGCAATAGATTGGGCACATGCGCACGTCTCTGCTACTTAGTCAACTTTCTTCTAAAGTTTCCCACTTTTCCCATTACCACAATCAAGATCAGATATCAGTAATATTCTCCGCGTCCCATGCCCTTTCCTCAGGGAGATGCCAAGGCCCAAGAGCTGGTCCCCCCAAAAAGCTGAAGGTCTTTGAAAAAAAGTGGGGACTCAGGTCCCGTGAGTGGTTTTGATTTTCTTTTCTTTTGAAAGTTGCATGTAAGTGTTTTCCAAATACTATACAAGAATGTCTATAACTTAATAATGGAGGAATGTTTTCGTTGTTCTGTGTTGGTGAGATGCTTTCCTATGCGTTTGTTGTATAAGTAAGTGAGAATGGCAGAAGGAAAGGAGGGGAGAGGCTGATCATCCTATCCCGTCTCCCACTCTGGGGGTCTCGGCGCTTCCAGCCTGAAGCGCGCCCGCTGCGCGTCCGGAGACGCAGGTTCCAGGAGCCCCCCGGGGTTGCCCGACTAGGCCACTTGCGCCCCGGAAGAGGGCCGCGGAGGTGGGAGACCCTAACTTACCCGGGTCTGAGATGCCGAGAGAGCCGGGTGTGGAGCTGAGTGCGCGCCTGCCGAGCGCTGAGGCCACAGACAGCCCCGCCCCGGGGCGGCACCTTCTAAGGGCCTGAGCGCTGCACAGGGATGGGGGCGGGCGGGGCCTCCCAGAGCCGCCAGGCGTCCCGCCCCACTCCGCCCACACGCACGGCCCAGCCCAGGGTTCCCCGGGACCACCCCAGACCAGCCCCGGCCCCCCCGGGTCCTCCACACTCTGCACCCCAGACCAACACCAACGCGCGTAGGGAAGCGTTTTAGATCCTGTCGGAGAGGCTCAAGGCCGGCAGAAGGTTTGCATTAGGATCGAGAAAGCCGACCAACGGACAGATCTACCTACCTTCCTGCGGGAGTTTGAGGTTGCCAGGGGGGAAGCCACTGCAGCCAGGAGAAAGGCCGTCTGGGAACCACCCCACCCTCGGACGTGCGGGCCTTCAAATATCTCTGAACATAATCCTCCAAAGACCGCTCAACCTCCGCTCCCGACGACTCTTTCTAGCCTCGTCCCGCACCCCAGCTGTGGCCACACACCTATTAGGCAAACATTTATGAAGCACCCACTTACTGGGTGTGCAGCCCTGAGCTGGGGGTGCAGCTGTGGACCAGACAGGAGGGGGCCCGGAGCGGCAGACAGTCGCTGGAGGCACCCGAGCCTTGGCGAGCACACCCTAACGTCCTTGGGGCCTTTCAGCCCGAGCCGTCCTTGTCCAGAGAGCAAACCATGCAATGATGCAGGTGACTTCCCAGCAAATTTCATAGCGTTGCTCACCAGCTTGGCAGGCAAGAGGAGAAGGGGCAGTCCCCAAAAGACAATCCCATGAACCTTCTAGGGAATGACGTCCAGGCTCCAGGCTCCTGCTCTGCAGGCGGGTCGCAGAGGCAGGTTCCTGACCTAGGACTAGAAGACATTCTCTAGGGTCACTGCCTCCATGGTCTTCCTTGGCAGGTCACTTCTTCCTGGGCTTCGACCTCGGTGTTCTCATGGGGACGAGGGTGATTGGAGGCCCTCCAAGGGGTGCACCGATGTGTCCTGTGCACCAGGCAGAACCAGCATTGCCCTACAGTGTGGGTGCAAAATGAACCCACATGGCCACGTTGGAAAGTCCTGAAATGTTCATAGCCTATGACATGAAATTGCACTGTGTGAAATCTATTTATTCTTTTTTTTTTTTTCTTTTTTTTCTGAGACGGAGTCTCACCCTGTCGCCCCGGCTGGAGTGCAATGGCACGATCTCGGCTCACTGCAACCTCCACCTCCCTGGTTCAAGCGATTCTCCTGCCTCAGCCTCCCGAGTTGCTGGGATTACAGGCACCGGCCACCATACCCTGCTGATTTTTTGTTATTTTTAGTAGAGACGGAGTTTCGCCATGTTGGCCAGGCTGGTCTCGAACTCCTGACTTCAGGTGATCCACCCGCCTCGGCCTCCCAAAGTGCTGGGATTACAGGTGTGAGTCAGCGTGCCCAGACTGAAATCTATTTATTCTATGGAAAGGATCAGAGCTGTAGAAAAATCCTTATGCATGTAAAAGTTCTTTGTGTTTTTACTTGCAATAACTAGAATCTAAACATCCAAAAATAGAAAATATAGGTAATTAAATTGTAGTACATATGATATTATTCTACATAGTAGAATATTATGTGGAGTCCTTAAAATGTTTACAAATAATTTATAACAACATGGGGCCGGGCACAGTGGCTTACACCTGTAATTCCAGCACTTTGGGAGGCCAAGGTGGGTGGGTCACCTGAGGTTAGGAGTTCAAGACCAGCCTGGCCAACATGGTGAAACCTGTCTCTACTAAAAACACAAAAATTTAGCTGGGCGTGGTGGTGGGCACCTGTAATCCCAGCTACTTGGGAGTCTGAGGCAAGAGATTCACTTGAACCCAGGAGGCGGAGGTTGCAGTGAGCCAAGGTCACGCCACTGCACTCCAGCCTGGGCGACAAGAGTGAAGCTCTGACTCAAAACAAACAAACAAACAAAAACCCAACAGGGGAGATCTTTATATTATCATGTTACGTGAAAAATACAAAAACAGAAAACAAAACAAAAACCCCACAAAACTCAAGGCCTTAAATTGTAAATATGAGATGCCAGGCATTATTCCCAAAATCTATAAGGAAGCACACCAACCACCATGTTAACATTGTCTATTAGTGGTAGGCCTATTGGAGATTTATTATCTTATTTATGCTACTTCATGTTTTCCTTCCTTTTTTGTTTTGCAACAACTCTGTATTAGTCTGTTCTCACACTGTTATAAAGAACTGCCTGAAACTGGGTAATTTATAAAGGAAAAAGTCTTAATTGATTCACAGTTCAGCATGGCTGAGGCCTCAGGAACTTACAATCATGGCCGAAGGGGAAGCAAACATGTCCTTCTTTACATGGCAGCAGGAGAGAGAAGTGCAGAGCAAAGTGGAAGGAAAAGCCCCGTATAAAACCATCAGATCTCGTGAGAACTCACTCATTATCATGAAAACAGCATGGAAGAACCGCCTCCATGATCCAATCACTTCCCACAAAGTCCCTCCTGCAACATGTGGGGATTACAATTTGGATTACAATTCAAGATGAGATTTGGGTGGGGACACAGCCAAACCATATCAAACTCTATGTACTTTAATATTTAAGGAAAATTACATAAACTTTATCTGAAAATTCCCTGGATTCTTCTCCTCAAGGTCATGCTGTACATATGCAGGATCCTCCTGCCTACATCTCCAAATGGATAATGGATTGAAGCAAAATGTTTGTCCCACCAAACATTGATGTGTAACCCTTTTAGTAACAATTCATAGACCAGGTAAACATGTGTGGAGCAGCCCAGATCAGCTGGAGGGAGCATTATTCTCATCAGAGTGTGGAACAATGCCTACCCATCTGTCAGCTGGTTATGGTGAAGACAGTATAAATGGAAGCACTGTCAGAAACTAAAGGCTTATGTAAGTGATGCTGTTCTTATGTCTCCTCTTCCTCTCTATCCCACATATGATGAATTATTTTATTATGATGATGCTGTAGTTGTTATTTTCTATTTGAAATGAAAAGACATGATTACAGATGAGAAAGAGTGTATTTTGTTATCCTTGATGCACTTGAAATGGTTTCCTCTTTTTTTTTTCCTGTTTTCTTCTTCTTCCTTCTCTCTTCACTCTTTCATTCTTGCCTCTCTCCATTTTATAGGTATGATTGATCTTGAAATAATGATGATAACAGAATGATAGCCCATATAGTCCTTGGGTCACTTCTGTCTCTATTTCTCTTTCTTCCCTCCTCTTTTTTTCTTGGTCCTTTTGCTAGATGGGTTGCGAGCATGGCTCCCTGCCCCTCTCAGTGGGTTTATCTTCATTTTCCATGAGCTCCCACCTCACTGCATGTGACATCAAAGCCAAAGCTCCAGCCACTTCTCATCCTTTCTTAGGAAAATCTCAAGTCTTAACTTGAAAGTTGAATGTCCTGCTTTTGTTCCTAACTCTGCTCACAGGATAGTGGAAGAAGAAAGGCTCAGCCTGTTACCAGAAAGAACAGATCTGCAGTGTAACCCATCTAGGATGAAGGGTCATGTGGACAGTTCTTCACTCTTCCCTCTGGCTGCCCTTCAGTTGGTGTCCAGATGCCCCTGTGTTAGCCTGGGGGCATTCCTTGCCCTTTGGCCCCTCTTTTGTTGCCTTTTTTTTTCTTAGACAAGGTCTAACTCCGCTGCCCAGGCTGGAGTGCAGTGGTGCGACCATTGCTCATTGCAACCTCGAACTCCTGGCTCAAGACATTCTCCCCGCTCAGCCTCGTGAGTAGCTGGAACTACAGTTGTACACCACCATGCCTTGGCTAATTTAAAAAGTCTTTTTGTAGGGATGGGAGTCTCAGGCTGGTCTTGAACTTCTGGCCTCCAGTGATCCTCCTGCCTTGGCCTCCCAAAGTTTTGGGATTACAGGCGTGAGCCATTGTGCCCTGCCCTTTGTTGCTTTTTCACTCCTTTACCCTGTGGTTTCTACTATCCTCAGGGACAACTCTCATTGCCCTGGGGCTTCTGGATCTTCAGCAAGACACACCCCTAAAGGCAAACAATCTTTCTTTAGCAGCAGCAGAGCACAAACGGAGTGTTGCTGTATGCTAAAAGCATACTATTTCCCCCCCATGAGAAAGTCTAAGGGGTCCAGGGGTCCTGAAGTCCCTATCCTGCCCCCGCCAGTGACAGGTGATGGGGAACAGAATGCTGAAAGAGACCCCACCCAACCATCTGGTGTGTCAACACCCGCCCCTGCCGGTGCTGTCCACAGGTTGATCCCCATCCCACATGGGTGGCTTAACACATTCATGTCTTCTGAGAGCCATTTGTTGCTCCCCAGTCTCTTCTGTCCTCCTTCTTTGACCAACATTTCCCTGTCTGATTTGCTTGGTCACAGGTAGCCTGTGTCAGTTTCCTCCCAGGACTCTCTTTGCCTGGGAATAAGTGCTATACATGAGAAGCATCCCTCCCAAGCGCTGTGTGTGGCCTCCTGGCATTCTCCTAAGACTTCCTAGAGGATTGCTCTGGTTCCAAAAAGAAACCAGCCACAACCTGTTTGGAGCCCTGCAGGATGTTCCAGCTCACCGACTTCATTCCCCACTACTTGCCCCTCTAACAGAGCTTCTAGACCAGCAGCCAAGGTGCCTCCATTCACTGTACATGACTCACCTTTCCCCCTTCTAGACACTTCTTCACGGGTCTAGCCTCTGTTTCCAGCTTTACACAGCACAGGCTGATGCCTGCCACTGAACGGGATCCAGGACTTTTTCAAATCTCAGATCCCCAGCAAAGGTATGACAATGGGCACCCTGACCAGCTCTGAGCCTCTAAGCATAGGGTCTATTTGTTTAATTTTGAATTCACTTTTAAGATTTAAAAATTGAGAGCTCTCATCTTCAACAAAATTCAGGGGATCTAGAAACATCATGCCCACTTGTGGCAGAGTAGCCAACTGGCAGAAACTGATGCTGATGCTGTCTGTTTCCTACACAAAATGCAAACCAGAGTTTACCACAGGCCCCGCTACTCCACATTCTCCTCCACAAGGACACTCAGCAGGCTCCTGTGCTGAACGGCTTGCCTGGTTCTGTAGGTGTAGGGTTTGTTACTCTGTTCCAGGACCTATTTTCCGCAAAGCCCCTTACCTGGCTGTTTCTTCCCTTGGCATACGTGAGAACTCCTTTCCTCACTGAATTGCTTTGACCTTGCTAATTAGTTGTGTTGCAAGTGCTTTTTGGCTGTGTCAGACATGTATGTTCTGTTTATCATTTTAGAGCAATGGTTATTAATTTTTTTCAGATTCTTCTTGGGAATTAGAGAAAAACTTATGGCTCTCCTCCACCATCCTGCCCCCACCTACCCCAATGCACACATGTGCAACATTTGTTCTACAATTCAAGAGCTCTCTAGACCCCTGATATGCTAGGCAATTCGTGGCTGCCACATTAGGAACCCCTGATTTAGGGGAAGGACTGTTTTCTCCATTAGACAAACTCAACTGTGTAGCATCAATTTCATGGGTCTACTGTGTACTGTGCCCAAAAAATGCCACTGAATGCTGCCTGACTGGTGGATAGCAAGACTGTCCATTAATGTGGTCATTTAGGTTGCCTCTGCCCAGGTCTTGAGGTCATTGGCACTAATTCACAACACCCTCAAGTCACCCAGGGAAGATGAGACACAGTTGGCTGTAGACCCACAGTTTGGGCATTACAGCTGCCCTTGAAGTTGACAAATAACCACAACCTTCAAATTGTTATGAAAAGAGCACAAATCCAATTAAGAAAGCTTTTCCAAAAGAAATAACAGTGTTCCTACCCCCTCTGTCACTCTCCACCCCCTTTTTGTCCCAGAATAATGTTGTGCTGATAGGAACATGGATAAATTAATTACAGTCTGGAATGTTATTCATGGGTAGGAAAGAACACTAAATCTACTCGCACAATGTTTGATATTTAAAGATAAACATTGCCTTTATGTTTTTTTTTTAAACCTCAGTCAGCCTAGTTTACGAAGACATAGGTATAATCCTTTTAAATGCTGTGGATTTTTTAATCGCAAAGGTAACAATATGCTGGGTGTTTTACCCAGCCAGAGAACCAGGAGATGCAGGAATGAGATTAGCATCTCTTTAGTTCCTTGCATATTTGATATTATTTTGGTGTACCTCCAATTCCTGATAACATAGAAGAACTCTTGTGGTTGAAGTCCCTGAAATGGAAGGATATTGGTAACCCTGAATTTAAAACAAGCACAGGCAGCCTTTGTGGGAATGTGTGTGAAGGTCACCTTCTAGAAACAGGACTGTCCATAGCCATTGCCATGGTTTCTGTGTCATTTCAACCAGAACCTTAGGCCTGGAAGTCTGGATGGATGTGGGTTGGCATGGTCCTCTATGGGCATTAAATGAATAAATGGATATAGCAGAGGGAGTATCCAGCATGACTCAAAGAAGGATGAGAGGAAACATATTCAAATAAAATCTTTAGAAAAGCAAATTTCAAAAAAAAATGCTTAAGTATAAAATATTTTGATGACAACCATGATTTTCAAATTGAATTCTTATTCTAAGTAATGGTCTAATCTGAACTTAGACCTCTTTCCTTAATTTTTTTCTCAATAAGCCTTTGGTGTCTAGTCAGTTCAATTCAGTATTTACTGAGTCTCTATACAGACAGGGTATAAGGCATTAATCAAATGTATGTCCAAAATTGCCCACCATGCAGGGCAGAGCTAAAATGCCTAACACCCCTCCTCTCACCAACACATCCCCCACCCACATCTCCAAAGACTTCCTGGCAGAGGTGATCTCTGCCTGCTGGGACAGATGTATAGGCTCCAACAGCAGCAGGGTGGCCCCTCTGACCACCACCTTGGGACCCACATTGCTCTTAGAACTATTCCTCTTTTTTCATCCTTGAAGCCCCCAGCAAAGCTCAGCCTGAATCAACTTTTTCTAGGAATCTGACAAGTTTCCAGGCTGATTTCCTGACCCAGTCAGATCCTCTTCCATCTTTCTTTGGGTGTTCAATTTTCTACGTCATTTTCCACCTCACATATTGGCCGTTGATGACCACATCAGCTCTTCTATGCTGTAAGCTCCCAAGGAACAAATTCTATCAAATGATTGGCCTTTCAGCTCTCTACTGTGACCAGAAAGTTGCCCAGTACATAAAAAGGGGTTCACAGGTATTTCTCACGTGGATAACTGGTGACTCATCTATCCATGATTTTGGGGATCCCCCACTTCCTGGACTAATTGTAAACCACCTTCTACCACCTGGGGGTGCCTGAGCACAACAGAGCTAAGTGAACATTTCATCAGTCTAATTGAATTCAGTGGAATGTTGGGGGCCTGGAAATTTGGACTAGGAAGGTAAGCAGGAGGAATAAGTGTGAATGACAGTATCTAAATTAAAATCTGTTGCCACGAAAGAAGATCAGACCTTTTCTCCTCTGATTTGTCCTTCTAGAAGTCACAAGATGCCCAAAGAATCATAAGCAATGGGTAACTAGGCAAGGGAATTATCTCTGACAAATGCCATGATTGCTCAGTGTCCCATTTCTCTTGGCAGCAAGAGTGGCCCAAAGACTAAACTGAGATGGGGGTCTGCACCCCTGCATGGGACTCAGGCTCTGCAGCTAGCCTTCCAACCACTAAACCTGAGCTGAGGTACTTTTAGCTCTTTATTTCTTGTTTTTCTCATTTGTCACTCAGATGAGAAGAATGCCCGCTCTGTTTGACTCAGTGTCAGCGTGATGAAGTAAAACAGCTTCTTTAAATCCCTCTGCAACAAGGCAGTGAATTGAAAATAAGAAAGATAGGGAAGAACATTCTGGGCAAGACAGCTCAATGAGTTCATGCTTTGATCGATCTCTCAGCTCTGAACACAAAGCCATGACAGGTAGGTATAAAAATAGAAAGCTAAAAAGAGATGTCTGGCTCAACAGAAGCAGAAGAGACACTGCCAGAAGCCTCTGACCTACTGGGCTCTTTGTCTAAAATCAGCAGGGAGTTTGGCCTCTGCTGGGCAAATCCAAGACGCCCCACCCAAGATGGCAGACAGGAACCAAGTACTTGCTTAAAGTCAGGAACTAGGGTGGGGCCCCGAAAGAAAGACAGTGCCTCACTGCTGCCTAGGGACCAAGGTTTTAGAAAAATAAGGTTGAGGGGCCAAGATGGCCGATTAGCTGCTGCTGCAGTCCGCGGCTCTCATGGAGAGGAATGAAAACAGCCAGTGAATTCAGCACCTTCAACTAAAATATCCAGATTCTCGGCCCCACTCGGACTAGTCAGACAACTAGACCTATGGAGAATGAAGAAAAGCAGGCTGGGAAAATGGTCCACCCGAGAGCGGCACGGAGCCAAAGGAAGCCCCACCCCAGCAAAGGGAAGAGGTGAGTGAGTGTGCGACACCACCCGGAAAACCATGCTTCTCCCATGGATCTTCGCAACCCGCAGATCGGGAGATCCCTTCATGAGCCCATGCCACCGGGGCCTTGGGTCCGACACACAGAGCTGTGCAGAGTCGTGGCAGAGCGGCCACTCAGGCACACACAAAGACCCAGGAATTTTACATACTCCAGCCCAAGGAATCCCAGCAAGGCAGGAGATCCATTCATCTATTCCCCCAGGAAGGGGGCTGAACCCAGGGAGCCAACCAGCATTGCTTTGCAGGCCCCGTTTACACAGCACCTCACAGGTTAAGGCCCACTGTAATTTTTGCCAGCCAGTGGTGACAGCCTGGAGTCAGCCTGAGATGGACTGAGCTCTCGTGGGTAGAGGCAGCCACCATCTCTGCGGTTCAGTTGACTCAGCCATTCTAGCCTGCCAGCTCCGGGGAGTCCAGACAGTCTGGACAAGGAGGAGTCTCCCACAACGTGTAGCACAGGTGCTGTGCCAGATCGTGGCCAGACTGCTTCTTTAAGTGGGACCCCGATCCAATCCTCCTCACTGGGTGGGGCCTCCCTGTGGGAATTTCAGCAGCTCCAGCCAGGGTTATATGGAAAATACTCTGCTCTCTCCTGGGACGGAGACCCCCATGAGAAGGGGTGGCCGACGTCGCTGCAGTTCAGTGGACTCAGTCTTTCCAGCCTGCTGGCTCTGGAGAGTTCAGGCGGTCTGGAGGAAGGGTCCCCTCAATGCAGCACACCCGCTACACCTGCTCTAACAAAAAGCAGCCAGACTGCTTCTTTAAGTGGGCCCCTGATCCCGTTCCTCCTGACTGGGTGAGACCTCCCAACAGGGGTCTCCAGAGACCTCCCACAGGAGCGATCAGGCAGGCAACATGTCAGTACATTCCTGGGATGGAGAAAAATGAGCAGGCTGCCATCTTGCTGTTTTGCAGACTTCACTGGTGATACCTCCGGGTATGGGAAAAACCAAGGCAACTAGGGTCTGGAGCAGACCCTGAGCAAACCACAGCAGCCCTGCGGAAGAGTGACCTGACTGATAAAAGAAAAACAAACAAACAAACAGAAAGCACCACCGACAACATCAACCAGGAAAACCCCATTCAAAGGTGAGCAACCTCGAAAATCAAAGGTTGATAAGCCCACACAGATCAGAATCAATACAAAAACGCTGAAAACTCAAAAAGCCAGAGTGCCTCTTCTCCTCCAAATGACTGCAACACCTTTCCAGCAAGGGCATGGAACTAGGCTGAGGCTGAGATGGCTGAAATGACAGAAGTAGGCTTCAGAAGGTGGCTAATAATGAACGTCACTGAGCTAAAGGAGCATTTTGTAACATTAAAAAGTGGGGAAACGACATGAACAGACACTTCTCAAAAGAAGACATTCATGCAGCCAACAAACAAATGAAAAAAAGCTCAACATCACCGATCATTAGAGAAATGCAAATGAAAACCACCATCAGCTACCATCTCACTCCCATCAGAATGGCTATTATTAAAAAGTCAAGAAACAACAGATGCTGGTGAGATTGCAGATAAAAATGAATGCTTTTACCCTATTGGTGGGAATATAAATTAGTTCAACCATTATGGAGGACAGTGTGGCGATTTCTCAAAGATCTAGAGGCAGAAATACCATTTGGCCCAGCAATCCCTTTACTGGGTATATATATCATTCTATTATATATACATAAAATAGGAATACAAAACATGCTATTCCTATTATATGTGTAATAGGAATACAAATCATTGTATTCTAAAGACATGCATATGTTCATTGCAGCATGATTCATAATAGTAAAGACATGGAATCAACCTAAATGCTAGACTGGATAAAGAAAATGTGGTACATATACACCATGGAATACTATGCAGCCATAAAAAGGAAAGAGATTATGTCCTTTGCAGGGACACCGATGGAGCTGGAAGCCGTTATCCTCAGCAAACTAATGCAGGAACAGAAAACCAAACACTGCATGATCTCATTTATAAGTGGGAGCTGAATGACAAGAACACATGGCCACGTGAGGGGAATAACACACACTGGGGCCTGTCAGGGAAGGGGGAGAGAGAGCATCAGGAAGAATAGCTAATGGATGCTGGGCTTAATACCTACGTGATGGGTTGATCTGTGCATTTTGTAACCAAATGTACCTGTAATTTATGATCCAATTCAAGTTGAATTTTTTATAAAAGATAAAGGAAAGATTAGGATTATGTTTTTACATAGAAATGCACAATTGTTTCAGTACAAACTAAAGAGATTTTCAGAATTTCATAGATGAAAACAATTCACATTTGCTAAAATGTATCCTATTAATACTAACGGTTGTACTTCAGCCATAAGAAAAGAGGACAGAAGGGAATGTGTGAAAGTCAGTATTAAATGGTAGTCAATTAAAAATAAAATAAAAATTTTGAAAGGTAAAATAATAATTACTGAAACTGATAAACAATATTAATAATTTTAATAGCCATTAAATTAACAAAATAATAATAATTAGATTTGGAATTTTTTAAAGAATAAGATGAGTTAAATGGGTGAAAGTCCACAGAAAGAAAGTTTTCTGGGTCCTTGATGTGATCGGGAAGAAAACAGAAATATTTAACAACAGAAATTTTGTAGGAAATTCATAGTTTACTAAGTATGCTAAAATTTTATAGATAATTACAAAAAGGATATAAGTAATCTATAAGTTGCAAAGCAACAAAATATATTCTTTTGTGTAAATAAAAGGGAAAATAGAATGGTTTCTCACACCAATGAGAAATAGGAGGGAAAAATACTTTAAGAGAAAAAGTTGTGAAATAAAAATCAAAATGTAACATGGTAAAAATATATGCAGGTACATCAATAATCATAATATCTTTAAATAGAATAAGCACACAAAAGACTACAATGATTACATTGAATAACAAAATAAAATCTAATTATATGCTGCTTACAAGATATACATTTGAAGTAAAACCAAATTGAAAAGTTGAAAATTAAGTAATAAAAAAATACTAAGCAAAGGCTAACACACAGAAATCTAAGGTAGCAATATTAACACAAGACAAAGTAAAAATTCAGGTGATTAATAGTATACAAAGATCACCCAATTTAATAAAAGGAAACAGTCTGCTAGGAAAATATTACAATTATGGGTATGTAGTTAACTATACAGACTCAGCAAATATAAAGCAATCCTGGCAGATTTATAAGACATTGATATATCTATCTATCTTATCAATTCCCTTAAGGGGAACTGAGTTGTAGGGAGCCATTTAACACACTTCTCTCAGCAACTGGTAGATCTGCCCTCCCCAACATAGTAAGCATATAGAATATTTGAGTGATGAAATTAACAAAGTTCATTAAATATATATATAGAGAGAGCACTACACCCAACCAATAAACAATATGCATTTTTTTAACAAGTGTTCACGGAACTTTTTTTACCATTTGGCCATGTACTAGATCATGAAAGAAGTCTCAAGAACATTTTAAATATTAGTTTTACATACGTGCTTGGCTCTATGATCAAAATGCAGTTAGGTTATAAATCAGCAGTAAATTTATGGTCAATAAATCTTCACATATCTGAAAACCAAAAACCAAGTACATGTCTACTTAACCCATTGGTTAGAGAAGAAAACATTTTAGAAACAATAAAATACTAAATGCCATAGAAAATACTATATATGAAAGTTTCTGGGATGCAGCTAATGTGGTTCTTAGAGGTAAATTGACAGCATTAAATGAATTTTTGAAAAGAAAAATGATAGAAAATAAGTTTAACTAAAAAAAGGAGACATATGAAATAAACTAAAGAAAGTAGATTAAACAAAATTTTAAAAACAAAAATTAGCAAAAATGAAAATGAAAAAGGAGAGAAGAGCTACTAGATGAAAAGCTACTCAAGGAACACAATTTGAAGATTTAAATAAGATATATATTTTTCTAGAAAAAAAACATGAACTTCCAAAGTCAATTTATGAATAGAGCTTCATCATAAAACTGGAATCTATAAAAAGTATCAGTTCAATAGATGGATTTACTAACATATTAGACACAGCTGAAGAAATTATTTATGAATTAGAATGTAAGTCAGTTAAAAATATTCAGGGTGAAACACAAGAGAAAAATAATGAAAAATACAAAAAAAGAGTATAAGAGATGTAAGGAAAAGGATTAAGAGAAGTGCAGTTAGAGGCTGAGAAGTACAGAAGAAAGTGAACAGAGCAGAAGTGATATTTGAAGAGATAGGGACTGAGAATTTTCCAAAAACTGATTTTAAAAATGAAGCCATGGGTGAAAGAAGTATTTAAAACTTCAAGAAAAATTACTTTAAGGAAAATCAGAATTTCTTAGTGCATCATATTAAAATGCTGAAAACAAAAAATAAAGAGAAAATCTTACAATCAGACAGAGGGGAAAAAGATATACAGGAATCACCAATAAGATAGATACTGTATCTCATTTCTCAAAAGGAAGATTGAATACTATAGAAAATTAAATGGCATCTTTAAAGTGCTGAAAGAAAATA
This sequence comes from Homo sapiens, assembly GCF_000001405.40. NCBI lineage: Eukaryota > Metazoa > Chordata > Mammalia > Primates > Hominidae > Homo > Homo sapiens. Next base: position 34,472,514 of record NC_000021.9, read on the forward strand.
ACTACCCACCTAGAATTCTATACCTAATGAAAATGTCCTTTAAAAATGAAGGCAAAATAAAGGCTCTAATAATTCAAGGAGCGTTCTGTAATCTCTAATGTTTTAACTAAAATAATGAAAGAATGTATAAATAATAATGGGGAAATATGAAACAAAGAAAAATACTTCATTAATCTAAAAAGCATAAGAAATAATAAGTCCATAGACAAGTGTAACAAACAGAAACATTACAGAGTTGGTAAAACTTGAGGAGAAATAGATGAATCCACTATTCAACACTACTTTAACAGAAACAGACAGATACAGCATGCTAAAAATCAGTGCGAACATAGTTGAATTCAGCAGCACCATCAATCAACTGGATCTGATTCATCTAAAACGTCATCCAACAACAGCAGAATACACATTCTTCTCAAGCTCATATGGAACACTCACCAAGATAGACCACATTCTGCGTCATAAAATACACTTGGCAAATTTAGAAGAATCAAAATCATCCTATGTCTGCCCTCAGACCACAATGGAATGAAAACTAGAAATCAATGACAGAAAGATAACAGGAAAAATCCCCAACTACTTGGAGGTTGAACAATATACCTAATAACACATGAGTCAAAGAAGAAATCTCAAGGTAAACTTTAAAATATTTTGAACTAAATGAAAATAAAAATACGTGTTGTCAAAATTTGTGAGATGCAGCAAAAGCAGTGTTTAGAGGAAAAGTTGTAGCATTAAATGCATATGTTAGAAATGAGGAAAGATCTAAAATTAACAATCAGCTTTCAGCATGGAAAACTGAAGAAGAACAACTTAAGCCTAAAGCAAATAGAAAAAAAAAGAAATAAGAAAAATTAATTAAAAATAGGAAATAAGTGAAGAAAATCGACAAAGACAAAAGCTGGTTCTTTGAAAACATCAATAAAATTGACAAACTTCTAGTCAGGCTAAGAACAAAAAACGGGAGACACAAATTACCAACATTAGATATGAAAGAGAGTCATCACTACTGATCACATGAACAACAAAATGATCATTTAAAAATACTGAAAACAACATTATGCTCACAATTTTGAAGAACTTTGATGAAATGGACCAATTCTTTGAAAGACCCAAACTACCAAAACTCACACAAGGAAAAATAGATCTGAATAGGCCCATATTTATTAGATAAATTGAATCAATAATTAATAGACTTCCAAAAAGAAAGCACCAAGCTAACCTGGTTTCCCTGGTAAATTCTATCTAACACTTTTAAAATAAGTGATATTAATTCTCTGTAGTCTCTTTCAGAAAATAGAAGCAGAGGAAACACTTCCTAATTCATTATATGAGGCTAACATTATCCTAATACCAAGAGCAGACATTACAATAAAGGGAAACTACAGACTAATATCTCTCATGAATGTGGATGCAAAAATTCACAACAAAATATTAACAAATCAAATACAATAATGTACAAAAAGAATTATACATCACAAATGAGTGAGATTTATTTCAGGTATGGAAGGCTGGTTTAACATTTGAGAGTCAGTTAATGGAACCCACCACACCAACAGGCTGAAGAAAAAAATCATATGATTATATCAATTGATGAAGAAAAAGCATGACAAAATCCAAACCCATTCATGATGAAAACTCTCAGCAAACTAGGAATTCAACTTCATAAAGCACATCTACAAAAACCTACAGCTAACATCATCCTTGATGGTGAGAAACTGAATGTTTTCTCCTTAAGATCAGGAATTAGACCAAGATGTCCCTCTCACAACTCCTATTCAACATTATACTGGAAGTTCTAGCTTGTGTTAAAAAACAAGAAAAGGAAATAAAAGACATACAAGTTGGGAAGGAAAAAATAAAACTGTCTTTTTCACAAATGACATGATTGTCTATTTAGAAAATCCCAAGAATTAACTAAAATTTCTTGGAACTAATAAGTGATTTTATTAGTTTACTAAGACTGCCAATAACAAAATACAACAGACTGGGTGAGTTAAATGACTTAAATTTATTTTCTCATAGTTTTGGAGGCTAGAAGTTCAAGGTCAGGGTGTCAGCAGGTTTGATTTCTCCTGAGGCCTCTCTCCTCCTCTTGCAGATGGCCACATTTTTGCTGTGTCCTCACATGGCCTTTTCTCTGTGTATGAAAATCCCTGGTGTCTCTTTCTGTTTGTCTCATCTTCTTAGAGGGACACCAGTCAGATTGAATTAGGGTCCACCCTAGAGGCCTTATTTTAACTTAATCACTTTTTAAAGTCCACATCTCCAAATGCAGTCACATTCTAGGGTACTGGGGATTAGGGTTTCAACATATGAAATTTGTGGAGGGACAAATTCAGTCCATAATAGTGATTATATTATAGCAAGGTTGCAGAATACAAGGTTGATACAGGAAAGCCAATGGCTTTCTTATATACTATCAATGAACAATTAAAAATACAAATTTAAAAGCACAATATCATTTACAATAGTACCAAAGAAAGAAGGAAAGACATTAATTCTCAGGTAGAAATCTACAAAAACATATACAGGATCTATATGCAGAAAACTATAAAACTCTGATGAAAGAAATCAAATCAAATGAAAACAAATGGAGAGATATTTCATGTCCTTGGATTGGAAGACTCAATGTTATTTAAAAGACAATTCACTGTAACTTGATCTATAGATTCAACATAATCTCCCCAAATTCCAGCAAGCTACTTTGTGCATATCAACAAACTGATTCTGAAGTTTATATAAAAAAGCAAAAGACATAAAATAGCCAATACAGTATTGAAGAACAGAGTTGAAGGCTGACACTACTGACTTCAAGACTTAATATAAAGCTCCAGCAAGGAAGACACCACAGTACTGGTGAAAGAATAGACACTTAGGTCAGTGGAACAGAATAGACAGGCCAGAAGAGGACTCTCACAAATATACTATAGTCAATTCTCTTTGATAAAGAACCAAAGACAATTCAATGGAGTAAGGGCAGTGTTTTCAACAAATGGTGCATAACAATTGGACAGCCACGTATAAGAAAACAAATCTAGACTCAGATCTTACACCTTTCACAAAAACTAACTGAAATAGATCATGGATCTCAATGTAAAATACAATATTTTCAGATTTCCAGAAAAAAAAAAGCAGAAAATCAATGTAACCTTGAATTTAGTGATGAGTTTTAAAATACAAGCCAAAAAGCATGATTCATGAAAAAAATTTATAAATTATACTTGATTAAAATTAAAATACTATGTTCTGTGAAAAATACTGTTAAGGGAATCAAAAGACAAGGCACAGATTGGGAGAAAATATTTGCAAACCACCTATGTGATACGGGAACTTGTATCCAAAATACACAAGAAACTCTTAAAAAAACAAGAAAGCAAGTAATGCAATTTTAAAGTGGGCTAAAGATCTGAAGAGACAGATCACCAAGGAAGATTCATAGAATGGCAGATAGAAAGATGCCCATCATAATTTACGGCTGGGCACAGCAGCACCAGCTCCTCAGAAGGCTGAGGCAGGAGGGCCCCTTGAAACCAGGAGTTTGAAGCTATTGTAGGCTATGATGTGCCTGTGAACGGCCACTGCACTCCAGACTGGGCAACATAGTGAGAGCTCATCTTTAAAATAAATAAACAAATGAATAAATAATTAATTTGTCATTAGAGAGTTCCAAGTTAAAACAATAGCAAGATGCCACTACACACCTATGAGAATGGTTAAAATCCAAAAGCCTGACAATACCAAATGATGACAGAGAGGCAGAGCAACAGGAACTCTTGCTCATCGCTGGTGGGAATGCAGAATGGTGCAGCCACTTTGAAAGACAGTTTGGCTGCCTCTTACAGAACTAAATATAGTCTTAGTACAGAATCCATCTGCTGTGCTCCTAGATACTTATCCAATTGATTTGAAAACTTATGTTCGCATAAAAAAATCTGCATGTAAATGTTTAAAGCAGATTTATTCATAATTGCCAAAAACTGGAAGCAACTAAGATTCTGTTCAACAGCTGAATGAATAAACAAGTTGTGGTACATCTATATAGTGGAATACGGAATATAATTCTGCAATAAAAAGAAATGAGTATTGAGCTATGAAAAGTTGTGGAGGAATCTTAAATGCATACTGCTAAGTGAAAGAAGCCAGTATGTTTATAGCAGCATGATTTATATTCCTTTGGGTATATACCCAGTAAACTATGCAACCATAAAAATGATGAGTTCATGTCCTTTGTAGGGTCATGGATGAAGCTGGAAACCATCATTCTCGGCAAACTATCGCAAGGACAGAAAAACAAACACTGCATGTTCTCACTCATAGGTGGGAATTGAACAATGAGAACACTTGGACACAGGAAGGGGAACATCACACACCGGGGCCTGTTGTGGGGTGGAGGGGGGGAGGGATAGCATTAGGAGATATACCTAATGTAAATGACGAGTTAATGGGTGCAGCACACCAACATGGCACATGTATACATATGTAACAAACCTGCACGTTGTGCACATGTACCCTAGAACTTAAAGTGTAATAAAATACATATATATATATAAAGAAGCCAGTATGCAAAGGCTACATATTATATGATTCCAATTACATAATAGTCTGGAAAATGCAAAACTGTAGAGACTCGAAAGTGATCAGTGAGTTCCAGGGTTAAGGTGGAGGGTAGAGGGTGAATAGGTGAACTGCAGGTAATTTTTAGGGCAGTAAGATTATTGTAATGTAAAATTTTAGGGCAGTAGAATTATTTAAATGGTGGATATAAGATATTGCGTTGCATTGCCTATGCAACCAAAGGTGAACCTTAATGAATGCAAATTTTGAAAAATTATTTAAGAGGTTGGGGGATCCCAAGAGAGAATGCAGACCATGAGAAGAGAATCTAACTGTATTACAAATATAGGAAACACTCTCACTGAAGGGATGGGTCGGGGAGGGGAAGAGAAGAATACTGAAGTATTTTGGAAATAAGTGAGGCTTATAAGATTAAAGGCAAAGGGAACTGCATGTGAGCACTGTACTCTAGTTGAAAAAATTGTTTCCCATAGAGGTACTGGTTAACAATTCTGTTATTGCTATGTATTTATACTGGAATGGAACAATTACATGAATGGATGGCAGATGGTAGAAGCCAGGTTTCTCACCACTGGAGTGGCTGTTTATCAAAAAGCAGGAGGAGAAAGAATCATTCATGCAGTGATGGATTTGAGTTGGAGAGAGCAGTGTGGACTCATATTTAGCTCAATAGAGAGGCTGATGGTTATCTATAGAAGTATTTATAGATATGCATATATACATGATATAGTATAAACATGTGTGTTTCTTGCTCTGTCCCTGAAACAGCCTGAAAGAAATGACATCCCAGTAACAGCAAACGTGCACAGCACCGTATCTTGGTTTCTAATACTATTCTCCATTTAAACGAACCAGGATTCTTTGGAGAAGTGGCTGTTTCTAAGACTGGGACAGGAAATATCCAAGATGAGCCTAAAGCATCTGGTAGTGCCAGAAAGTAAGGAGGTGCTCAAGAACAAAACAGGACCAAACAAAACATTGATCAGGGTCTGTCAAAGGAGCACAGATGCCAGCTAAAAGAGTTCCCAATGGCCAAAGCTGGAACACTTTGCGGTAATAAAGTAGTATTGGATTATAACCTACAGTATAAAGTAAATATGCATGGTATAAATACATGGTTAAATATATTAATAAATGAGGAAGCAGAGACAAATCTCTCTTACAAAAGAATTCCATATATTTTACACAGGTACTCTGTCTTCAAGAAGAAGGAATCAAACTCCCCATTCCTTCAGTGTGAGCTGTACATAATGACTTCCTCCCAAAGTGTACAATATAGAAAAGGGGAGAAAAAGAGTAAATTTACAGTGGAGGACCCTGACAAGCGCCACTCAGGCAGGCGACCAAGGCTACCTTCCGCACTCATAAATCATGCTGACAGTAGGTACGCTTGATATCACGGGATGAAAATAGCACTTCACCTCTGTGATTTTCTTTCCAATAACTTACAACCCCAGTTTTCTAATGAGAAAAATATCAGGCAAATTCCAAAAGTGGGACATTCTACAAAATACCTAAGCAGTCCTCAGAACCCTCAATGCATCTAAAGAAGGAAAGTCGGAGAAACTGCCACAGACAGCAGGTGCCTAAAGAGACATGACAACTAAATCTAATGTGGGATTCTGGAACAGAAGGAAAAGACATTAAGTAAAGACTGAAAGAACAAAATTATGAACTTTTGTTAATAACAGGTCATTATTTGTTTCATTGTAACAAATGTAAGATATCGATAATAGGGGAAACTGGATGTGAAGTATATTGAAAGAATTGAACAATGAAAACACTTGGACACAGGAAGGGGAACATCACATAACCAGGGCCTGTTGTTGGCGGGGGGGATGGGGGGAGGGATAGCATTAGGGGATACACCTAATGTAAATGAAGAGTTAATGGATGCAGCACACCAACATGGCACATGTATACATATATAACAAACCTGCACATTGTGCACATGTACCCTAGAACTTAAAGTATAATAATAATAAAAAAGAAACTCTCTGTGCCATCTTCTCAACGTTTCTAAAAATCTGAAACTGCTGTAGAAAATAAAATCTATTTTAAAAAATTTAAATAAGCAAACTGCTCACTACTACACAAAAAAAGCAAAGATTAGTCTCTTGAGTATAAAATTGAGCAGAAGAAGCCAGACACAGCCTGCAAGCTCCAACTCCATTCATAAAGAGTTTGCAAACTGGCAGCGATGGCGCGAGAGCTTAGGAAATTGTTTCACTGGGGGAAGTGGAACAGACGTTGACTGGATGATGTCACATGAGGGGCTTCTGGGGTACTATTAACATTCGATCTCAAATCCAATTGGTGGTTATATTTTTGTTTCCTTAAATTAATAAGTATTAATTTATGAAAATTAATTGAAATGACACTCATAATCTGTGCACTTTTCTGTACAATTCAATAAACTTAATGATAAAAACAAGAATGAATCAGAACTGTGTATATCAACATGGATCAATCTAAAAAGCAATGTTGATTAAAAAAATTTAAAAATATGTCCGGGTGCAGTGGCTCATGCCTGTCATCCCATCACTTTGGGAGGCCGAGGTGGGCGGATCACCTGAGGTCAAGAGTTTGAGACCAGCCTGACCAACACGGTGAAACCCCATCTCTACTAAAAATTACAAAAATTATCATGCCTGTAATCCCAGCACTTTGGGAGGCCGAGGTGGGCGGATCACCTGAGGTCAGGAGTTTGAGACCAGCCTGACCAACATGGTGAAACCCCGTCTCTATTAAAAAATACAAAAATTATCATGCCTGTAATCCTGGCACTTTGGGAGGCCGAGGCGGGCAGAGCACGAGGTCAGGAGTTTGAGACCAGCCTGGCCAACATGGTGAAACCCTGTCCCTACTAAAAATACAAAAATTAGCCAGGCGTGGTGGCATGGGCCTGTAATCCCAGCTACTCAGGAGGCTGAGGCAGGTGAATTGCTTGAACCCAAGAGGCAGAGGTTGCAGTGAGCCAAGATCTCACCATTGCACTTCAGCTCTGGGCAACAGAGTAAGACTCTGTCTCAAAAAAAAAATACAAAAATTAGCCAGGCATGGTGGCGGGCGCCTGTAATCCCAGCTACTCAGGAGGCTGAGGCAGGAGAATCGCTTGAACCCGGGAGGCACAGATTGCAGTGAGCCAAGATCGTGCCATTGCACTTCAGCCTGGGTGACAGAGCAAGACTCCATCTCAAAATAAATAAATGAACAAATAAATAAACAAAGCAATGTTGAATGTTAAAAAAGTAATTTGTCAAATAATAACTAAAATAGACTACTTTTTTTATACGTACCTTCTGTAAAACAAACTATGTTCTTATTTATGGGCTTACAAAATTTAGCCTAAGTATCAAAACACACTTGAGATTATAAATACCAAATTCATGATAGCAGTTATCTCTGCAAAGAGAGGAAAGAAAATGAAATTGAGGAGGGGGACTCACTTTTTTTTTTTTTTTTGAGACAGAGTCTCACTCTATTGCCCAGGCTGGAGTGCGGTCGCATGATTGCGACTCACTGCAAGCTCTGCCTCCCAGATTCAAGTGATTCTCCTGCCTCAGCCTCCCGAGTAGCTGAGACTACAGGCGCACACCACCACACCTGTATTTTTTGTAGAGATGGAGTTTTGCCTTGTTAGCCAAGCTGGTCTCGAACTCCTGACCTCAGGTGATCCACCTGCTTTGGTCTCCCAAAGTGCTGGGATTATAGGCATGAGCCACCATGCCTGACCAACTTCTACCTATACTGTTGCATGTATATATATTTAAAAATCCAAAAAACATATTGCAAAATGTTAAGTTGTGATACAGTTGGGTTCAGCTACAAGGGTAACCATGACATTTCTCTATAACTGCTTCTAGTTTTGAAATACATATATATGTATACACACACACGAGTGTGTGCTCTATAAGAACATGTAACTAATATTGTATAGTGCAATAACAGCCTAGGAGAATTAACAAGCATTTTGCCATCAATACTTATCCTTTGTGTTGCTGAGGATGAATGAACCCATAGATCATTAGTCTTTGAAGCCGTTGGCTTCTTTTAAAAGTGGTTCTAACTCGAAGACTAATGACCTTTGCATTTCACCAGCCCCACCTTGTTAATCTCATATCTTTCAAGACATGTACACTTTGGGAGGCCGAGGCGGGTGGATCATGAGGTCAGGAGATCGAGACCATCCTGGCTAACAAGGTGAAACCCCGTCTCTACTAAAAATACAAAAAATTAGCTGGGCGCGGTGGCGGGTGCCTGTAGTCCCAGCTACTTGGGAGGCTGAGGCAGGAGAATGGCGTGAACCCGGGAAGCGGAGCTTGCAGTGAGCCGAGATTACGCCACTGCAGTCCGCAGTCCGGCCTGGGTGACAGAGAGAGACTCCGTCTCAAAAAAAAAAAAAAAAAAAAAAAAGACATGTAATCCCAAAGTTTCCTTGAAGATAAATTACATTTGCTGACAGGACTCTTTAGAACCACTGAGAACAGTCAGATATTGGAGGTCAATGAGGAAACAACCCCACTGCTGATTCACTCCATAGCATGCACTGAGCACCCACATGGTCCACATGAGATGTGATGGGGCTTGAACCAGTCTGGCTGTAGAGGGGAAAGAAGGAGAGAAACAGATCTGAGAAGCATTTTGAGGCAGAGCTGTCAGAAGTCACCAAATGGCTCTGAATAACATGGCGGAGTCCAAGAGGCCAGAAGAAGAATCAAGAACAGCCAGGGCCGGTTTGAGCAGCTGTGTGAAGGCTGGCACCATTAACTAGGGTAGAAAGCATGGTGGAGAAATGGGGCTGGCTAAGCAAAGTTGCGGGTTCAATCAAGAAGTTTGCCTTTGGAATGTGTCATGGTTGAGATGCCTTTCACAATCCAAGTCTAGGCCTGGTGAGGTGGCTCATGCCTGTAATTCCAGCACTTCGGGAGGCTGAGATGAGAGGATCGCATCAGTCCAAGAATTTGAGACCAGCCTGGGCATCATAGTGGGACCTCATCTCTACAAAAAAACATTTAAAAATTAGCTGGCTGTAATGGTAAATGCCTGTAGTCCCAGCTACTTGGGAGGTTGAGGTGGGAGGATGGCTTGAGCCTGGGAGGTTGAGGCTGTAGCAAGCTATGATTATGCCACTGCACTCCAGCCATGGTGACAGAGCAAGACCTCATTTCAAAAAAAAAAAAAAAAATCCAAGTCTAGATGTGACCAGGTATGTGGAATCTGGAGCTCAAAGAGGAGTCAGACTGGAAAGATATACACTTGGATGTCACCAGCATATTGATGTTGCTTCATGCCATGGGACCCAATGGGGCCCCCCCACCCTGGAGGAGGGTAGTTAGAGAAGAGAGGTCTGAGGATCAAGTCCTGGGATGGTTAGAGTTTCATAGAGGAGCAGGAACATAAATAATAAAGGCCAACCACATAAGGAAAACAAAAGCTATATATTCAGGGTATACTGTAACAAGGGAGTCGTCACCATCACTTACATTTTGGTAGAGACTCCAAGGCAAGAGTGGGAAAGTTTGACAGTGATGTTAACCAAAAACTGACAGAGGCAGGTGTCTCAATTGATAGCGGTTTATTTCGCCAAGGCTGAGAATGTGCCTGGGAAAAACTCGAGTCACAGGAACATCTATGACCTGTGCTTTCCAAAGAGGGTTTTGGGAATTCAGTGTCGAAAAGGCAAAGAACAGACAGGAGGGAAAAAAGCGAGGGAGGGTGGGCAGTGAGGCAAATGGTAACATTATTGTGAGGTTCTGATTAACGCTCAGTAAATTGGCATTTTACATAAAATAAAGCAAACACGTGAAAAGAGGAAGTATGGGGAAAAGTCAATGATGCATTTATCTCAGGGTGGATGAAGGGATGATTTCTGGTCTTGTCCTTGTCCTCTTACCTGTGAAGATAAACTTGTAATTGACATTGTTAGGGTGAGATTGAACAGAACTCAGTTTCGGGGCTAGCTTATAGGGGGGATATGTATCCTATAAGATTTAGGGCTCACACAGAATTTCCTTGTGAGCAATTTGTGAAGAAGGCCATCTGGGGAGATATGTGGCCTCCTATCTTTGTGGGAACCTGGCTTATGTATGACGTTATGACACAGGGTTTTGAAATTACAGCTATTTGAGAACAAAAGAAAGGCAGTATTGCATGACTCAGTTCCCAAGCTTAACTTTCCCTTTGGCATAGTGAGTTTAGGGTCCTGCGATTTTGTTTTCTTTCACAGTGGAAAGGAAGGGAAGGCTGCAGGTGCACCCTGATGGGAGTCTGTTGGCATGGCGAAGCCCTAGGTGAGCTAATTAGGGGCAGGGTGTCCCATGGAATTGGCTAGGGATGCATATTTGGTTTTCTCTGGTTGGTCCTAAAATTAAAGTGAAGACAAAAATTAGGGGAGCTGTCAGTTATTAATCAAGTCCTGGTCATTGTGGGCCAACTGTTATGGATATTATTATTTAACTTCCTGAATTGTTACTAGAGATAGCAGTCCGGCTTTCTATGAGTCTGACTTATAGCAGGCTGGCTTCCGGTTGTTTATTGTAGATAAAGGGGTTGGGTTCCTGGCAGGTAGCTGCAAGCTGTGAGTCATAGTTCTATTTATATATCATGTGGCCATTGTCCATTTGTATATTTAGTCTCTTGGGAGAAAAAAGCCGAAAAGGAGATTGAAAGGAGCAGCTAGAGAGAGGAGGGAAACTAAGACAATATCATCATCCCAGAACTTAGGAAGATAAAGTCCCAACAAGAAAGGGGTGGTTCACTGAAGCAAATGCTGCTAAAATGTCTGATAAGATGAGGATGTCAAAGTAGGTGAAGCTTTTCCAGGTGAAAAAGAGACGTAGCCATCATTGTTGCTGAATTCTCAGACACAGGAAACATTTTCCTGTGGCTTCAGGCAATGGTGAAATAGGAACTAACAGGGTCAGCTAGGAAGAGAAACTTTTAATGCCTCTAGGGGGCACAGCATATCATACCTAACAACTGAGCAGCAAATACCGTCCCCTACTCTCCAGACGCATTTTCCAGCCCAACATGGGATTCTTAGATTGGTTAGATGGCAGCATCTGAGACCACAATTAACCTGAAATCCAAGCTCAGGCACTTGCAGCTCCAAAGCCTCACACTCGATGCTCCGAGTTTAGGGACTTCTATCAAGTAAATTGGGAAATGGGTCGTTCTCCTTTGAAGACTGTTAGGAAAGAGGGACAAAAACGGAAAAAAAAAAAAATCAATCCCTGAGTTTAATCTCCAGTATTCCTTCCCAGAAACTTTAAGTTAGCTACAAGAATGTTAATCATGAGCAGAAATTGTTTAATAATCAAATTATCATAAATTTGCTTTTCTTTTACCTTAGTAAGGTAACTATGTGACAAACATTTGTGAAGTTGAGAATAGATAAAAGTACCCATCATATGATCTAGCCATCCCACTGTTGGACATATACCCAAAAGAAAGGAAATCAATATCTTGAGGAGATATCTGCACTTCCATGTTTTTTGCAGCACTGTTTACGATAGTTAAGATTTGGAAGCAACCTAAGTGTCCATCAACAGATGAATGGATAAAGAAAATGTGATACATCCACACAATGCAGTACTATTCACCCCTTAAAAAGACTGAGATCCTGTCATTTACAACAACATGGATGGACATGGAAGACATCATGTTAAGTGAAATAAGCCAGGCACAGAAAGACAAACATTGCATGTTCTCACTTATTTGTGAGATCTAAAAATCAAAATAATTGAACACATGGATATAGAGAGTAGAAGGATAGTTATCAGAGGCTGGGAAAGCTATTCGGGGGCTGGTGGGTGGGTGGGGAGAGATGGGGATGGTTAATGCATGCAAAAAATAACTAGAAAGAATGAAGAAGACCTACTGTTTGAGAACACAACAGGGTGCCTATAGTCAATAAGAAGTTAATTGTACACTTAAAATAACTAAAAGAGTATACTTGGATTGTTTGCGACACAAAGGATAAATGCTTGAGGGGGTGAATACCCCTTTCTTATGATGTGCTTATTTCACATTGCATGCTTGCATCAAAACATCTCAGGTTCTCCATAAATATATACACCTATTATGTACAAAAATTAAAATTATTTTTAAAAAGTGCCAAGAAACTCTGTACCCTAACATAGCCCTGTTAGAATTACTTAGCACTAATAGTTGCCTTTGCTGAGTGATGCAAGCAGATGTCTCTGGCCCTCAAAGATGAGGAGACACTGCTGCTCTGCTTGGTGTGAACATAAACTCCAGTTCTTCTGGGAACTGCCTTAAAGACAGCAGAAACTGGAGAGCAGAGAAAAGTGGAAAGTGGCCAGGCACGGTGGCTCACACCTGTAATCCCAGTACTTTGGTAGGCCGAGGCAGGCAGATCATGAGGTCAGGAGTTCGAGACCAGCCTGACCAACATGGTGAAACCCCGTCTCTACTAAAAATACAAACATTAGCCAGATGTGGTGGTAGGTGCCTCTAATCCCAGCTACTTGAGAGGCTGAGGCAGGAGAATTGCTTGAACCTGGAAGGCTGAGGTCAGTGAGCCGAGATCTTGCCACTGCACTCCAGCTTGGGCAACAAGAGCAAAACTCCTTTTCAAAAAAAAAAAAAAGTGGAAAGCATAACCTTGCTTGATGGTGAGGTTGAATCCCCACCTTCGCCTTTCTCAGATTTATTCCCATCTTCCTACTCCTCCAACCCCTATGTTGGCTCAAGCCCAGATGGCTCTCACCTGCATTAACCTAACCATCTCGTAACCCATCTCCTCTCTTTGTTCCTTTCCTATGCACCCTCCACATGGCCAGCTGCCAGAGGATCTTTCAAAATGACTAATCTTACTATTCTTCTCCTCTACAAAGCTTCAGAGGCTTCCAGTCTGGACTCCTTAACAACACATAAAAAATTCCTCTTCTGTTCTTCCTCTGGCTGGTGGCTCTCAACCTTGGCTGCACTTGAGGATCCTGGGGAGCTTTAAAAACTGCCCTGCTCTGGTTTAGTCAGTCTGGGCTGGGTCCCAGGTGTCTAGAGTTTTAGTTTTGTTTCCCAGGACCTGGTGACTCCTTGAACTATTTGCAGATTCCTGAACCCCTGTCGGAGAGTAAGCTGTGTTCTAATCTCATCAGATCTAAGGAGAGATGTAGGAACTTGCCTTGAGGCTTGAATTCTTTCTCCTACTCTCCACTTGTGGTAGTCAGTCTTTTGCATTTAAGGGTCAAAAATAAGAAGGCCTATTGTGTTTCCAAGGCTGGGGTCCATAGTGCATACGATAGGTTTCAGAGGGAGAGATGGCAGTGGAGATGGGGAAAGAAAATGTGGAAACCTGAGTCTAGGATGTTGCTTGCTAAGTGTACTAGAATATGCCACCCCAAATATGCCTCTTTGGCATATAATTATTTTGAGCTGAAGGCTATTGAGAACCAGCAGATGCACGAAAGGTCTAAAAACAGAGTCTAAGTTTTCCTTTTGTAAAGGATTGTAGAGGTGTCTCCTTCTCCCAGGAAGAAGACTCTTAACTACTCATCAGAGGAGAAAGGGCAGACTTAATTCTGCACAACAAATCTTACTAAACACCTCTTGTTTACCATCCTTTTCCTGGTTAACTTCTCATAAGTTGCCTCCCCTACACAGAAGCCCCAACCCCTTCTTTTTTGTTTTAGCCTAAGATGGTATTTAACCCCCAGTCTAACCACCCCTTTGGGTTACTCACCTCTTAGTGTTCCTGTGTGTACACAGACAACGAACTTGTAAGTAGACTTGTTTTTCTCTTGTTAATCAGTCTTTGGCCAGTCTAACTTATAAGGTTTCAGTTGGAAAACCTAAGATGGGTAGAGGAAAAGATTCCCCTGCAACACACTTATATTATGAAACCAAACTGGATACCAAGCAAGGAGGATCGGGCATCTAACACTTAACTCCTGACCTCCACAATAGCTTGCAGGTAAGGGTTTTTTTTTTTTTAATATATATATGTATTTTTATTTAAGTTCTAGGGTACATGTGCACAATGGGCAGGTTTGTTACATATGTATACATGTGCCATGTTGGTGTGCTGCACCCATTAACTCGTCATTTTTTTTGTTTTGCTTTTTGTTTTGTTCTGTTTTTTTTGAGACGGAGTCTCGCTCTGTCGCCAAGGCTGGAGGGCAGTGGCACAATCTTGGCTCACTTTAAGCTCCACCTCCTGGGTTCAAGTGATTCTTCTGCCTCAGCCTCCTGAATAGCTGGGACTTCAGGTGCCTGCCACCACACCCGGCTAATTTTTGTATTTTTAGTAGAGACGGGGTTTAACCATGTTGGCCAGGATGGTCTCAAACTCCTGACCTCAGGCAATCCACCCGCCTCGGCCTCCCAAAGTGCTGTGATTATAGGCATAAGCCACTGTGCCCGGCCACAGGTAAGGGTTTTAAAGGCAGGAGGCAGAGGTTACAGGCAAAATAAGAAATCATGGAGGTTATACATTGGTTTAACCTAGAAAGGTGGAACATCTTGAAGTGGGCCCACAGGTCATAGGTGAGGCAAAGCTTTGTCTAAAACTGTGGGATCAGTAGAAAAGAATGTCAGCTCTGGCTCATGGGTGTGACTTCCTCCAGGCTCCCCAGGGAGAAATTTAGAACAAAGAATGGCAGTCAGAATTCAGTCCTCAATTCCTCTTTATCTGAAGTCTATGTGTCAGTGGATCCATTTGGTGGATCCATTGGTGGGGGTCCAGGTTTCTGAAACAACTCTGGGACATATGTTAATGGCACAGGACTTTTTTGGGGTGCCACTTCACCAGCCAGAGACCTCTGCAGCTGGCTGCACCCCTGCCTGGGCCTCACTCAGCTCTGAGCTGGCCTCTGGCCTTGCTCCATCCAGTTGGCCCAGCAGGCTGCACCCAGCTCACCCTACCAGCCACCACAGGTGAGCCAGGTGTGGAGTGGCAAGTTTGCAGGGTCCAGTTACTGTGCACAGTCAGGTGCATCAGCTGCTGCAATGGAATGAGCAGCTCCAGGTGCTGGCATCCAGACTAGGGGAACACAGTGGCACCCAAAAACTTGGAGATGCCAGCACCTGTGAAGCCCCAAAGGGGGTGTTACATCATGTCACAGCACTGGCTCCAGAAGCTCTGAGGTCTAGATGTCCAGAAGGGTTGCAGCTCTTTTCTCCTTCCCGCCACTCACAGTGCAGAAAATGGGGGTATGTTAACAGCTCATTCAGTCCTGCTGCCCTGCTCTAGCTTGTGGCTCCTGGGAAGGCCCGGCCCTGCTGCCATTTCCCATCACGTGGGACGGATGCCCAGCACTGGCGGAGGGTGGGAGGGCTACAGTGTTACAGCAGCTACTTTTGCACCCACTGTTTGGTGGGTCCTGGGTTCTTGTCCCATGTCCATGAAGAATGAGATTATGCTGACAACTGGAGAGTGAGCAAGGCAGAGAAGAGCTTTATTGAGCAACAAAACAGCTCTCAGCAGAGAGGGGAGCTGAAGGTAGGTAGTCTCAATGTGTGGCTGAGTCTCTCCAGTTTTTATGGGCTCAGAATGTGGGAGGTGTCAGCTATCCATAGCCTTGGAAAAGGCAACACTTGATTGGTTAAAAAGCATTATTCAGAAAGAACCAATTGGGAAAGAGCAGGCAAATGAAAATAGAAGTTCTCATTCTGGTCATGGACTCCATCCAGAACTGACAGCCTGGTTTTCAGGCTTCAGGCTGTCTTTGGCTTGGAGGTTGGGTTTCATGGGGGACCCACCCCAATCTGCCTGGGAATTTGTCTGTCTCCTGCTGCTATCTTTAAGATGCTATCTTTGGCTGGGCATGGTGGCTTACGACTGTAATCTCAATACTTTGGGAGACTGTGGTAGGCAGATTGCTCGAGCCTAGTAGTTTGACCAGTGTGGGCAACATGACGAAACCCTGCCTCTACAAAAAAAAAAAAAAATACAAAAATTAACAAGTTGTGGTGGCATGTGCCTGTGGTCCCAGCTACTGACAGAGCTGAGATGGGAGGATTGCTTGAGCCCTCAGATCAAGGATGCAGTGAGTCATGATTGCACCACTGCACTCCAGCCTGGGCAACAGAGTGAGACCCTGTCTCAAAACAAAACAAAATCAAACAAACAAAAAAAGATGTTATCTTTAGTTTTTACAGGGAGCCAAACATCCCATGATTCTCACTTCCATGATTATTGTTTTAAGCTACTATTACTCTCTTGCTTATCAAGTTGTTCATTTACTTCTCAGGCTAGCTAGGTGCCTGGAATTTCCCTTTAAGAAACTCAAGATTTTTTAATTCCTCTGTTTGGTGCTGGGGAGACCAGGCCCCTAAGAGGGGTCCCTGCTCCATCTCATTTGTAAGAGCTTATGAGACAGCCGCTCCAGGGCTGGCCAGTAGCTCAGGAGGAGGAAGAGTCAGTGGCAGGGAAAGGGAGGTCCAGCTCGCCTGGGAGATAGGAGCTCTTCCAGCACTGGGCTGGGAAACCATTCTCTGGCAGCCCTGCCACTCAGTGGACCCTCAACTTCTCCTTAATTTCCTAGGCAGTATAAGGGTAAGTACAAGTAAAAAGAAATTGAATTTTCCCTGGTGCCAAAAGGCAAAGAGAAGTCCCTCCCTCCCTTTTCTTAGAGTATTTCCTTTATAATCCTTTCTCTGTCTCTTTGGGAGGTATATAAACCTTTCTGAAAGCTAAACAAGCCCTTTGCCACTTTGGCTTCCCAGGAATGTGCTTCTCGGGGGCCTCGGAGCCATCTCTTTGAAATGTGAACATTAAGATGGATGGTGCCCTGTCTCCTGTCTCTCTGGGAGCTTTGCCTAGGAGTCTGGCTACAAGTTGTAGCATATGAGAGTTTTCTTCTTCCTTTGGATGAGTGCAATTAACACATATGTAATAGATTCTATCTGCCTGGCTATGTAAGAGGGTGATACATTTTTTCTGTCTTTGCAATTTCTTTAGTGGATTGCTTTTGATGTGTGTTGCAATCTGGTTTAATGCATATGTAATAATAACACTTTTTTTCATTTCGTATATTTTTGGACAGGTTTTCTAGATTGGCAGATTTTATTTTAAATTTCCGCAACAGCAGCAAGTCCTAGCATACCTCAACATCATCCCAGGAACACCCCACCCTTGGGGAGGAAATATGCCAGAGATAGGAAGGGCCACTTCTAAATACAAGAGAGTCATCAGGCACCTGTCAGGAGGGAGAGTATCCAGTCTCTAGAGATGGAAATGTCAACCTAAAAGGAAGAAGCAAAGGCAGAATTAATATAGAGAGTTTATTTGGGCCAAGGTTGAGAGCTGCAGCCATGGATGCACTTCCAAGTTGCCTTGGGGAGTGCTCTGGAGGACAAAGAAGAGCCTCAAGTTTTTAAAGAAAAAAGGAAGAATCATGAGAGAAGCAATTACGAAAGCTGCTCATCAGGAATTTTCATTAGTTTACAGAAATAACATTGGTTAGTGATTGGCTATACATTGTTGCAACTTGGCATTCATCTGCAGCCCACATAGCAAGTGGCTTCAAGAGGTCATTATTCAGTTCCAGGGAGAGTGAGACCTGATTGTGGTCACATTTTAAATGCCTTTCTGGGCCTGATGATTTAAAGGGCTCACATTCCTCAGATAAAGGTTTTTTTTCTTTCTCAGATTGAAGTATTCTGGTGCACTCAGCCTTTGGACAGAAAGGAGTGGAGATTCTCATTACATATGGGTGCTTGCCTTAGTTGTTTTAAATTTATGTGCAACCAGGCTGTTTCTCCCATATAAAAGCACCCCTAAACGGCTGGGCGCGGTGGCTCACTCCTGTAATCCCAGCACTTTGGGAGGCTGAGGTGGGTGGATCACAAGGTCAGGAGTTCGAGACCAGCCTGGCCAACATAGTGTAACCCCGTCTCTGCTAAAAACACACACACACACACACACATAAAAATTAGCTGGGAGTGGTGGTGGGTGCCTGTAATCCCAGCTACTACGGAGGCTGAGGCAGGCGAATTGCTTGAACCTGTGAGGTGGAGGTTGCAGGGAGCCGAGACTGTGCCACTGCACTCCAGCCAGGGCAATAGTCCGAGACTCCATCTTAAAAAAAAAAAAAAAAAAAAAAAAAAGGCACCCCTAACAAGAGCCAACAGTCTCTGTTGAGACCTTCCTACCCTTCAAGAGAACACCAAATTGGTTGATGAACATAGTGGAGAGGAACGGGGATCTCCATCATTGGGACCAAGAGAGGCTGTGAAACATGATAAACGCTGGTCTAGAACAGTATGGAGAGGCACATGTAGTAGCGGGTTCAACTAGCAAAGAGAAGACAGCGTCCTTTGCAATTTTATGTGAGTCCTTCCAATCAGATGACCTTACAGAGGTTTTAAGTTTAGGTTTTGTTTTTTTTTTGAATTTGTGATGACTTTTTGGAGTTTGGCTCAACTGTCTTGTAGAACATCCCTCATTCTAGCTTTGTCAGACAGCTTCGTCAGGGCCTCCTTGACTTGTCCTTCTCTCCTCTGTATTTCCTGTAACTGGATGTGGATCTAAAGGCTGAACTGGGCTCATGAGAAGAATCCTTCACAGGTGTGATGGTTAATACTGAGTGTCAACCCGATTGGATTGAAGGATACAAAGTATTGATCCTGGGTTTGTTTGTGAGGTTGTTGCCAAAGGAGATTAACGTCTGAGTCAGAAGGGTGGGAAAGGCAGACCCACTCTTAATCTGGGTGGGCACCATTAGCTGCTAGTGCAGCTAGAATATAAGCAGGCAGAAAATGTGAAAAGAGACTGTCCCAGCCTCCCAGCCTACATCTTTGTCTCGTGCTGGATGCTTCCTGCCCTCAAACATCGGACTACAAGTTCTTCAGTTTGGATCTCCCTGCTCTCAGAGACTGGCTCTCCTTGCTCCTCAGCCTGCAGATAGCTTATTGTGGGACCTTGTGATTATGTGAGTTAATACTTAATAAACTCATATATATATATTCATTCCATTAGTTCTGCCCCTCTAGAGAACCCTAACTAATACAACAGATGGATCCCATCAGGACACATGATGACAGCCCATCCCTGCTGGCATTGCTCACTTTGATAATTTAGGGAAGGTGACAGTCACCGTATCTTTCATAGTAAACGTGCATTTTCCTTCTCAAAATTAGTAAATACTGTAATTTGTTGAATTATACTTTGACATCCTGTTCCTCAACAACCTTTCACCCAATAAGGTTTGGCATCCACTGAAGGTGCTTCCCTGAATCTATTTCTTCTTTGAGGGTTGCAATAAATGTATATCTTTTTTCTACATTTATTGGAGGAAGTCTTCCCTAAAGAAGAGTTCTCTTTTCTCTCTCTGTTCCTTTTTCTTTTTTTTTGAGTATCACTGTGAATTCATGGATTTCTTTATAACTCAATGTCAACTGCCATCATTATTATTTCTGATACTTAATCTCAATTTGGCCGGTGGGACCCTCTTCAAGCTGCCTCTGCTGTTCGTTTGACATGATCCCATTAGTCCGTGATTTCCTTATTTTCTGGTACAATAAGGTGTCCTAGGCTCAACTTGTAATTTACCTGCTTTTGACTTGTAATCAGCCGGTTCAATGAGGATCCCTGGTTCCCTTTCCTGGGGAATGGTACTTAGATACCAAGTTCAAGGCATGAGGTGTGCCCATTGCTATTACAATGTTATGACTTCTAGGCTCTTTGACTGAAATTAATTACAGACACACACATACATACGTGTACTTATGAATTCACACTGACATTTCTTGTTTTTTTTTATTTCAATAGTTTTTGGGGAACTGGTCATGTTTGGTTACTTGGATAAGTTCTTTAGTGGTGATTTCTGATGTTTTGGTGAACCTGTCACCCAAGCAGTGTACACTGTACCCAATGTGTAGCCTTTTTTTCCCTCAACCCCCTCCCACCCTTCCCCCTGAGTCCCCAAAGTCCATTATATCATTCTTATGCCTTTGCGTCCTCATAGCTTAGCTCCCACTTATAAGTGAGAACATACAATGTTTGGTTTTCTATTCTTGAGTTACTTCACTTTGAATAATGGTCTCCAACTCCATCCAGGTTACTGTTGCTGTGAATGCCATTATTTTGTTCCTTCTTAAGGCTGAGTGGTATTCCATGGTGTATATATGCCACATTTTCTTTGTCCACTCATTGGTTGATGGGCATTTAGGCTGGTTCCATATTTTTGTAATTGTGAATTTTGCTGCTATAAACATGCATGTGTAAGTGTCTTTTTTGTATAATGACTTCTTTTCCTCTGAGTAGGTCCCCAGTAGTGGAACTGTTGGATCAAATGGTAGTTCTACTTTTAGTTTTTAAAGGAATTTCCGCACTGTTTTCCATAGTGGTTGCAGTAGTTTGCATTCCTACCAGCAGTGTAAGTGTTCCTTTTCACCACATCTATGCCAACATCTGTTATTTTTTTATTTTTTAATTATGGCCATTCTTGCAGGAGTAACGTGGTTCTCATTGTGGTTTCGATTTGCATTTCCCTGATAATTAGCGATGTCAAGCTTTTTTTATATGTTTATTGGCCATTTGTATTTCTTCTTTTGAGAATTGTGTATTCATTTCCTTTGCCCACTTTTTTGAGGGTATTATTTTTTGTTTTGTTTTGTTTTGTTGCTGATTTGAGTTCCTTGTAGATTCTGGATATTAGTTCTTTGTTGGATGAATAGTTTATGAAGATTTTCTCCCCCTCTGTGGGTTGTCTGTTTACTCTGCTGATTGTTTCTTTTGTTGTGCAGAAGCTATTTAGTTTAATTAGGTCCCATATATTTATCTTTGTCTTTGTTACATTTGCTTTTGGGTTCTTGGTCATGAACACTTTGCCTAAGCCAATGTCTAGAAGAGTTTTGCCAATGTTATCTTCTAGAATTGTTATGGTTTCAGGTCTTAGTTTTAAGTCTTTGATCCATCTTGAGTTGATTTTTGTATAAGGAGACAGATGAGGATCCAGTTTCATTCTTTTACATGTGGCTTGCCAATTATCCCAGCACCATTTGTTGAACAGGGTGTCCTTTCCCCACTTTATGTTTTTGTTTGCTTTGTCGAAGATCCATAGGCTGTAAATATTTGGCTTTATTTCTGGGTTCTCTATTCTGTTCTACTGGTCTACATGACTATTTTTATACAAGTACCATGCTGTTTTGGTAACTATACCCTTATAGTATAGTTTGAAGTCAGGTAATATGATACCTCCAGATTTGTTCTTTTTGCTTAGTCTTGTTTCAGCTATGTGGGCTCTTTTTTTGTTCCATATGAATTTTAGGATTTTTTTTTCTAGTTCTGTGAAGAATGATGATGGTATTTTGATGGGAATTGCATTGAATTTGTAGATTGCTTTTGGCAGTCTGGTCATTTGCACAATATTGATTCTACCCATCCATCAACATGAGATGTGTTTTCATTTGTTTGTGTTGTCTAAGATTTCTTTCAGCAGTGTTTTGTAGTTTTCCTTGTAGAGATCTTTCACCTCCTTGGTTAGGTATATTCCTAAGTACTTTATTATTATTATTATTGCAGCTTTTGTAAAAGGGGTTGAGTTCTTGATTTGATTCTCAGCTTGGTCATTGTTGGTATATAGCAGTGTTACTGATTTGTGTACATTGATTTTGTATTCCGAAACTTTACTGAATTCATTTATCAGATCTAGAAGCTTTCTGGATGAGTCTTTAGGGTTTTCTAGGTATACAATCATATCACTGGTGAACAGCAGTTTGACTTCCTCTTTATTGATTTAGATGCCCTTTATTTCTTTTTCTTGTCTTACTGCTCTGTCTAGGACTTCCAGTACTATGTTGAATAGAAGTGGTGAAAGTAGGCATCCTTGTCTTGTTCCAATTCTCAGGGGGAATGATTTCAACTTTTCCCTATTCAGTATAATGTTGGCTGTGGGTTTGTCATAGACGGCTTTTATTACCTTAAGGTGTGTCCCTTCTATGCCAATTTTGCTGAGGGTTTTAATCATAAAAAGATGCTGGATTTTGTCAAATGCTTTTCCTGCATCTATTGAGATGATCACATGATTTTAGTTTTTAATTCTGTTTATGTGATGTATCACATTTATTGACTCATGTATGTTAAACCATCCTTGCATCCCTTGTATGAAACCCACTTGATCATGGTGTTTATCTTTATACATGATGATATATCTTTATATCTTAATACACTACTTGATCATGGTGTATTATCTTTTTTGATATGCTGTTGGATTCGGTTAGCTAATATTTTGTTGAGGATTTTTGCACCTATGTTCATCAGGGATATTGGTCTGTAGTTTTTCTTTTTGTTATGTCCTTTCCTAGTTTTGGCATTAGGATGATACTGGTTTCACAGAATGATTTAAGGATGAGTCCCTCTTTCTCTATCTTTTGGAATAGTTTCAGTAAGATTGGTACCAATTCTTTGAATAGCTGATAGAATTTAGCTGTGAATCCATCTGGTCCTGGACTTTTTTTTTTGTTGGGAATTTTTGTATTATTGTTTTTATCTTGCTACTTGTTATTGGTCTGTTCAAAGTTTCTGTTTATTCCTGATTTAATATAGGAGGGTTGTATATTTCCAGGAATTTATCCATTCTTCTACATTTTCTAGTTTGTGTGTGTAAAGGTATTCATAGTAGCCTTGCATGATCTTTTGTATTTCTGTGGTGTCAGTTGTAATAGCTTCTGTTTTGTTTCTAATTGAGCTTATTTGGATCTTCTCTCTCCTTTTCTTGGTTAATCTCGCTAATGGTCTATCAATTTTGTTTATCTTTTCAAAGAATCATCTTTTTTGTTTCACTTATCTTTTTGTTAATGTTGTTGTTTACATTTCATTTAGTTCTGCTATGATCTTTGTTATTTCTTTTCTTCTGCTGGGTTTGAGTTTAGTTTGTTCTTGTTTCTCTAGTTCCTTGAGGGTGTGACCTTAGATTGTCTATTTGTGCTCTTTCAGACATTTTCATGTAGGCATTTAATGCTATGAAATTTTTCTTAGCACTGCTTTTTCTGTATCCCAGAGGTTCAGCTCAAATACTTTTTTTTTTCTTTTTTAGATGGAGTCTCACTCTGTGGCCCAGGCTGGAGTGCAGTGGCTCATCTCGGCTCAGTGCAAGCTCCGCCTCCCAGGTTCACACCATTCTCCTGCCTCAGCTTCCTGAGTAGCTGAGACTACAGGCGCCTGCCACCACTCCCGTCTAATTTTTTCTATTTTTAGTAGAGACAGGGTTTCACCGTGTTAGCCAGGATGGTCTTGATCTCCTGACCTCGTGATCCACCCGCCTTGGCCTCCCAAAGTGCTGGGATTACAGGAGTGAGCCACCACACCTGACCCAGTTCAAATACTGTTTAAATTTCTGTCTTGATTTCATGGTTGACCCAAAGGTCATTCAGGAGCAGATTACTTAATTTCCATGTATTTGTGTAGTTTTGAGGGTTCCTTTTGGAGTTCATTTCCAGTTTTATTCCACACGGTCTGAAAGGGTAGTTGGTATAATTTCAGTTTTCTTAAATTTATTGAGATGTTTTTTGTGGCCTATCATATGGTCTATCTTGGAGAATATTCCATGTGCTGACGAAAAGAATGTTTATTCTGCAGTTGTTGAGTAGAATGTTCTGTAAATATCTGTTAAGTCCATTTGTTCTAGGGTATAGTTTAAGTTCATTGTTTCTTTGTTGACTTCCTGTCTTGATGATCCATCTAGTGCTGTCAGTGGAGTATTGAAATCCCCCACTATTATCATGTTGCCATCTATCTAATTTCTTAGGTCTGGTAATAATTGTTTTAGAAATTTGAGAGCTCCAGTGTTGGGTGCATATATATTTAGGATTGTGATATTTTCCTGTTGCAGCAATCCTTTTATCATTATATAATGTCCCCCTTTGTCTTTTTAAATTGTTGTTGTGTTAAAGTCTGTTTTGTCTGATATAAGAATAGCTACTCCTGCTTGCTTTTGGTGTCCATTTGCATGGAGTATCTGTTTCCATTCCTTTACCTTAAGTTTATGTGAGTCCTTATGTGTCTGGTGAGTCTCTTGAAGATGGCAGATACTTGGTTGATGGATTTTTATCTATTCTTCCATTCTGTATCTTTTAAGTGGAGCATTTAAGCCATTTACATTCAACTTTAGTGCTGAGATGTGAGGTACTGTTCTATTCATTGTGCTAGTTGTTGCCTGAATAACTTTTCTGTTGTTGTTGTTGTTTGTTTTTTCTATTTGTATTGTTTTATAGGCCCTGTGAGATTTATGCTTTAAGGAAGTTCTATCTTGGTGTATTTTGAGGTTTCGTTTAAAGATTTAGAACTCCTTTTAGCATTTCTTGTGGTGCTGGCTTGGGAGTGGCAAATTATCTCAGCATTTATTTGTCTGAAAAAGACTTTATCTCTCTTTCATTTATGAAGCTTAATTTTCCTGGATACAAAATTCTTGGTTAACAATTATTTTGTTTGAGGAGGCTAAAGATAAGACCCCAATTCCTTCTTGCTTATAGGGTTTCTGCTGAGAAATCTGCTGTTAATCTGATAGGTTTTCCTTTATAGGTTACTTGATGCTTTTGCCTCACAGCTCTTAAGAGTCTTTCCTTCATCTTGACTTTAGATAATCTGATGACTACATGCCTAGATGATGATCTATTTGCAATGAATTTCCCAGGTATTCTTTGAGCTTGTTTGATATCTAGGTCTCTAGCAAGGCCAGGGAAGTTTTCCTCAATTGTTCCCTCAAATAAGTTCCACACTTTTAGATTTCTCTTTTTACTCAAGAACACCAATTATTCTTAGGTTTGGCAGTTTAACATAATCCCAAATTTCTTGGGGGCTTTGTTCATTTTTTAAATTCTTTTTTTTTCTTTTTTTTGGTTTTTATCTGATTGGGTTCATTCAAAAGTCTTGCCTTCGAGCTCTGAAGTTCTTTCGTCTGCTTGTTCTAATCTATTGTTGACACTTTCCAGTGCATTTTATCTTTCTCTAAGTGTGTCTTCCATTTCCAGAAATTATGACTGTTTTTTCTTTATGATATCTATTTATCTGGAGAATTTTCATCCATATCCTGTATTGTCTTTTTAATTTCTTTAAGTTCATTTTCACCTTTTTCTGGTATCTCCTTGAGTAGCTTAATAACCAACCTTCTGAATTCTTTATCTGGCAATTTAGATTTCTTCTGGGTTTGGATGCATTGCTGGGAAGCTAGTGTGATCTTTCAGGGGTGTTATAGAACCTTGTTTTGTCATATTACCAGAATTAATTTTCAGATTCCTTCTCATTTGGTCAGCTTTGAGCTCACCAAAGAGAATATTTCAATGGAAAGATCTGGAACTCAAGGGCTGCTGTTCACATTCTTTTGTCCCACAGGTGACCCTTGATGTGGTGCTCTCCCCCTTCCCCTAGGGATGGGGCTTCCTGGGAGCCAGACTGCAGTAATTGTAATTGTTCTTCTGGGTCTAGCCACCCAGTGGGGTTACCAGGCTCTGGGCTGGTGCTGCGGAATGTCTGCAAAGAGTCCTGTGACGTGATCCATTTTCAGGTCTCCTAGCCATAGCTACCAGCACCTGCTCTCGTGGAGGTGGCCAGGGAATGAAGTAGACTCTCTGAGAGCCTTTGGTTGTAGATATCTTTAGTGTGACGGCTTTCTCAAATGCTTGTTATGTTAACAGTGAAGTTGTCACATGGACAGATTCAAGACCTCTGGTTAGCCAGGATGTTGCAGGCAGTGGAATTAGCTGTTGTTTTCTCTTTCCTTGAAGCAGGGTTATTCCGTCATGAGTTGTTGTAATGTCCTGAGCTGCTTGGCCTCCAGCCAAGAGATGGTGCTTTCAAGAGAACACCAGCTGCAGTAGTAGTAGAGGGATCTAAGCTTGCCCGAATTTGGCCAGGATTAGTATTTGGGTTTCTCAGGTGATGGGTGGGGCCATAAAGCTCCCCAAAATTTATGTCTTTTGTGATCAACTACCAGGGCAGGTAGAGAAATATCCATCATGTGGGGGCAGAGTTTGGCATGTCTGGGCTCAGACTCTCCTTGAGCAAGGCTTGCCACAGCCACTGTCGGGGGTGAGAATGTGGTTCTCAGGCCAATGGGGCTATGTTCCAAGGGGTATTATGGCTGCGTCTGTTGCATTATATAGGTCACCAGGGAAGTAGGGGAAAGCAATAGGCCTCACCCAGCTCCCACACAGTTGGTGGGGCCGATCTTGCTCCTTCTGTATCCCACTAACAGCACCAAGTTTATCTCTGGGCAGCTTATGCTCTGGACTCAGACCTTGCCCCAGGCTATAAGCTTCCCTGCTGAGAAAGCAAGCACAGCTTTCGGGCCTTGCCCTTCCCTGTCTGCCCATCCTGTTGGCCACAGCTTTGCACTCCTATCTGTAGCAGTTCCCTTTTGCCCTCCGGATTCTGTTCAAGAGAATTTGCACCCAGTTGAAATTATTACAAAGCTCACTTGGAAGCTTCTTTCACCCTGTGGCCCCTGCTAATTCTACTGGCTGCCTCTCTCAAGGACCCCTGTGAGATAGAGTCAGAGATGGCTTCCCCGGGCTAAAGCTGGAGCATGGGAATGTCTACAAGGCTCTTCCCACTGCTGCTTCTACTTTTATAGAAAATATTTTGTACTAAATCCATTTCAGCTGTAGATACGGTTAAATCCTTCTCCTGTAATCTGGATTTTCAGGTTCCCCATTGGGGATATGTGCTTGGAGGCAGGTTTTCTCCCTCTCACACTTTGGGAATGCACAGTTTTTTGCCTGTCTTGTGGAATTTGCAGCGGTGTGCCACTTCTTTAAAAGGATCAGTGAATTATTTTGGTTTTCCTGGTACGTTCCTGTGGTCGTTCTTAGAACAAAAGTTCATGCTTTGTGTCTCCACATACTCCTCTGTCTGTCCATTCAAGTGGGAGCTGAACAGTAGCCCTGTCTCCTATCTGTCATCTTCCTCTTAAAACCTGGCAATTTATTTTTATTTTTTATAGAGACAAGGTCTCACAATGTTGCCCAGGTTGGTCTTGAACTCCTGGGCTCAAGCTTCCCAAAGACACCGATATTTATAATTTAAATTTAACATTACTGAATTATTATTTAACTTTATTTTATTTAATAATTGTATCTATTTTCCCCTTCAAAGGAAATTATGTTTCCTAAAAACATGTTTGTATAACATACATATATATACACATACATATGATTAATATATATACACACAGTACTTTCTTGTTCTATCCAAAAACATTCACATAGCAGTCTCAAAATGATAATAATAGCTTTGTTACAAACAATAAATCCAGTAAGGGCAAAGCTTATTTGTAACACTTTCTGTTCCCAGAGAGTATCCAACTAAGGCTGTGCAGCCCAAGTGCCACGTTTGACAGTTTCTTAAAATGATTCTTTTTGCCATGTTATCAGTTTGATATATAGTTGGCCTCATTTCTTTGTGTGTACAATTTTGGACTGCTTTCTCTGATCTTTTTTATTTCATTTATGTTTTGCATAATGTAAAACACTTACATGGTTCAAAAGTCAAAACTATTTTTGAAAGTACAGAGAATTCTTTCTTCCAGCCCTATCCCTCTACACCATTCCTACCCACTTGTATGGTTAATCATTTTTATTGGTTTTTGGCTTATCTTTCCAGTGTTTCTTTACAATAAGCAAATATGTATATGTACACACATATATAATCTTATTTTTCAAAAAATAACACCATATATGCACTGTCTGTATTTGGCCTTTTCTACTAACAATATATCTTGGATATTATTCCATAGTGGTTAATGGCAGGCATTTTTTATTCTTCTTTCTTATGGCTGCATAGCACTTCACTATGTGACTCTACCATAATTCACTCAAATTCATTTCAACCAGTTTCCCATTGGTGGACACCTGAAAAACTCCTATCTCTCGATATTTGGTTAGTTGCCTCAACTGCATGCCAACTTCTGCTTTGGAGTGGATAAGGAAGGTAAGACCTTTGGGGACAAGACTCAAGACTCAGCCACTTTTGTCCCAAAGCTACAGGACTTGTTCTGCCTGCCAATGCTGTCTCTTTCTTCAGCAAAAGTGGGATTAAGCGTGTGTATAATGCCAGGTATGAAGCTGCACTGCTATGCAAGTTGGACTTCTCAATCAGCATAAAAGAGCTGACCATTGGAACCATCCGAAATCTCATGAAGAGGGTTGAGGGACTCTACTTATGTACATTTTACAGCAGAGAGTAGGACCGGGTAAGTCAAGGTTATCCACTATAGTAAGTTACTGCTCAAAGGAAAACTGATAGAAAAAGGGTCTCCACCTTCTTAAACACAGAAGCAGTCTGCTTCAGGCAGAAGATGACAGGCAACTCTTCTAGTAGAACTTGAGGTATACATTCATGGCTCCATTGAGAATGGAGATGGGGTTTCAAGCATGGAAGTGGGGACAGTGACCCATCAGTCTGAGAAGACACTTTTATGCCCACATCTCAAGCATTGCTATTATTTTAGAAGTAGATGCTCAGTTGTCTGATAAAGAGTATGATATCATCCCTATTGGTTTTAGGACCTAGAAATAGATTTGCAGGACCCTAAGGGCAGGATAGAGGTGGATGAGAAGGTTTATAGTTTTTGGGTCCAAGAGGTGGTGGTTGGTTAGCGTATGGGAGAAGAACCAGCAGAACCTGAGGGTGTAAGGGTTGATAGACAAAACAAAGCTCTAAGTACATGGGCCCCAGGCCAGCGCCCAGAAACAAGCCCAGACACAAGAACCCAGCCCCATACTATGATCTCACCCCTAGCAGGCCCCCATTCACTCTGCAGCTGAATGTCCAGGACTTCTGCAGGTTAAAGAATGACATCTGCTAATCTCCAGTCAAGGTGCACCTCAGCTACACTCTGGACTGTAGTAACAATGTGCACCATTGTCTGTATGCCCTGGGGAATCACTAGACTCCAAGGTGGGCTTTGAACTTGGTGTTGTCACCAACCAGTGGGTGGGGACCTGGGAGTCCCATACCTTAGTGTAGGAATGTTGATGTCATGGGTATTGGGGACAGAGGAGATGGACTGCATTCATGCATGCTTTTGCTGTTGTGCCAGCTCTCTAAAATACCTTGCCTTTTTTGGTCTATGTATCAGAGACCTTTCCATCTGTCAACAATCA
The DNA here is from genome assembly GCF_000001405.40 of Homo sapiens. Classification (NCBI taxonomy): domain Eukaryota; kingdom Metazoa; phylum Chordata; class Mammalia; order Primates; family Hominidae; genus Homo; species Homo sapiens. Next base: position 34,502,160 of record NC_000021.9, read on the forward strand.
ACATTAGCATCACCTTGCTAATAGAGCTTTTCTTGGGCCCCCTTTGGTAGAAGGGTAGTCTACTCCTTCCTTTTGGTTCCTAATCCAGTCCTGACTGGATTATAAGGACTTCAATTCATCTCTATAACTAGTATTTAGCACTGTGTCAGGCACCTAGCTGGTACTCAGTAACTGTTCAGAGAATGAGTGAATAAATGAATGAATGATTCCAACAGATGAAGGAACTGGCCTGAAAATGACTTGCCTATTTGCCAAATTCACCCAGCTTTTTAGTTTCTCACCTTCTGACACCAATCAGGAATAAAAGCCAAAACCTAGATTGGCTTTTCATCCCAAGACATGTCCTGTCCTTTATATGGGTGTGGACTTACGTTAGAGCCCTTGTCATTCCTAATAATTCCCTCTTGTGCCTACCTGGATGGAGCTCACCTTGGGCTATGATTAGGAGAGCCTATCTCCAGCACCTGCACTCACTCACCTGACTCCACCTGATGACTTGACCTATTTGTTCCTCCATCAGTCAACATGAGTGCATTGGAGACTTACTGTCCGTTGTTCTCTGTGGACACATGTGAAGTGCAAAGACATGCTAAGGCAACTGGCCTGAGCCTGTAATTCAGCCAAGGCTGGTAATGACACATGATCAGAGGTCACAACACTCTTTTTAAGTCACAGCAGTTTCCCTTAAGCATGGCTTTAGAGTCTCTGAGCTCACCATGACTTCTATTAGAGATAGCATAAGCCTACAGTGCTTTCCCTACTCTTTGTTCTCATTCACCACTCAGCACCACACTTTTGGCACCAGATAGATGGGGATTTTTCCCACACGTATCAGTAAAGCAATTCTGCAGCACACACCAATGAGGTGTCCTGCAATTCAATTCAATTCTGATGCTAACTACCCAAAGATGTCATCAAATCCCACAGGGTGAGGGCTTAGTCCTATAAGACTCTCCCCAACCTTGCACACCAATTGCAAGCCCTAGGATGTGACCTGTGCCTTTGACCAACCAGCTACAAATTGAGGTTCCTACAACCCCCTCCTTGGGTTCAATTAATTTGTTAGAGCAGCTCACAGAATTCAGGGAAACACTTTGCTTATGTTTATCCCTTATGATAAGGGACATTACAAAGGGTAAAATAAACAGCCAGCTGAAAGGGAGGCACAGGATGAGGTATGTGGGAAGGGCTGAGAAGCTCCCATGCCCTCCTAGGGACCACCCTCCAGGAAGCTCCACATGTTCAGCTGTCCAGAGCTCCCAAAACTCAGCCCTTTTGGGTTTTTATGGAAGCTTCATTATATAGGCATGACTGACTACATCATGGGCCATTGGTGATCAGCTTAACTTTCAGCCTCTCTCCCCACCCTGGAGTTTGGAAGTGGGGCTGTAAGTCCTAACCCTCTAATCATGCCTTGGTCTATGGACGACCAGTTCCCATCCTGAAGTTACCTAGAGGACTCATCCACCCATTACTCATTAGCATACAAAAGACACTCATCACTCTGGAGACTTCAACTGTATATCAGGAAACATGGATGAAGACCAAATATGTATTTCACAATATTATAGCTGCCATCAGCCATGGGTGAGTTTCTCATCATTCAAAGTTTCCTTCTTTTTTAGAAACCACCTGTTTTACTCTAAACAAAGTAGATTCTTATGAAAGGTAGGCTGTTTGGGGGTCCAGAATTTCAACATATGCCACCAAACCCTTTTCTTCCCTCTGAATTTTTGGAGGCGCACCTCACCTTGTGAATTTGTAGCACCCCAAACCAGTAAGCACACACATTCAAATACATGTACATGCCCACAGCTACCCACTAGTAAGCACCATCCCCCATGTCCGGTCACACAGATGTGAGAAGATGGAGAAATGTTCACCTAAACAGCTGGTGTGTGAAGTCCTGCCTCTGTCAGCTGAGCTCACATGGGAAAGATCCCCAGTCCCTAGGCCCCACATCAATGGGCACAGGGCCTTCGGAGGAAAGGACAACCACTCCGTCGTGGAGGGAGAACACTTTGGACTCGGGTGTGTGTTTGAGGGATTCCAGAGGGTAGAGGTTGAGGAAGAGGAGTTGGGAGAGTGAGAAGGTAGGATGTTGCACAGGATGAGACCCTTCCTCTCAAACCAAACCTAATAGCCAATAAGTACAGGAAAAGATCCTTGACATCTCTAGTGATCAGGGAAATGCAAATCCAAACCCCAATAAGAAACCACTTCATACTCTCCAGGGTGGCCAGAATACAAAAGGCTGAGAACAAGTATTGGGAGGATGTGGAGAGATCAGAACACTCCTACGCTGCTGGTGGCAATGTAAAACGGTACAGCTGCCTTGGAAAACAGGTCCCCAAATGTTAAACACAGAGCTATCACAGGACTCAGCAATTCCACTCCTACATATATACCCTGAGAGAAATGAAAGTACATGTCCACATGGACACTTGGACACAAATGTGCATAGCAGCATTATTCATAGTAGCCAAAACCCAAATGTTCATCAACTGATGAATGAACTGACACAATGTGGTCTATCCAGACAATGGAATATTAGTCATGAAAAGGGATGAAGTACTTATACTTGATATACCATGGATGAACCTCAAGTATGTTAGGCTAAGTGAAAGAAGCCAGTCACAAAAGACCTCCTGTTATGTGATTCATTCATATGAAAGTCCAGAATAGGGAAATCTATAGAAACAGAAAGAAGATTAGTGGGAACTTAGGGCTCAGCTTGCGAGGTGGGGGCAGGGGCAGGAAGATGGGAGGTGACAGCTAAAGGGTTTGGAGTTTTGTTTGGAGGTGATGAAAATGTTCTAAAACTGACCGAAGTGATGGTTGCACATATCTGTGAATAGACCAAAAACCATTGATCATACACATTAAATGGGCGAATTGTATACATGCAAGTTATATCTCAGTTAAGGCATTAAGAACTAAACAAAAACTAAGAACACAGATCTTCTGTCTTTCCTATTTATTTATTTATTTTGAGACAGAGTCTTGCTCTGTCACCCAGGCTGGAGTGCAATGGCGTGATCTCGGCTCACTGCAACCTCCGCCTCCTGGGTTCAAGCAATTCTTCTGCCTCAGCCTCCCAAGTAGCTGGGATTACAGGCACCCGACACCACACCCGACTAATCTTTTGTATTTTTAGTAGAGATGGGGTTTCACCATGTTGGCCAGGCTGGTCTGGAACTCCTGACCTCAGGTGATCCACTTGCCTCGGCCTCCCAAAGAACTGAGATTACAGGCGCGAGCCACCACGCCTGACCACCTTGATCACCTTTTTTTTTTTGGAAAGCAATGAGGGAGCAACACTTTGTTACCTGGGAGGCGTGGACCAAAAGAGAGGCAGAGGCTGGAGGGAGAGTGTGAGGCAGGGATCAATGGGCATCATGCCAGGCTTAGGGCATCCCCAAAGCTGTGGGATTGGGGCTTGAAGCCCAGGTCTTAGAGACCTGAGCAGGCCCAGCTGACACAGGCTGCAAACAAATGTCCTCTCATCCTCACCGCAATCCCTACAAGCTGCTCACCTCCTGTTGCCATGTGGATGTGTCCTGAGTGGCCCACGCAGATTTCTACACTTGATCCCCTCGCTTGAAATAAAAGGAGATAAAGTGAGTACAAACACCCTTATGCATTACTGTAGCTCAAACGAGGCCAGACTAGATCCTAAAGAAGACCTGGCGTGGGCCATCTTCTAGAGTCATCCCACCTCCCAGGACAAGCAAAGGTCCTGCCTCCAAGTCATTGCAACTTATATGACACAGCAAGGCAATATAGACTCTGGGGGAAAAAGTTTTTTAACTACAGTATTTTTAAAATAGAACATTATTTTGAAATTACTTCGACATCTACTGTCAGGTGACTTGTAAAAGCGCTTGTATGTTAAATGCTCTACATTAGGAGATTATTTTGTTCTTGAGTCCCTACAGAGAATTCCTTGGGAATGAAGTGCTATTGTGCATTCAGAATTATGTGGCTATAGCCATATTGCAGGCCGGGAACTCAGGAATGTCCCCTCTGTCCCAGCTCTTCAAGTTGGGCCCTACAGATCCCACGGGGACAAGCTTTTGGAAAATTGCTGGGTTTCTAGACCAATCACGTCTTTGAAATGTCTTCTTGTCACTCCGTGGTTTCTTGCTTCAGCTTAACCCCACTGGCCCCATAGATCAGGCAGCTCACAATTTGAACACAGCCAGGGGGCATGGAGGATGAGAACCAATCTATCCTGACAATCCTGGCAGCACGTGGGGAAAGCCAGGCCCAAGTTTCCATATGTGAACACATTACATTGTCTCCACCAAGAAAAGAGCCCCTGTGAAATATTCATGTGCGTCACCCACTTTGCCTTAGGTTCCATTACCTAAGGGACAGACCTGGTGTTGCTCAACAGTGCCAGGCTTAGCACTGCCAGGGGAGATCTGCAGCTACAAAGAGTTAAAGAAGAAGGAATTGAATTGAGTTATAAGCAATACATCTAATAAATATTTATTGAGTGACTATTTCATTCCAAGCATTCTGCTAGGTGCTGAGAAATCAGAAACAAATACATTGAACTCATTGGCAAACTAGCTGGGGAGATGGGCAGGGAAGCCAACTGTTGCAGTCTGGTGAGAGTTGTGCTGGGGAATGCAGTGGCTTTGCAGGAGCCCGGAGCAGAGACATGTAGTTCTGCTTGGTGGGATTGAGCAGATGTCAGGCAAAGCTTCCCAAAGGACACGATGCTCAAGAAGGGTCCTGAAGAATGATTTGAAGCTGGAAAGTCAGAGGAAAGCATCGAAGGTGAAGGCACAGAGGTAGGGGACGCATGGCACACCCAGAGAACTGCAGACGCCCTGTCATGCCTGCAGTCTTCACGGGAGGTGAGAAAGAATTTCCAGGGTACATGGATGCATGTTAGGAGGCTGAGACTGGTCTTCGAAGATGATCAGACATAGGCTTGAAGACTTGATGCTTTCAAAAGCTCGCTCTGACAGTAGCGTAGAGAAGGAATGGGGGAAGCTTTGCTTATAATAAAGTGAGAAATGATGGGGGCTGAATTAAGAGAATGGCTCTGGGGGTGGAGTATGAGAGTATTTCCTAAAGATAGAAGAGAGAATGGCCAGGACTTGAGAGTGGCTGAAGTCGGGTACAGGGAGACAGGAGACACCTTTTATGGCCATAGCTTGAGTCACTGTGTGGACAGGCGTGCTCATCATTGAGACCAGGAAGCTTGGAGGGGAAAACGCTCATATGCAATTCTGAAGTTCCTAAGAGACAACTGGATAACACACAAGGATGAATGTGAAACAAACAAGGGGCTAGGTCCCGTAAGCTCATCAGAACTTCTTTCTGAAAGAAGTAAAGCACATCTCTAATGACAACAGAAATAACCACAAACCTGCGAGTCAGCCTCAAATATCTTTCCTGGGGGATTAAATGATGGCTGAGGGACGGGGTACCCCAGAATGTCCCTTGCACAGGAAAGGACCTAGAGAAGAGAGACTGTTTTTTGAGCAGGTCACATTCAGCTTACTGCAATGTCTTTGCTTTAAACGGTCCCCTGCATTATAAGAATGGAGTTTATATGAGAGGTGAGAGGGTCCCAGTGACTTAGCAACCGTGGCATGCTTCTGCAAACATTTCAAAGACCTCTACTCTGGCTTTTAGAATGCTTTCTAGAGCAAGTAGCATGCATAACGACACCACTACCTGGAATTATACACTGTCTTTCTTCAGAGGCACACAAAGAGCTTAACACATTACCTTAGTTCTAGGTTAGCTGCTTTGTTTCATGCATGCTTGCTGGTGTTTCTGGAAGAACATTTATGAGGTGATTGCTCTTGAAAGACTTCAGAACAATCAAGATGGTTTGTTGCTGTTGGGTTCTTTTTTTTTTTGAGACAGGGTCTTGCTCTGTGGTCCACGCTGGAGTGCAGTGGTGCAATCTCAGCTCAACACAAACTCTGCCTCCTGGGCTCAAGCAATTCTCCCACCTCAGCCTCCAGATTAGCTGGGACTATAGGTGCATGCCACCACTCCTAGCTTTTTTTTTTTTTTTTCTGTAGAGGCAAGGTTTCACCATGTTGCCTAGGCTGGTCTCCAACTCCTGGGCTCAAGCAATCTGCCCGCCTCGGCTTTCCAAAGTGCTGGGATTATAGGCGTGAGCCACTGCACTGGCTGGGTTTTATATTTTATTTTATTTATTTATTTATTTAGACTGAGTCTTGCTCTGTCACCCAGGCTGGAGTGCAATGGCGCCATCTCAGCTCACTGCAAACTCCACCTCCTGGATTCAAGCAATTCTCCTGTCTCAGCTTCCGGAGTAGCTGGGATTACAGGCGCACACCATCACACTCGGCTAATTTTTGTATTTTTAGTACAGACGGGGTTTTGCCACATTGGCCAGGCTGGTCTTGAACTCCTGACCTCAGGTGATCCACCCTCCTCGGCCTCCCAAAGTGCTGGAATTACAGGCATGAGCCACCGCGCCCAGACTGGGGTTTTTTAATTTTCACTATTATTTTTTAATAGAAAGCATGCAAAAAGAGACGACACAGTCATTGGACAGTATTACAAAAAATAGTCATAGAAGTGAATATAAATGATGCAAAATGCAATACAGCTAGAGTCCCTTCTTCACCCTTTTTATTGATATGTTCACCCAAGTGTTCTCACACATAGAAGCAGGTGGTTTTCTTTACTACAGTAGTATAGTTTGGAGTGTTTATGCTTCACTAATGGTACAAAATTAGCTGAGAAAAGATTTAAATTGGTGTTTTAATTATCCAGTGTGATAACAAACCACCTAAAAATGTAGTGGTATAAAACAACTACTGTGTATTTTCTCACACTACTTTGTGGAGGTTTAAAAACACCACAAATTCATCACCTTGGTTTCTGTGGGTCAAAACAACCCAAATTCATCATCTCGGTTTCCATGGGTCAGAACTGCAGGTACGGGTTGGCTGGGGCCTCTGCTCAGGGTCTCACCAGGTTGAAATCAAGGTGACAGCCAGAGCTGTGGTCTCATCTGAACTAATGCAGAACTCACCAGAGCACATGTAGTGTTGGTAGAATCCATTTCCTTGTGGTTGGAGGACGGAGGTGTCCTCTTCCTTGCTGGCTGCTGGCCGGGGGCCATCCTCAGCTCCTAGAGGCTGCCCTCAAGTCCTGGCCACATGGCACCCCAGTCTCACCTTGTGGCAGCTCCAGGCCAGCAGGGGACACCACTGCTCCCTCCAGTGTCCTCTCAGGGTTCACCTGATTGAGTCAGGCCCATCAGGATAATCTTCCTTCTTTTTTTTTTTTAACTTTTTTTTTGTTTTTGAGACAGAGTCTCGCTCTGTCACCCAGGCTGGAGTGTAGTGGCCCAGTCTCAGCTCACTGCAAGCTCCGCCTCCCAGGTTCATGACATTCTCCTGCCTCAGCCTCCCCAGTAGCTGGGACTACAGGTGCCTGCCACCATGCCTGGCTAATTTTTTGTAATTTTAGTAGAGACAGGGTTTCACCACATTAGCCAGGATGGTCTCGATCTCCTGACCTCGTGATCCGCCCGCCTCGGCCTCTCCCAAAGTGCTGGGATTACAGGCGTGAGCCACCACGCCTGGCCCCTTTTTCAACTTTTATTTTAGGTTCAGGAGTACATGTGCAGGTTCATTATTGGGGTAAACTTGTGTCATGGGGGTTTGTTGTACAGATTATTTCGTCACCCAGGTACTAAACCTAGTACCCAGTAGTTATTTTTTTCTGATCCTCTTTCTCCTCCCACCCTCCACTCTCAAGTAGCCACTGTGTCTGTCAATCATCCTTCTTGATAAACTCAAAGTCAAACGAGTCCAGATCTTACCTACATCTGCAAAATCAATTTTTCCTATAAAGGAACGTAATCACAGAAGCACTGTCCCACAGTAGTACGAGTGCTGAGCCGTTGTAGGCAGAGAGGGTTGTCCTGCCCACACTCAAGGGGAGAGAGTGCAGGGCCAGTTCACCCCTCACGCGGAAGTGGCAGTGCTGGGGGCTCACTTCGTGCTCTGCTCACCACAACTCCAAACTCACAACTTTATTCCCACCAATCCCATCCCCTCCAGTCCAGGGGGCACACACTCCAGCAGGACTTCAGCTGAGCCCAGGGAACGCTTTGCTGACTGGTGATGAGGGACCTACCTCTTCACACCCATGACACCCACCCGCTGAGCCCCTCACCGGGGCTCCGAAGGCCCTGGTCAGGTCACCTCTGGTCTCACTTTCCATTCTCCCCTCCTTCCTCCCCTCCAGCCACAGGGTCCTTCTCGATGTGCCCAGACATGGTGGGTGCACACTTGTCTGACAGCCTCTCTTCTTTTCCCTTTGCTTGGAATGCTCTCTTCCCAGTTACCAAAGATACTCAGGCTCTCTCCCCAATTTCCTTCAGGCCCTTGCTCCAAAAGCTCCTTCCGGGTGAAGCCTCCCCTCCCATCCTCCTTAAAGCTTCAGCCTCTACCTGGGACACTTCCTCCCCCACTGCCTGCCTCCTTGAAACTCTCCTTAGTCCTCTTGCAGCCCACACAGCTGAACACAGGCAGGAGGGGGCGCTGCTGCCCTGGCTGGTGTGCAGCCACCAGAGGCTGAAGCTCACTGACGTCTGTCTGGGGCCCAGGATCACCTTCCTTGATTCCAGCTCTCTCAGGCTGTCAGGACCTGGCGCTGGGAGGCACTAGGCCATGCCCTGGCCTGAGGCCTTCTCTCTCCCTCTTTGCCCTGTGTCTCTGCAGGGAAGCCCGGCCCTGCCCCTGGGAGGGTGGGGGCAGACGTGTGGAGAGTGGGTGTACAAGGCCAGGGTTTGCCAGGCCCAGGACAGCCTGGCACCTGTCAATGGATGAGCGCCTCTCCCTTAGCCTGATGTCAGGGTGGGCATGAGGGTGGGAGCAGAGGGTGCCTAACTGAGGAAAGGGTCTGTGCAACCCCCTTCTCCTACCAGTTCTCGTTTCTGAAGTCTCCTCAAGCACACTGCGGTGTCCACACCATTGGCAGCAGGCTCCTTCTCTTCAGGTGGTCTTAGGAACTTCTCAGAACTTTTTGAGTTATCCTTCTGGTCTCTTCCTCCTGAGCACGGTTCTCCTGGTTGAGCTCCAGGCCATGCCATTCAACGCCCTCCAGGACAGGCCGAAGGGCTTGTCTGTTTGGTGGTTGCTAAGGTTTGAAAAAAGCCAGCTGGAAACTTAATCCCCAAAGCAACAGTGTTGGGAGGTGGGACCTAATGGGAGGTGTTTAGTCATGAGGGCTCCACCCTTATGAATGGATTCTCTCTCTCTTGTTCTCTCTCTCTCTCTTCCCGCCCCGCCCACCCCTCCTTCCCCAACCTTGTGATACCTTCCACCATGTCATGGCAAGAAGGCCCTTGCCAGATGTGGCCCCTCCATCCTGGGTTCCCAGTCTCCAGAACCATGAGCCAAATGCATTTCTGTCTGTTACAAATTATGTACGGTGTGGTTTTCTGTGATGAACACAGTGCTGTACCAGGGCCCTCTTGCCAAGACAGCCAGCTTATAGGAGCCTGCATGTGAGGCCCGGACGTCCTACAGAGCAGCAGTTAGAGGTCTGGCCTTCTGGATAGGCACTGCCCTGCCCTGCACACAGGACCTTGGTGGGGCATGATGGGGCTCTTCACCACGCTGCCCTCATTTTAGGAGGTGGGCAACCCTTTCTCCCCCTTCTCCATGTGCTTCTGCAGTTGGAAGAAGTGAGGGGGGTTCAGACACACTTAAGCTGAGCTTAGAGCAAAGCATGTCCCTCAAGGTGACCTTGCCGCATGGCCTGAACCTAGAATTCCCCTGACCAGGGTGGACAGCCATCACCATGGGCCTTTCTGCCTGGCCTAGTATGGCTCTCCTTCGAACTCACCTAGACCCTTGCATCAAAGGACTCGGGGACTCTGCTGCAGTCATCCTAGCACGGTCGAGAGGAGTAGGAAGGTGCCCAGCGGCTCAGCCTTTAAGGAGGTCTATTGGTCACCATTGCTTCTGCCTTCTTGAGAACCATCACCCTCGGAGGATCCGGTAGTGTATCCCAGTCAAGTGTCAAATGCGTTGTTCCCTGGAGAGGAAGGCTTATTTCCAGAAAGTACTCTGACGTTTTGTAATTTGTGATTTCTATCACTGGCTCAGTGGCCTACCCACTGCTCAGCTCATGTGGCATGACCAGGCTGGGGCGTCGGGTCATCTTGTTCTCTGGGTGTGTGGCAACACTGGTTTATGGCGTAATTTCCTTCCTGAGAAGAAATTCAGTAATTTCTAATATTCAGGGCTTTAGGTAGAGGCCTGAAAATCACTCTCCATGCCTCTTTCAGTATTTTATATATAGTTGTCTCTTGGTATCCATGGGGTTTGGTTCCAGAATCCCCTGCAGATACCAAAATTTGCGAATGTTCAAGTCCTTTATATATAGTGGCATAGTATTTGCATATAACCTATGCATATCAGCCAATCATAGATGGTGATTTAAATCATCTCTTGATTACTTCTAACACCTAATACTATGTAAATGCTTTGTAAGTAGTTGTTACCTGGCATTTTTTTATTTGTTTTATTTTTGTTGTTGTTTCATTAATTTTATTTTATTTTTGGAATATTTTCAGTCCATTGTTGGTTGAATCCACAGATGCAGAAGCCTTAGACACAGAGGGCCGACCACACCTATGTATGCTGTTCTTAAAGTAGCAACATATTTGTTCTGAACATAGAAGAAATTAGTCGTCTATTAGACTTTAAGGGAGTAAATATGGTCCAAGTTGATTTTTAAATTTAGCAAATAGTCATAGACATATCAGTGTCTTACAGAAAATATTTATTGGAATGCTCACTCTCTCATTTGGGATACTGCTTTGCCTTGCTGTGTCTTAAGAATGTCATCAGAGCATCACACACTTGAAAAACGTTTTTAAAAGGATATGATGATAATTAAGACCTTCTCCCCAACCCCTGCCCATTATCCAAGATCAATGTTTTTTTCCTTTATCCTGATTTTAAAATCAAGTACACTTTATTGAGGCATACTTTACATGAAGCAAAATGTACCCTTTCTAAATATGATAAGTTTGATGAGTTTTCAACAGATGTATACAGCTGTTACCATGACTGTGTCTTTACCCAGGTTCTTGCATTGCTCAATCCAGATACAGAATGTCTCCATCACCCTGACAAGTTCCTTTGTGCCGCACCCTCTAGCCAATCATCTGTTTTGAGGAGAGTTTTAAAACAAAGGTTTTTGTTCTTTTTCACTGATGACCATAACCTACCACAGACAGGGTCTCTCTCTCTCTCTCTCTCTCTTTTTCCCTGTTCTTGCGCCAGCTGCCTGACAATTTGTGGGATTAAAGCTCTAAGCTGCTTACTGGCTCTTCTGACTAGGGAGAGGGAGCAAGCCTCATTATTTTTCTATTCTTTTCAGTGACTGCTCACTCCTCTTCCTCCAAAATCCCTATCCATCCATCCATCCATCCATCCATCCATCCATCCATCCATCCATCCAACTTTCCATCTACCCATCTATCCTTCCATCTATCCAATCCACTTGCGTGTTGAACGTCTACTATGAGCCATTGGCTACCAGGAATCCCACTTCCACCCAAATTATGTTTCAACAGGGAAGACAAACAATTTAACAATTACGATAAAAAAGAAAATATGCCATACAATGGAAAAGAAGGGGGCATGATGGGAGACCCAGCGGGAGTAGCTGGCAACGATTCTTAGGGGGAAGAGACATTCCTAATAGACACCTGCAGGAGAAATATTAAAGAGTCAATCATTTCAGTAGCGCTTATTGTGACCAATAATGCAAGAAGTTTCTGGGTTCCCAGGCTGATGGGTTTGAAAGTCACTGCATCATGAATGTGCCCAGGACCCACACGTTGTTTTGTAAGAGAGGGGTTCAGTAAAATGTGAAATGACCGACATTCAACAGGCAGAACTGTGCAGAATGCACGCTTTGCCACTGATTGAAAGTGTTTCTTCAGTAGGTTTTGATAGAATATATTACTAATCTGGTAAGAAACAGCTTAGGGCCACTCAAGAAAAGAAAAGCAGCCCCTAGAAACATGTTCTGTGGCTGGGCACAGAGGTAGCTGCTGGAATTTGAACAGGGGTGAGCAGGACCTCGTGGACCTCATTGTGGGGTTAGCAGGGCTGGGCTGGGACAATGAGATCATTTTCTAGGCAGAGAAAAGACAACATGGTAAGTTAAAAACACTGAAAAGTCTGCGCTGCCAGAGTACAAATGTCAGCCAGGAGGGCCCTGACACTCTTGAAAGAGGGATTTGAGCAGTGGCCACTGCATCTACTTGGCACTCGTTCGCTGTGTAGAAGGGTCACCGAGTCCCTCATCAGAATCCTGAAAGAAGGAGAAACGGTGGGCACAGGCAGCACACCTCAATCACTTGTGAATAATTTCCTTCTGTCTTTCATAAACATAGCTATGATTGAAATGACCTTTCACGAACAGCAGGGAAGGATTGTGGAAGAAAATGAGGTATGTGAGAAGCAAATCCATCTACCTGATTGCCATGTAACTTTCGGTGAGTCACGGAGTGAGAATTTCAGATGTGAATTAAGGATTGCCAAGAGTGGTGATATACTTGAAAAGTTTCCTCCACGTTCTACTCCCTGTTCTACTTTAGAATCAGGAGGCCAGAGAGGCAGGAGGGAAGAGTACTTGTTATTCATAGTGGACCTTCTTCCTGAATAATTTTTAGGGTAATTATGTATGCAGCTTCCACCTGAGTCACTGACCTTTGGGTGAATGTTACTGGATATGTACCTATGATACCCAGGCAAACTTTCTGCGGGTTCTACGGGCACTGTGAAGTGTGACAGACTTTGGCTGCGCGTTCACTTTTGATCATAACACGTCCATAGAGTGCTTTTAATCTCCTGCAACTTAACATATGAGAAAATCGATTTATTTTGTAGTGAGTTCTGCACATTTCACAGAAAATTAAAGCTCTCTGAAAACCCAAATCTTCTGTGGGCAGTAATTCACACACAATATTCTGGAAATGTAAAATCCCAAATGCCTGCTGACTTCAAATCAATGTTTATAGCTTGTGTCTGAATAGCTCCATGAATTGCTCCGCTCCTCTCCTTCTACTGCCCTTCGCTTTGATTTAGCCACTCATTTCCAGGGGCTGATTTTCTTTTTTTGCATGGCCCTAAGCTGTTTCCCATCAGATTAGTAACATATTCTATCAAAGCCTATTGAAGAAACACTTTCAATCAATGGCAAAGTGTGCATCCTGCATGATGCTGCCTGTTGAATGTCGGTTGTTTCACATTTGACTGAACCCCTCTCCTACAAAGCAATGCGTGGGTCCTGGGCACATTCATGATTCAATTACTTTCAGGCCCATCAGCCTGGGAACCAGAAACTTTGTGCATTATTGGTTTTACAATTTCAGCTGAGGCTTCCACAGAACAACTCAGAAGAAATAGGCTGTCCTGAGTGAGCCTTTTCCTTGACTTGTATTTTCTATTCTAAGGTCTATTGGCTTCACTGGCAGTGGGACCACTGACTTTTTCCCTCCTTTATCTAAGGGGACCTGTTGAGAGTCTCTATTTGGAAATATTTCCTGCCTGTCCTTAGTGGGGGTCAATGCCTGAATCTGTCCAATAATCAGATTTGACCAACTTGGTGGAAGTGTGGATTTTCCAGCACGATTAAACCTTGAACATATATGGCTTGAAAATGTGCAAATACTCTTGGAAATGACAGGATCATGGTTCTCAAGACAGAGAAAAAAAAGTAGCATGTGAATTTTCATAGATAAACGCCTAATGCTAATGTTGATCAGGATTAATGTCATTTCCTAGATTTCAGCAAATAAACACTGGGTTACTTAGGCCTTTGTGGGCTTCCCAGGAAGGTCACCACCATTTGAAATGAGACTTTCAGGGGAAAAGCTGCCAGAGATTAAACAGAAGGCTTACAGATGCATCTTCTGAAGATAACTTAGTATCTTCCATGGACATCTTTTCTAATAGAAAAGAAAGCTCTTCAAATGACCAAAACCATTGCTGTTTTGTGGAGGTGCTGGTGAACAGGGGTTTCATCACAGTAGCATCTACCTGTACAAACGAAATACTCGAAGTTCTGATTTCAGTTTTATCCATTTTCTTCTTTTGCAAGTGATGCATTCTTAGTGTGGTGGACTCTCCATGAACCACAGCACAGAATTAGGAGTTTCTAAGCTCAAATTGACAAAGGATGTCTCCTTCTGAATTTAAAATGTTTAAAAAGGTTTAAAAGCCTTTTAAACTGCAGAATTTAGAAGGTTCACAGATTTATTCTAGAAATAAAATGACAACTTTTCTGTAAGGAGCATACTGTGCCCATTTATTATAGAATGCAGTTAAAAAAAATATTTTGAGGTTAGCCTCTCCAGTTTAAAAGCACTTAACAAGAAACACTTGGACAGCGATGCAATGGTCTCTCCCAAACCGGCTCCCTCTTACCAAGTACCGTAAACAGGGTTTGAGAACGTTCAATCAATTTCTTGATATGAACAATCAAAGCATTTAATGCAAACATATTTGCTTCTCAAAGAATAAAACCATCTTCCAAATTTCCAAAGCATGCATTGTTACTTGGCATTAAGTATTTCAAAATGACAAACATTGTTACGGTATTGTAAGGCCAAAATATAATACCTATTTACCAGACATACACATTACAACTAGAAAAAAATTACAAATGTTAACCTAGTATAACAATTCCATCAGGAATGAATGGGGAAAGGCACTGCATCCCTCTCATATCGCCACAGATCTACTATCCACTTGACATGCTTTGAATTCAAGTCCTGTTAGACATGGGAACAGCTTTTCCTACAACATATGATTCACAGGTAGGTTAATACATCTTAGTCTCCCACTGCCATACTTTTCACCCAAGTGTACAACAGGTATGAATATATGCTATCAGCTTTATTTACAAGTGTATCTTGATGTCTTCGTGGGGTAAAAGAACCAACTATCTCAACCAACAGTTTCCAAAAAAGTTTTTGGCTATGATTCATGTATAGAAACCACCACATAAAAGAAACAACAGAAACTGAGGTCCGATCCCAAACACCTAAACTAAAATTTCTCACCCACTAAAAGTTGGCAGTGAAACTGCTATTCTCTGAATTGTATAAGCTAAATTCTACAGAGGAATTTCAGATCAACTTCTTTTGCAAAAGCACAAGTTACACGTTGCACGGTTGGGGATGCTGAGTGAATGCATTCCAGGAAGAGTTCCGCAAGCAAGTGCTGTTGCAAAGAGTCGAGAATCCGAGAATCTGGGAAAGGTGATACGTTTTCCAAACGCTTTCCTGGCTTCCCAAAAGATGTAAAACAACAACGGTGTAACTTTATATACGAACAAAGGTTAGTCTTGTAAATCAGTAATATACATGCACAAACATGAGAACATGAGGGAAGAAAGGAAACGCTACAATTTCCACATTGCATTGCTGCTGTTTTCACAACCTCTCTGCACTAGGCGGCTTCCTGTGGTACCTCTTCCTACCAGTAGAGAGTGGCCCCTGCAGGCCACTTAGAAACAGGAAGCTCTCTCCTGAGCTCACTGATCAACCTGCCCTTGGCACAGACAGAACCTACCAGAAAAGAACAAGTACAAAACACTATCATTATCTGTTTTCTCAAGACAGTCCCAAATGTCCTTGTGCGATCACCACAAACTCAGTGATTGGCCCAAGTCATTCCCGGGTGCCATGAACAGTAACTGGTGTGCAGCATTAGAACAAGGGGACACGGCCTTGATTCTCTTCTGAGCAACATGAACTGGGATTTCTGCCACCCCGATCTCGGCTGCCACCTCCGAAGAAGTCGTGACCAGCCACCTCCACAGTAAAAGATTCCTCCCGTGAGTATGATTTGGAATGCGTCCTCGTCGCGTGCCAGTTCAGCTGAGGTGGATCGGCGTGTACTCCGGCCTCCTGGTCTGGATAATTTTTGGCTTAGGTCTCCTCATTCTTTCCATTTCCTCTTCTTCCTCCTTCTCTTGATCACTCTCACATACATGGACCACCACGCTGGGAGTGGTGTCAGTCGCTGCGTGCAATTCATACTTTTCCCCTAAGGAGGGAAAATAATCGCAGGGTCACTCAGACAAGTCCTTGGGAGTCAAAAGGCAAACATAAAAGAGCATTCAGGGCTCTGCTGGGCCAGCTGCTCGTGACCATTCGATTGGGCTGAGAGACACAGCCAGACATATTTTGGGTTTGTATTTCTTTGCTAGCTCATTCAGAAAAAGAGAGATTTCCATTGTGCATGACTCTGTTTTTAGTCAAACATTCTGGGAGTCCAGGCACATGAGAAGTATAGAAGGAATGCATTTTTCTAGTTATACTTCACATGTCCACCAGATATCTAAACTACCCAGAGAACTCCCTTTCTGTCAGCATTTCCTCAAGTGTGAATGTGAGAAACTTCGGTTCAGGAAAAAGATGGATGAAGAAACGTATTTGGAAACAGAACCCTGGGCCTCCCTCATGCAGCTCCTATTTGAGGGTCGCAGTGCACGCCCAGGAAGGGCGCCACAGGAGGCCCTGCAGCAGACGCAGGGGTGGCTGCACGGAGCCAGGTGCTCTGGAAACGTTTTTGACCTGGGCATCTTTTCCTTAGAACAACTTCTAATCCCCGGGACCAGGAGTGTCCTGCTGTTCTATGTCAGCCTGAGTTCTACCAGGTTGGCCAAGTTCAGGCCACTCTGGTCCAGCAAGGGTGGGGAGAGCTTTCTGCAACTGAAAAACCCGGCAATGTAGAATGAAGGGACTGGGGCCTCCCGCTGGGGTGCCGCTCTGGCCACGGGAAGAGTGTGCATCTCTGGTGCTCATGAAGGCAGCTCTGAGCCTGGCTCCTTAGTACCCAGGGCTCATGGGCACTTTATTCTGCTTCCCTGTGCACCTCAGTTCCCTCCTCAGTAAAGGAGACGGTAAAGGTATTGACTTCATGGAGCTAACAGCATGAGTGAGTGCCCGAGGCAATGAGAACCCGGCTCACCACATGCTTGTCCAGCCCATGTCACCTAGAAAGATGTTTAAGAATGGAGACTGCATCGTTATTGGTGCCCTGCTGGGCAGGGATCTGAAATAGGGGCAGGAGGTTTGCTTCAACCTGCTCCACCCACAGGGTGTGGCCTCATGGTCAGTTTTCTTCCAGGGCTTTGTGCTTGGGATTTCTTTTCTTTTCTTTTTTCTTTTTCTTTCTTTCTTTCTTTTTTTTTTTTTTTTTTTTGAGACAGAGTCTTGCCTGTTGCCCAGGCTGGAATGCAGTGACAAGATCTCGGCTCAGTGCAACCTCCGCCTCCCAGGTTCAAGTGATTCTCCTGCCTCAGCCTCCCAAGTAGCTGGGACTACAGGCGCATGCCATCATACTCAGCTAATTTTTGTATTTTTAGTAGAGACGAGGTTTCACCATGTTGGCCAGGATGGTCTTGATCTCCTGACCTCGTGATCCGCCTGCCTCAGCCTTCCAAAGTGCTGGGATTACAGGCATGAGCCACCGCGCCCGGCCTGTGCTTGGGATTTCTTTGCAGTTCGGGTAAGCGAGGAGGCACCGCACCAACCACTGTGTGATTTCCGCCCGACAAGAGCGGCCCAGGAGAGCTTCCTACCTCCAGCCACACTGGTTACTCCTCTAAACCTGGAAGGTACTTTTACTGATAAGGAAGGTGGTGATCTTTTCTCTATCACATGTGGGACTGGAATGTTATTATAACTGCACTGAAAAAGGCAAAGGAGCTCAGCTCTCTGAGAGAGAGAATTCAGGCATGGGAGGTCAGATGGATTGCTGAAAATGCTGGTTAAGAGCCTCTTACAAATCTACCTCTTTGCAAGTCTCTTATCTACCTACTAATCATCGAAAATCCAGAAAGCTCAGGGTTTAGGACCATAATTTGCAAAATCTCCGCAATCCTGTTGGTTGAAAAGCACAGGTGAAATATGAAATCTCACTCAAGCTCACTGTTAAGTGAACCAAGGACAAACTGATTTTATTACGTCTATTTCCTAAAAAGCCTTCTCCAATAAGCCCTCGGTGAAGGAAGTGGTATATTCTGGAGTATGCAGAATTTTTATTAACAGCATTTGCCTCTGGAACTGTGGACACCTCTTTGCAAGTGGAGACCCTGTTTTCTCCCATTCCTAACCTAGGGGAAGACTCCACACCCTCAGCCATGCTCATGCCCCCGGGCCAGGAGCTGCTGTGGGGGGAGCACACGCTTCCTCAAAATGGCCATTTCTGATCTTGACCTTCACGCCACAATTAGCAGTAAGTAATGTGAGTCTTGCTTTATCCCACAGAGGGAATTTCCGTTTGGACAATGTTTTCAGAAATGTAATCTTTTCAATATGAAACTGCTGATGGACCAAGAAAACAAAACCCTCAACCCAAGGGAACATCAGATTGCTGGTCAAGGAGAAATGAGGAGCTGACGGTCTCAGCATTTATTTGACTTGCTCCACGGACAGAGCAGGAGAAGGCTCAAACCTCTTCACCCCAAGACTCTCCCTCACACCTGCCTCCTCACCCAAACCCTAGAGGACAGGACAGGAACCACCAACATTTTATGGTTTTCAAAAATCCTGCATTGAACACTGACTGTGAGCCAGGTGCTGATGGAAGTGCCTTTCACTCGATGATCTCATCTACTGCTCACAATTCCACCAGTTAAGGCCCACATTTTGGACAAAGAGCCTGAGGAACCTACCCCCTCCCCGCAGTGCTCACACTTTTGTCCCTCCAGAGGACGGGAACTTCCTCTTTCTTTAGCAAGCTCTGTAGGGGACCAGCCCACAGGCCCTGGGGTAGGGCAGCCCGACCGCGGCCCTTCCCTCACCATGGCCTATGGTTCTCCTTCCCTTTTCCTTTAAGAAGGCCAGGTGAGAATCACAGGAAAGGGAGAATTTATTTTGATTAAAAATAACATTTCTTAAAGGGGGCATCGATTTTCCCTTTCCAAAGTCCAATCACTCATCCCTATCCGGAGCGACAGAACCTGGGGCCGGGGCTCAGGCCTCCCACGCAGGCTGTGCTCAGTGGACACAGGAATGGATTCCTGGGACACTGCGGGGGGTGGAGGGGCGTGATGCAGGGTCCCCACGATCAGCCGCAGTCTCTCTAACACTGCAGGTGGTGCCAAGAGGCAGGCATGCTCCCAGCACAAGGGACGGTGGCGCAGAAGAATACAGAGAAGCTCACAAAACATGCCGGCATGGGCTCAGGAGAGCTACGGGGGTAGTGGTGGTACTGCTCCCTGGTGCAGGGCAGCAGCTGTGTCTCCCCCTGCCTCCCTCCCACCCGAGGGCCCTGCTCACCTGGCCCCAGCTTGGAGATGGCATATAAGAGATCATAGTTTATGACTGGGGTCGCATCTTCCACTTGTTTCCATCCCACTGGCGGAGAGGCGGGAGGGGAGATCAGAAACTGCTTGTCTGGATTTGGCGGAGCCAGGTGTGAGCTTCCTATGTGTAAGGTCTGAGGAGAGAAAATAAGCACAGGTCAGTTGTTGCCAGGGAAGAACTGCAGTGAGGCAACAGCACCTAACGCCAGTTCCGGGAGATGGGCAGGTCAATGTCCAGGCGTCAGGACAGGTGTGATTCCAGGACCAATTGTAAGATGGTCTGTAATGGGGAGGGCAAAAGGACATATGAACTCTGGTTGTGGCACAGATAGGATGACAGCCCCCTCCCAGGGCTATGGGAGTCACAGGCACAGGGACTGCAAATAATTACGCTTGACCTAGATGGACAGAAAATCAGCAGAGGTGACTTTAGTATATATGGAAATTTAAGTCACTGTCATTGAGGTCAGGAGGGCTCTTGGAATCAGTCTCTCCCCGCTCCTCATACCACAGAGGCAAGCTCTGAAAGTCCAAAGCCTAGGCCACAGTTCTGAGAGGACACAGCTTCTCAGGGACAGGGAGCCAGGGCTCCACCTGCCCCTAGGGTTCCCCACCCAGCAGCAGCTCTGCACCTCCCTCTCCGGGACTCTGGATCAGATGCCAGAAAAAAAAAAAAAAGCCACTTCCCAGGAGACTTTAAGAAATAAGAATAAGGAACAATAACCTACGATCCTAGTTTGGTTTTAGAAATGCTGACCAGTGATGAGAGGGCTGTCCATAGAGCTCTTACATCTCAAGCTGCGCGGTGTAGGTTTTCTCTGCACTTCCAGATTGCCCTCCCCAAGTTTTCACAATGAATATGCATTGTTTTACAAACAGAAAAGGTCAGAGGAGTACTAAGTAATTATTTGCATAAAATCTTATCCCGTGCAGAAAGGAGTGTACTCACACAGGAAGGCCTAGGCACCCAAGGTCAAAGCTCAGCCTGTGCCTCCCAGGGCAAAAAGGTCAGGGGTGGGGCGGGGATCCCAAATGCTTTATTTATACTTGAAGGGCCCAGCAAGTTCGCTGTCCTCACTTTGAGGAAGAAAAGACACTTTGGCTCTCTGGCGTGGTGTCAGATGAGCTTCCTCCCACTGGGGGAGGCCTTTGGACAGGGTCCTCTCCCATCCCAGCAAGGTATGTGTGTATGTGTGTGTGTGGTGGGGGCGGGTTGGGGGGGTGCTCAGAGCCTGAGGGGGACTTGCTTTACTGAGGAGCTGGCTGCATTCTAGAAGCTCCTCTCTTCTTCCCTGACAATCTGTCAGCCCCTAAGGACATCAAATGGAACTCTGGGAGCTGCCTTGAAGGTGGGTCACCTGTCCTAAGTTCCCCAGAGGAGGGTCAAAATGGTAGTGGGCAGGAGAAAAGGCAAGCCCAACCCCAGCTACCCCTCTCCCTGCCGTGGGTGCCCTGGGGCTGGGAACCCTGCCAACCAGAGGGTTTCTTAGCATCTGCGCCCAGTCTGGTTATCCCCTATTTTCCTTTCAAGCCAGACCTGGCAGTCCTGGGCTGATTTGCAGGCATCTTCTGCAGACTCCTGTTTCTCTGCTGAGTACCCCCAGCACCACATGAGCAGGGAACCACTCTGGTCTGCTCAGTCTAGAGTGGGTCATGAGCTCCAACCCTTGAGCAAATTCATGGAAACCTGCTGCGCAAACCTTAGGGTGTTTGCATAGCCACGCCTACCCCGCTGCACCCTGCAAGCTCCCCAGTGAACAGGGAAGGCTTTCTTTCCCCCATCATTATCAACCCAGGAAGGTCAGGGGCAATGTCTGAGGTTGCTTTCAAATGCACCTTGATATCTTCTTAAAACAAGTGAGACGCTGAACATTCAGAGTAGGAATTTTGTCTTTCTCAAGGTGAAGTCTCAGAGTTTCCGGTCAGCATATAACATAAGCAACGTATAAGCTGCTTTACAAAAGGGAGGGAGGGAGGAGGGAGAAGCATGCATAGCAATGAACCCAACTCACCTGAGCAAAATATAACTTCATTTCCTTTCCCAGAAACTCAGTCTTATGCAGCTGGAGCCTGGCATCTGCTGCGGAGAAGGGGTTGCTGAAGTTTATTCTGACTCGTTTGAAGCTCTTAAAATACTGAAAGGTGATGTCCTTGTCATACGTCCTAAAGAGGGACTCAAATTTGGCCTGAAAAATAACAATAAAAATAAAAGGAGTTGAAATTTACCTGCATATGACCCTTGACTAGATGATGTCATTACTTTTTTTTTTTTCTTCGAGACAGAGTCTTGCTCTGTCACCCAGGCTGGAGTGCAGTGGTGCAGTTTTGGCTCACTGCAACCTCCACCTCCCAGGTTCAAGTGATTCTCCTGCCTCAGCCTCCCGAGTAGCTGGGGTTACAGGTGCCTGCCAGCACACCTGGCTAATTTTTGTATTTTTAGTAGAGACGGGGCTTTGCCATGTTGGCAAGGCTGGTCTCAAGCTCCTGTCCTCAGGTGATCCCTCGGCCTCCCAAAGTGCTGGGATTACAGGCATGAGCCACCGTGCCTGGCCTCCTCAATACATTTTTTACTGAGGAAGTGGATCATCAATCCTTTCAAGAACTCCTAACTTCTTTCTTAGAGAAAAGCCTTTCCCCTCTTAGGGGACTATGGCCTTTAGTCCCAATGCAGGTGATTTTACAAGAAGGTAAGAAGGTATGATTTATTACATTCATCGAATCAGCAGAACAGTTGCCAATACATAGACACTACTTACGGTAACAAACTTTTTTAAAAAGTAGAATGAGCATTTTCCAGGGAGGTACAGTTTGGTAATTTGCTCCCCATGTTTCTCTGTCCTATGGCCTTCCCCCACTCACCCCCCCTTTTTTCTCTGTCCTATAGCCTTCCCCGGCTAGCCAACTCCAACCCCACCGTTCAGCTCAGGGCAGTGTTGCATATATCAAAGATTTCTTTAAGGCTTAAAAGAACTGCAGCTAATTTGAAAAAAAGAAATACTGACTTGAAAAATAACAAAGTTGGTAGAAAGTTTTGCATTTCTTAAAATAAGTAGTTTTTAAAAATTTCCACGATCGCTTTTATCTCAGTCTGTTACTTTTTAACTCTCTAAAATGATACTGGTTTAAAAATTAATGTTCTGCAAATGGACCATTTTCTGCATCCTGGCTTTCGTGTCTGTGCACACCTCGCTCTGGTGCCATAGGGCTAGTGAGAATTAGGAGATGTCCTGAGCTCTTAGAATGCAAAGCTCGAGGTGGGGGATTACAAGCTTAGGTTGCTCAGGGGACAGCCCCCTAGGCTGGGTCCTGGAGTGTGGCTGTCGGTGGGGGCAGCTGGGGGCCACTGCAACTCCTCAGAGAGGGAGTTTAACTGGTGGACAGTCAAAGCTCCAAGGAAGACTGCATGGGCTTCTAGTCGCCGGGTTTTGTGAATCTTTTTACCAGGCAAAAACACTTAGGACAGTTTGTGGGAGCCCGTGTGAAAGGCAGAAGGGGCTGGCCAGGAAGAAGGGGATGGCGCAGGGTGTGGATGGTAGGCAGCGCGGACAGAGCTCACTGAGGACCTTGGAGAACCTATGGAAGGCGCAGTGTCTCTGCAGTGGGAGCGAGGATTCAGGATAAGAGAGGAGAGTGTCTTCAGGAATGTTCACTGCTAGCAAGCGCGGGGAGGCACTGGTGGATGCCTGCTCCACATGGGGCTGCGGGTAGGAGCAGGGTAGTCGGTCCCTGCCAGGCAGGTCGTTAAGGAGCAGTCGGAACAACCTACGACCTTGCTCTCCTTGCATTCCCCGGCTTTTCTTCAGTTTAGGGACATTTCTGAGACTTTCCCACGAGGGATCCCGCAGAGGCACGTGCGAAGGAACGCGGAGCTGGCGGACGGTAGAGTTCATCTGGCCGCCTCTCACTCTTTTTCCCCACCTCTCTTGAGCACGGGCAAGTTTCTGGCAAAAGTGTGTCTTCGTACATTTGGAATTTTGTATGACCTCATCAATAGGCACTGTGACCCACTGTTTAGTTTTGAAGTTATGATTCAGAATTTGGGAGAGATGACTTTGAAGAATATTTTTAGAATACAGGTTCAGGGCTTAGGACCAGAACAAAAGAGAATTCACATTATCTTTAAAATCTAGATTACTATGATGCCTTTCTCTTATAAAAGAATCTTATTTGTTCTAATAACTGATACCTAGTTATTATAGCTTTTGGATGGCATCTCTACTTCATTTAAAAAATAGTGATTTTACTCACATAAGGCTCATGTTAAGTGAACTCACTTTGTAGTACTTTAAAAACATAGAATGTGCTCTGCAATCTAGTCCAAACACTATGGTGCGAGCCCATAAGCATTATATACAATTATGGAGTTACATTTGATTTTTTTTAAAAAAAGAAACCTTCGCATGTCCCAATATGGCTTTGGATATAAAGCATATAACACCACCAGGCACAAATACCACCCCTCAAATAGAGCATACAGGATTCATTCCTATACAGTATTATTAAAGCTCAATTAGCCGGATAGCTGCTGATGAAAAAACTTACATTTTAATCAAATGAAGAAGAAAAGTGTAGTGATTAAAATGATTATATTAATCACCATCAAAGAGAGCTGCTGCCCAGGAGGCACACTGATCTCACACTTAATTTCTCCAGTTTTATTATTTGCTCTGGCGGCATTTTCTCTTGTTAGAGAAATCTGGGAGCTTGAGGCCAGGCCCTCATAATTACTACAAACATACAAATATCTTTATAACATTTATTTCCTAAGACGAAATGAAATTATTCACAACGCTGGCTACAAAAGTAAAACACTATTCACTGTCAGAAGAGGCCTCTTTCTGAAAAGTTCACTTACAACATACACAGAATGAAAAACACACGATGCCCCAACTCTCGCCTTCCTAGTGAGTTGGTTCAGGGGCCTGGATGTTGTCAAATATTGAGATCTTTAGAAATTCCTTCCTCAGTTAATTCCTCAGGCAACAGCTTTTGATTTTCAAGGCTCGAAAGACTTTGGATTTCTTTCAAAACCCCCAAACCCACAAGAGAGCCACATTCTCCCAAGTATTCAGTTAATAGTCCCAGTTAGCATAATGCTTTGAAAACTAAAGAAAATCACGTTATATTAGAAGCCTTACCCTGGTTTCACTTTCGCTGAAGATATCACTGTTTGCCACACAGGCAATCAGGGAGCTAAAACTGTAGTTAAAGTTTCTAAAATGCATCTTGCTTTCTTACAGTGAAAGCGCTACAGACCCACGCAGTCAAGCCCCTAGTGAGATTCCTTTCCAAGAGGCTGTAGGTTCCTTCTTGAGCTGGTGCTTATAAAGCAGTAAGGGCCAGCCCCCACTCCCTGGGGAAAAAAAAAGTGCAGCTTCCACAGCATCCTGTTTGGACAGCAAATTCCTGAGTCAAGTCCTGCATGCTTGCAGGCAGACAGGGACAAAGTGTAAGTTTCTACTGGAAAGAGGTGACGTCAACACCTTAGTCATTTTCCCTATGCTAATTAACTTTGCTTGGGGAGAATGGAAAAAACAGCTGAGGTTTGCTTCACAGCTGCTTTATCAACCTCTCTTGCAGCATAGTTTCCACTGGTAGTAATTCCATTCAGCTACTCAGACAACACGCTCCTCGGCCGAATGGGACGACCCTTCTTAAGATGGAAAATGTTACAAAAGAAAAAGGATGAAGGTCTGTGGCAATAAACAGCAATTAGACTGTAGGGAAATTTCAAGGCTTTGGGAAACCTGGAAACCAAAGTCCGGGTGACATACTTGATCCCTGGAATTTCCTGAAAACCTCAATCAAAGTTTCACTTTGGGGTATTAGAGAAAACATTTTGAAATCTGTCTTGGTCAATAAAAATTTTAAAGGACAAAAAGAGGAATCATTTTGAAGTGTAGTTAAAATTTTTTTCCCCAGTGACATTTTATTGGATGAATGTCCCAATTTCTACTTGTATCCCACAGTGGAATGGAGCAAACAGAACCTAAAACAATCCTAGGATTTTCATTTGAAAACTTCATTATTATAATTTGAGAACTGGGGATATGAAACACTTCGATCATTTTCAAAGCACTACTGAATTCAGGCAAAGGATACAAAAACACTAGCCTTTGAAACTGAGCAATCTAGCCTTTGAAACTGAGCAAAGAAGCATTAACCCATTTATGCCAGAGGTTGCAATTTTTTGAATTTTTGCCATCAGACCTTGGCAATGACCTTGAGCAATAGGATATAAATAACTCCCACATGCTTAGCGTTCCAATAATGGAACACTAGGCATAAATGGGTTAAGAGGTCCTGCTTAAAGACTCATAAACTAAATGTAAAAAAAAAAAAAAAAAGGAAAGGAAGAAGAAATGGAAAGAATGTACACTATAATTGAAAGGGAAGATGCAGGGAAGATGCCTGGTTTGGAGAAGTGCTCTGCGATGCAAGACTGACTCTAGTTCTTTCAAAAGGTTGCAACTCTTGAACCTTCTAAGTATTTTACCAGTTTAGATCCCTATGGCAGCCTGGGTCCTATGTTCTTCTCACTCTCTCCAATTTTATTATCACCTAAAAGCACTCAAGTTATTTAAGCATTCTCTGATTTAGGGGCACACAGGGACAGCTCTCAAGCTTCCAGAAGTTAAATGGAATCCTGCCATTCACATTTAAAAATTAACTTCAAAGAATCATTAAAGTCAGCCAATAATTTAAAATACATGCAAGAGGAAGAAACAAAGCAGGGCATTTAGCCTTCCAAAAAAGGAAAAGCAAAGTCCTTTTGGATGAGTGAGTGTTGCTTAATTTCAACGCACTGTGCCTTGCTGCCAACTGTAGAGTTATGTAAGAAACCAGTTATGGTGTTTGCTTTGCCAAATTATCCATAACTCCCAACCTGAAAAGACATAAACGCATGTATTCCAAAAAAGTGTAGAATACTGAACAATGCAACATGCATCAAACACCAAGGGGAAGTGGTCATCCTGGATGATGCTTCGAGAGGGAATGTGTATGCTTGCAGTCCTGCATTTTCAGTACAGGGAGCCTTTGTCTGTCCAGCAGGCACATGAAGATTGTGGTGGTGGGCAGGAGAGGCTAAGGGGAAACAGAGGTGAGGGGAGCAGACACAGTCCTGCATTCCACTCCTCCAGAGGGGCTTGGAACTTCTCTGATGTTCCCTCCCCCTCTCCAACTCTTTGTCTCCCCCTTTTCTCTTCTCCTGGCATGCACCTGGGCAAATTCCATTAAAAGGTGATCAGAAGAGACAGAAGAGGCTAATTTAGACACAAGAGGCTGATTTCACTGTCTTCTTTTCTCTTTTAAAATCATGACACAAAGTTCCAGCTCAATTTTGTGGGCAAATCTCAAACATCTCTGTTCATCTGAGACAACAGTGTGGGCTCACCCGAATATACAATTTTGATTTCGTTATATGGATGGAAAAAAAAAAAAAGAACGGTGAGGTATTTGAAGATTATTCAACTGTCTTTGCTCATAGAAATGATAAATCTTTCACTAGATTGCCCAAAAACATGTAATTCTATATCTGCCTTTGAATTGATCGGTTCTATCTATCTGAATTGAATTTAGTAAACTTGAGCACTTCCATTTTTAGATCAGGAGTAAGAGCCGGTCAAAATGGTGGCTGCCACTTTGTAGGGAGACTGGAATGCATGTTCTCTGGCAAAAAAATCACTGGTTCACAAATTGTACCAGAGCCCTGGATCAGGGGGAGGGCACTTAGGATCTGCCACCTTGGTTTTCCTTGGCTAAAATGTGAGAGGTATGGAGCAGATTTGAGTTTCCAAAGTGCGTCTTGCTGAGTAGCAGGAATCCTTAGTGGCACTTGGACACTCTGGTTGGCCAACAGGGCAAAGCACAGGGTTTCCTGGGACACCTGTCCCTGTACCCATAGGGTAAGACTGCCTTATGCTCATATCAATGCCTCCTCATCTGCTTATCTGACAATTCTTGCTAAGAGAGTCTGTCTTTGACTGCATGTCTATTATACGTGAACTTGCATTTCTAAAGGTCCTATGCAAATGAATTTACTTTATAAATAGTGATTCTCCCCACTGAGAATAAAAACGGATCCAAAGCAAGTATTTAAAAAGCTGACTTTCCTACTTGTATATTCCTTGTGGTTTTGGAGGCAAGTATATTCCTGATTCTTGCTTGCTGGTTGGATGTCAGTGATCTGAAGAAAGCAGAGCAAGACCCACAGCAAGACCTCTGATATGGTTGGGCTGTGTCCCCACCAAAATCTCAACTTGAATTGTATCTCCCAGAATTCCCACATATTGTGGGAGGGACCCAGGGGGAGGTAATTGAATCATGGGGGGCCAGTCTTTCCTGTGCTATTCTCGTGATAGTGAATAAGTCTCACGAGATCTGATGGGTTTATCAGGGGTTTTCACTTTTGCTTTCTCATCATTTTCCCTTGCTGCCGCCATGTAAGAAGTGTCTTTCACCTCCCGCCGTGATTCTGAGGCCTCCCCAGCCATGTGGAACTGTAAGTCCAATTAAACCTCTTTTTCTTCCCAGTCTTGGGTATGTCTTGTCTTTATCAGCAGTGTGAAAACGGACTAATATAGTCTCATTAGAGCTCTTGAGAAGCATTCTAAAACCTGCACTCAACATGATAAAACTGAACCCAGAAGTTAAAGTAAATGAATGTTTTAGTCAACTGAGAGCTTTAGAAGTTTTGCATTTCTTCCACTCACACCATAAAAATCATAAATGAGTCTTTTTAACCTGCATTTGCCTCCTCTGGCTCCAAACAGTTTCCATTAGGAAGTTTCCATTTTCAGTGAGGAAAAATTAAGGTTTATGATGAATTCCATCATTCCCATTACAGCATTCTGAAAGCATCATTAGGATGACTTCAGCACATCCATTATGAACTCTAAGGAGTTGACAACTGCACCAAGAATGTGCCCCCTGTGAAGCTGTCTGCAACATGAACTGACCAAAGACAGAAACTGAGTTTTGACTTCCAACACTGAGCAAAAAATGAGGCAACTTGCAAAGGCTCTCTTGTGAATGAAAATGATGACAGTTACATTTTATTTCAGTTTTTTGCTTCTAAGATAGTGAAATAGTTTTTTTTTTTTTTTTTTTTTTTTTTTGAGACAGTTTTGCTCTTGTCGCCCAGGCCGGAGTGCAATGGCGTGATCTTGGCTCACTGCAACCTCTGCCTCCTGGGTTCAAGCGATTCTCCTGCCTCAGCCTCCCAAGTAGTTGGGATTACAGGCGCCTGCCACCACGCCCAGCTAATTTTTGTATTTTTAGTAGAGATGGGGTTTCACCATGTTGGTCAGGCTGGTCTCAAACTCCTGACCTCGTGATCCACCCGCCTCGGCCTCCCAAAGTGGTAAAGTAGTTTTACTGTTACTTCACATGTGTAACCATTCCCTATAGAATGTGGAGCATTGTTCCCCAGCCTAAGTTACTACACAAAAACAAAACAAAACAAAAAACAACCCCACAAGGGTTTGCTCTCTTCCTCATCTTTACCACTTTGTGGTCTAAAAGGCATTATTAACTAAGGAGAAGGTTCTTATTCTCAACTTTTAAGAGGGATTAATATCAAATTCAGAGTTGTGGAGAGGATTCATCTAGTGATGGTGGCAAAGTGCCTAGCACAATGCCTGAAACACAGGTGGCGGCTAAAGCACATCAGTTGCCTTTCTATTTCCGATTTCATCGATAAAGATATTGAGGTTCAGAGTGGCACACACTATGTTTAGGAGAGCCGGAACTCACTCTGGGCTTTTCATTGCAGATTCCACGCTTGTTCCAAGGAACTATGCCCGCCTTGGGCCAATGCCCTGTGGTACTGTAGCTCATTTCCCCATCTCTCTGGGTGGTCCAGGGCACCTTGGATGTCCTCCTATGTGCCCTGCAGGTCCACAGAAAGTCCTGTAGGTTCTCTATCCCATCCTTCACCGTGCATAGTGCTGCAGGTAGGCAGCCCTCAGCAACTGTAATATCTTCCCAACTGGCCTCGCTTGGCCTGTGTCTTACCACTCCAACATAATGTGCAAGTCTGACACATAAAAATCCCTGATGCTGACCAAGCTCGGTCACGTTCCTCTCCCGCTGTATAAGCTTCAGTGATAAGCACTGTTCCTGCTGTAGCCCAGGCAGACTGTTCAAGGTCGTCTTGTGTCTTTCTTGTCACATATCCTGCCAGTGCTGCTCTCACTTTTATGTTCCTCCAAGACAAATGGCTTATATGCCTCAAAACACACTCCCCTCTTCTCTTCCCCAAGTCTCTGCTCGTGCTCTCCCTCTCCCTGGATTATTCCTCCTTTCTCCCCTTTCCTTTCCTTCCTTAAGATTGAGTGCAGGCATGTCGTTCTCCAGGAAGCCAACAATGACCCCCCGTGTTAAAAAAATATTATTCAATGATGCCTGCTGAAGCCCGACAAGGCAGACTTTATTCAGGACCACCACGATGGGTATAGAGACCACCACAACCAGGTCTTGCAGTGGGGGCTGGGGGCGGGGGTAGATTGAGCTCAACTCCGAATACAGCATGGCCAAGAAGCAGTGTCAGGGTCAGTGGTGGAAAATTACTAAGAGGAGGCATCGGGGTAAAGAGGACTCTGGCTAAGCTGACCTAATAGGATTCTTGCTGAAGACAGGCCCGGGTGATCAGACATCACCTGACGGATGGTAGAAGATGAAGAACCCAATCAGATATTAAGGGTGGGGGGGTTCCTGTTAAACTGACTTTGCGGGGTTCTTTGCTAAAACTGGGTTTTATAAGGAAGTGCACAGGTGAGCCTAGGAAAAGGTTCAGAAACCTGACCCAAATTTGGCCAAGCAAAAAATGTTTGTCACCCCAAACCCACTCATACCCTTGTCCAAGGTTTGTTAAGCACTCTCCAAACTTCCTACGTCTGTCTCCAGCACCGTGCTCACTTCAGTAGGTGACCACCTATGTGATGACACCCTGGTTCTAAACGGTGAACCTCCTGACGGCTTGAGCCACATCTTATTCCACTTGATAGTCCTGGTGCTGGTACAAAATAGTCTCTCAAAAATGCCAGCTAAAGAAACAAACTGATGTCTTTCTTCCTGTCACTGTCATCCACTGCTTCTACTTTGATCACATAGAACTAAAAACTAGTTCCTCTTTGACACAAGAGTCATTCATACATTTGACGACAGATGTCATCTCATTCACATATCCATTCATTTGATCAGCAAATACTGAATAGCCTTTTACATGATAGATATGATTGTAGATACTCTAGAAAAGAATAGATAAATGAAGTGTAAACCCTGCCACTAAGATGAGTAGAACTTTGGATAGTTTTCCTGGATCTTACTTTCGAACATTGCAAATTCCAACCCCCCACTGCCCACCTTATCAGTCTCATTTAAACAAATATTTTTAAAATTTGATAATACAGTCATATGATAAAAAACAAAATAAACTTTTTTTTTTTTTTTGAGACGGAGTCTTGCTCTGTCGCCCAGGCTGGAGTGCAGTGGCACTATCTCGGCTCACTGCAAGCTCCGCCTCCCGGGTTCACGCCATTCTCCTGCCTCAGCCTCCCGAGTAGCTGGGACTACAGGTGCCCGCCACCACGCCCGGCTAATTTTTTGTATTTTTAGTAGAGATGGGGTTTCACCGTGTTAGCCAGGATGGTCTTGATCTCCTGACCTCATGATCTGCCTGCGTTGGCCTCCCAAAGTGCTGGGATTACAGGCGTGAGCCACCGCGCCAGGCCCAAAATATACTTAAATAGGATACACTGAGAAAGCTTTTCCTACCTCTGTCCCTGTCCACTCCATTCTCACTCTGCCTGTTAGGTGTAACCTCATTTTTTTAAACCATTTTTATTATTTTGGGGTTTTTTTAATCAAATAAAAGCAATTATGATTTTATTTCCCCCACTTTAAGTAAATAAAAGGTAACATGCTATATTTAAACAAAACAAACCTTCAATGACTTCCCTTTGCTCCTGAAGTTGAACCTAAGCCTTCTGGTTCACATTCATTCACGCATCCCTCCATTTATTCATTCATTTGTCTAAACACTGTTCTAGGTACTAGGAATTCAAATATGAACAAAACAGACAAAACTCCCCGCCCTCTTGGAGCTTACATTCCAGATGGGGAAAAAAGACACAAAACAAGATAGATGGGTACAATCCACAGTATGTTTAGACAGCCTTGAGTGTGGGCAACAGAGCAGCGCGGAGGGGCAGAAAAGCTGGAAAAGTGGTGAAAGCAAGCCCGGCCAGGGAAGGCATCCTTGAGAAGGGGACATGCGAGTGCATGAGGACCTGAAGCAGGTAGGGGAGTGAACCGTTGGATGCTGGGGAACAGCATTCTGGCCCAGGGAACAGCAGGTGTGGAGGCCCTGAGGCAGGAGAATCTGGCATGCTGCAAGCCCAGCAAGGAGGCTCAGGGTGGCTGCGGAGGAGGGTCATGGAGAAAGTGGTTGGGAATGAGGACAAGAGAGACCTTTAGCCATTGGAAGGACCCTGGCTTGTATTCTACAGAAGTGGGAGCCATAAGGGGGTTTGAGCAAAGGTTAGCATGGTCTGTTATGACATGATTTCCATATTACAGAAGTACTCTGGTTTCTGTGTTCAGAATACAGCGAAGGGGCGAGGGGGAAGCAAGGTACCCATGAGGAGACAGCTGGGGTAGGCAGGGCAGTGGGAGCTTCTTCTCCAACCAGTGTCCATACCTCCTCCAGGGACCCCCTCTGCAGTACCCACTTTCTAAAGCTCCTCAGCCAGCTCCTCCCTGTCTCATTCCTGCCTGTTGAACTCTTGTTCATCCTTTAAAGCCTATCATTAAGTCCAATTCCTCCAGGAGCTCCCCCATCCCCCAACTAAGTGTTCTTTCCCACCTGTAACCTGGTGACTCCCACCTCCCGCTGTCACCATAGTCTGCTTGGCATCATAGTCATGTTGGGACTTGGCAATCTTCATACTACAACAAAAGCTTCATGAGGACAATGCAGCTTATTCTGCAGCTCCCCAGAGATGTAGACAAAAGCTTGTGCAAGTCAATGACACCAAAATTCGGAGAACTGCACCAGTGGGGGCTCATCTGATGCAAACCAAGAGCCAGAATTCACCAGGGCATCAAAAGGCCATGGCTTCTGGTGTGACAGACTGAAGGGCAGCCTTTGTCTGTGGTTTGAGCAAAGGCCAGGCCATTCATTGTGGTCACAGGAGGTGGTGTAGGGTTGTGATGACATTTCTCACAGGCCTCAGGGGAAGCACTGTGCTTGAGGGCCACATGTGTGCTCTGTGGGTGTCACATTCCCGGATGTGCTTCCTATGTCCTTGCTGTGGGGGGCCTAGCAGGATGCCAGGCACTGGCCCGCACCATCACATGGAGACTGGGAGGCCCGACCACATGGACACTGCTGAGGGCCAGGATTCTTCTTATGGGTACACTGCAGAGATCTCCAGCACCAACCCCATGACAAGAGGAAGAGCAGAGTCAATTGGATGCATGTCCACCTTAAGGACCTGTCTTTAGGGCATGTTTCATAAAGTATCCAGCATATAGGAGAATTTGTATAGAATTTACAAATAAAATGCTTTACTGGCAGATGTACTAAAAAATCTTCTACCAAGGAGGTTCATAATCCAAAACACTTGGAGACCATGTGTTTAAGCAATAGTGTGATTAAATTCCCAGTTTTCTTTAGGCTTTTTCATGATAAGCAAGTGTAAGAAAGAGAACAGAAGAACATTCTTCTTGATATAGTTAAAGGAATTTCTATTTTTGTTCACTTTTAGGGCAATCAGGAAATGGGCTCAGGAGTGTATTTCTCTTAGTATTGCTCTCTTACTGGTAAAATTTGCTTGGCCACAGGGAAGTGGTATAAAGCAAAACACATAACCTTTTTTTTTTTTGATGGGCTTTGAAGGTGTTAACCAGAATGCCCCGGAGAAAATACGGGAGGTGCTGGTTCTGCAACTACAGAGAATGACAACTAAGAATTCTAAATCTGAAATAATGAAATTGTTTAAAAAAACACTTTGAAGTTTAATGAGTATTAATTTTCTGTAAGAAAACACAATAACTGATATTAAACTTCAGCCAGGCACAGTTCTGATACTTTGAAAAAAAAATAAGAAACGCTGAAGTATCTTTTGATACTTTGCCTGAATTACTACAAGAGAGTTTACAAATATGTATTTCTGGGATAACACAGAACTTTTATTCCTTAGATAAAAAATCTGAGTGGCTGATTTATGCCAGTGACCAAAATGATGGCTGCAATTATGCCTGCTCTATATTCATGTTGTTAAAGGTGAAAATGCTAAAGACTTTTTTTTTAGCAGAATGGTGATCATGATCTGTTAACACAGTAGAAACAAAAAAAAAATCCAAGTATAAAGAAAAAAAAAAGAATAAAAAAGAAAAGAGAAAAATAAAATAATTGGGAAAAACAGGGAGGAAGAGTGTGTACAAATGTACATCTTAAGACTGAGGTCACAGTTCATACTAGATTTCATCTTGTTTGTTAAATTCCATGTGCGCTCAGAATTCCATTAACTCTTATTCCGTATTGCCTCAATCTTTCCTTAATATGTAAAGGTTAACCACCCCACTGTAACTTCTTGGAAACGCACTGCTTGCAATGTTTAAGATGAAAAAATAGCCACAGGCAAATCAAAACTCTACTTAATGACTTGGAGACCAGCAGATGAGGATTAGGGGAGGCAACATTTATTTGGAGATTACTGGGGCCAAAGCCACCCTAATTAATTACCCTTTATTTGTTCTCTCTTTCCAGAGCCACCTTGCTTTAATTACTGACTTTAATTTCTGCTTTGATGCCATTCTCAGCCAGGGGCACAGCACTGCAGCAGCAAAAACCTGGGGAAGAACAATCACCCAGGAGTGGGCTGGCTGTGGTCACTCAGGCCCAGGGAACACCAGTGTCTGGTTAGCCCTCATCCCTGCGCTAAGCAGCTTTCACAACCCCACGGCTGGTTCATTCTCAACAAGTCAGTCCTTCACACGCAAAGTAGGAATTCTACTTTCCAGGGTTAATGCTGCCTGGAAAACCTTTTCCTTCCGCTGCAGCATTCCATACTCTCCTTAGAGGAGATGATTCTCCCAGGGAGGCTGGCGCAGTGAGGGGTCCAGGCACACACCACGCCGGCACCTGGTGAATAGCTGGCTGAATGTCAGCGGAGGAGTAAAGGTGAGAGGGTCATGGAGGGAAGGGGAAAAAAATGAGCAAGATCAAAATCTGCAACTCTTCAATAAAGACAGAAAACCCAGTTCTGAATGGCTTCGCTAAAGATCGTTTGTATCCACACCCAGTTTCAAAACTCAAGAGGCAGGTCAGAAATGGTTTTCTGTTGTTGGTTTGTTTTTTCTTTTTCACCAAGTGCTGGGAGAAAAGTGAGTTATGTGCTCTTACCTGCTATTTCCATTACCATACACACACCCTGTTTCCATGTCTGCAGTTGAGAAGTCCCAACAGGGCACTGCAAACGCTTTCTTTCTGCATTTGGCCTGCATTCTTTGCTGATGACTTAAAAGCCTGATAACAAGTCACACGAGGAAGCATGTCCTGTCATCTTCATGAAGGTCACCAATGATTCAAAACATACTGAAGGAACAATAAACTACATACAAAGAACAAGCAAGACCCCACCACAACTTGGATATTATCTCTGTCCACCCAAAGAGAGAACAACTGTGCCAACCTGGTTCATCAGGAAAATCTAGGTGTTCCCGTCAAGTGACTAAAATGTGGGCACACATCTTTGCACCGAGTATCTGATTCCTAAGAGCTGTTCCCTTTCCATCAGGCCTAGAATGGCCCAGTTAGTTTTCTCCTGGTGAACTGTAGCCCATTAACATTGACGGAAAATTAGTTGTTAATATTGAAAAATTGGGAGGTGTCACACAGAAATAGAACTTCTGACTTCTTTTTGGTGGTGGTGGCCCGGGGAGATGTGGCCACCCTGGGCCCAGAGCTCCATTTCACTGTGGCCGAGCAGATGCCCCTTGTTGGGGAACCCATGCTCTTCAAATACCCCAGGCCTCATCACTGTCTGTGGTCTACTCGCCCCTCCACCAATGATGGCTGCTGGCTGACCAGCCCCCAGGGCATTTCAATTTGTGGCTTAATTTGGTAATTCATCAAAAACAGATTAGTCACCTGCTAGGGCCAGCCATGGTGTGAGGTGCCAGGCGTACAGGCAGAGAAGTTTACCCAGCTCTGGGGCTCAAGCTGTTCTATGCCTAACAATTTACACCGAATTATACATGGAGAGGGCATGGCCCTCACTCCCACATGGTAATTGTGTGTGTGTGTGTGTGTGTACTTATTTTTTCATCTGGCCCATGTATGGGCACATCACATTCCTATGGGTGACTCCCTGGGCATCTGTGAAATGTTGTCTCCCACTCCTGAAATTATGCTGTAAATGCCAGGGAATGGTGGTGACATGGTTATAGCGACGATCTTGATTCTGCTCAAACATAAACCACAGTTGGTTTCTTTAGCAATTATTAAGAAATGATTGGGCCATGTCAGAGGAAGACAGAGGAAGAATCTGAACTGTAATTCACTTACAGATTTCTACAGAATTAGCTCATGATTCATGGAGGCAAAAAAAGTTTTGTCAGGAATGGCATTCGAAGACACAGAAAAACAATTTGAAAGGAGCCTGAGGTCCAGGTGTTTTCAGAGTGTGGTCTTTAAGATAGTTTCTTAAAAGATCATTCGGAGAAGAGAGCATTTTAAACTGCTCTTGTACAAATCTATGGTACATTTTATTCCTTATGTTGAAAATGATGGGAAGATTGTGCCTGTTTCACCCATTTAAGAAACGCTCCCTGTTGGTCCAAGCCACCGTGGGCTCCTCCATCCTGAGGGAGGACACAGTGGCTCTACTGTCCTCTGTAGAGGTGAAATTATGTGGCACATACTGTGATCAACCACAGCTACTGCCAACTCCCCAGCCAATTCCCCATCCACTCCCCGCCATGGGTACTGGCCGCTTCCAGACTCTAAGACAGAGGTTCTTGCGCAGGGGAGGTTATTAGGACGAGTGGTGGGGAGGGGAAAGGAAACTGGGCAGAGGGAGAGTGAAGCTACCAAGTGGTCCTAGTGGAAGCCTAGCCGACTCTACAGGGAGCTTTGAGGATGAGACGACCCTTATCGGAGCAGGAGGACCGGGCCTTGATACCCCCACGTTGGTCAGTTCTGGGAAGGGGCTACCCTGAGAAGGGGGTGGAACTTGGGCAAGGTGGCTTTGCTCTGCCCCAACAGGGCTGACTGTCAAGGGAGGCTGGGAGACAAATTCTATTTTTCTGAAGTGACCTGGGGTGTGTCACTGTGACCAGTGCACCGACCAGCTAACCGACCAACCCGCAAGGCCCAAGCTCAAGGAATTAGAAGGCTCCAGACTTGCACCCTAAGTTAATCATCTGAAGTCTCAGAAATGTGACAGCCTTTAAACTGAACACTACAAAAATGCTGCTTATTCCACTCCAAATCATTAGCTCATCATCCATGTAAGGAGCTTCAAGAAGAATATCGGTAAGATTAGCGGTAAATTCAAACAGTTTAAACTTTCAGTATAAACCGCATCAACTCAAATCCCGAATACTGACTCAACAATTTCACTCCTAGGAATTTATTCTAAAGAAATCCTCATGGCTGTGGGCAAACATTAGATGCAAATATGTTCCTGCAAGGCAAATAAAATATGCAAAAATATAGTTTTATGTAAATAAAATACATCAAGATCCGTGATCAGATAATATACATGCTAAATTCATTCAGTAGACTATAGAGCCACTCATAGTAAGGTGGTGAAAACTAATGACATGAAAAGATGTTCAAGACTTGCTGTTAGGAGAAAAAACCAGGTTACAAAGCAATGTTTATTGTTCTCATTTTGGTGAAAAGAAAGAATATGTGTGATAGTATTAGAAGACTCCTGTGTTTTTCTTCTTGATTATTTGGATTTGGATTATTTAGATTCTAGCATGAATTTCCACAATGAACACTTATTACTTTTATAATAACAAAAAAGCTTCTCCTTTCCCCTTCCCTCACTAGATGCTATATATCAATGGTCAAGGTAACCGTGGTTAACAGACACAATATGTAAGGGTAAAGGTTAGTTGGAGAGAAAATCGACTTTGCCTGTTTTTGTGTAGTGGTTTGGTATCACGGCTTTTAATATTTGCTCTGTATCTGTTATGCACAATCTCTAAACCTGCTCATTTTAACCCATTAACATTTTGGAGTGCTAGTTATTGAAAGAATCCTATTTCATACCTAGAAACAGGGATTTCACCAGAAAATACTGATTTTGTCTTTCTTTGATTACCTCTCCTGCCTGCCATCTTTATCTGGTGAAATTCTCATTTAATCAGTAGTGTTGGCTGAGCCATTCTCACTGGAGTCAGGGCTGTCTGAGTGCCAGGGGACACTCATCTGAATTGTTTCTTGTCACTGCCATGTCCCTACATCTATTCCTTGCTCACCTGCATTATTTTCCCCATTCTTCTTGCAGTCCCAGAATCACATCCAAGCCCCTTTTCTTTCTCCCTGGATGACCCCTTCCTCTGAATCTCCTTTCTAACAAGACTGGAAGGTTACATAATAAACTTCTCCCCATTACAGCATTAATGATGACAGTTGTTTAATATATAAGGCCTTCCCAGAGAATTTGTATTTAATCAGCAAATTCTGGAGATCAGTCTGCATCTCAAAGGAATGCATTGCTAAGGGGAAAATTCCAGGCAGTAAGTCAGTTACAGGGGAAAATTCTCTGCACAGGTGGGCTCTTCCGGGGCTGGGTGCTGCCTACGTATTGTTCAAGCACCTACACTGAGCAGATTCTTGCATGGACTGACTGGGATTAAGGGCAGACTTCCAAGAAATCACTCATGTCTCCATTCATTCAACCACCATTTGTTAAAGATCTCCCACGTGACTTCTCGAACTCCTTGGCTGGGTAAAATTACCCCTAGTTCTTAGTATTTACCACACTTTAATTGATTTCCTTCACCGAACTAAGGGTAGACCAAGCCAGAGACCCTGGAACCCTTAAAACCCTTCATAAACATTTGTTGAACAAATGCATGCAGCCAAGTAACTGACTCTTCCTTAGAGATATAAAGATGAGGAAGGTATGGTTATTCCTTCAAAAAGCTCACAGTGGGCCAGGCGTGGTGGCTCACTCCTGTAATCCCAGCACTTTGGGAGGCCGAGGTGGGCAGATCATGAGGTCAGGAGTTCGAGACAAGCCTGACCAACATGGTGAAACCCTGTCTCTACTAAAAATACAAAAATTAGCTGGGCGGGGTGGCGGGTGCCTGTAATCCCAGCTACTTGGGAGGCTGAGGTAGAAGAACCGCTTGAACCTGGGAGGTGGAGGTTGCAGTGAGCCGAGATCGCACCACTGTATTCCAGCCTGGAATACAGAGCGAGACTCTGTCTCAAAAAGAAAAAAAAGCTCACAGTGAAATCAATCAAGAAATACTAAGCCATGACCAGGTGCTCAGTAGTCTACTAGGGCCTCCAAAAGCCTCAGTTTCTGTCCCTACAGGGGCTTAAGATGGAAGCTTGAGTGATGAGACTGCAGCTCCAGTGATAATATAAATGATCTCTCTTGTGTGTCACAGACACTCAGAGCTCAGGATACTAGAAGTGGAGCGTAGCAATCAGAAAAGTCTAGCTAGGTATATAAGAATCCCATCTCAAC
The DNA here is from genome assembly GCF_000001405.40 of Homo sapiens. NCBI lineage: Eukaryota > Metazoa > Chordata > Mammalia > Primates > Hominidae > Homo > Homo sapiens. The sequence continues at coordinate 34,541,249 of NC_000021.9, forward strand.
CTCCAATTGGTCCAGTTACAAAAAGTCCTACAGATGAAGGACTTGAGAATAGGGTTAGGCTTTAAATAAGTGGGAAAAAGATATACCTCTGCATTTCCTCATTACTACCTAAAAAGAAAAGGTATAAGGAAAGCTTTCCCCAATCAACCTACACAAGAATCTGCTCAGTGTAGGCGCTTATACTAGTTAGTTAACGTTCCACTATCATCCACTGTCATGTGGCATCAAATAAGCAGGTGCTTTTATTAAAGGACATATATACTTTACTCATTTTGAACAAATTTGATGGCTTGTATTTTTTTGCATGGCATTGGGTTAGTGCTAATATCTATTAACGGATGTCCTGGATTTCTTAGGAAATCCTACCTTTGCATATTTCATTTTAAAAATAAATGCTATTCACGGGGCGGGAGCGATGGCTCACGCCTGTAATGCCAGCACTTTGGGAGGCCGAGGTGGGTGGATCACAAGGTCAGGAGATAGAGACCATCCTGGCTAACACGGTGAAACACTGTCTCTACTAAAAACACAAAAAACTAGCCAGGCGTGGTGGCGGGTGCCTGTAATCCCAGCTACTCGGGAGGCTGAGGCAGGAGAATGGTGTGAACCCAGGAAGTGGAGCTTGCAGTGAGCTCAGATTGCGCCACTGCACTCCAGCCTGGGTGACAGAGTGAGACTCCATCTCAAAAAAAATAAAATAAATAAAAAAAATTTTTTTAATGCTATTCATGCAACACATTTTTAAAATTTTGGTAAGGACATAAAAATAAATACATTGGACAAAATCTTGTGTTTCTGCATACACCCAAATTTGGGCTTGGAAAGTGCCTATAAACAGAGGTGAGGTGGGGAGGATGCCATGTGTGGTGTGGTGGGATGTCATAGGTAGCTATGATAAAGACAATTCTGGAAGAACAAATTCTCTGAAGATGGCTGCAACACTGTCTCCTACTCCACATGCTCTCCTACAGCCTTGCCATTCCTGTTGGGAGAAGGAATGTATGTCCCCTGCCCTTGAATGTGGAGGACCTTTGTGAGTGCCTCAAGTGACACTATATGGTGGAAAAGACACCAAGTTTAGGTCATAAAAAGCCATGCCCTTCTGCCTTGTTCTCTCGGGGCACTTCCTCTTGGAACCCAGTTGCCCACCATGCTTTCAGGAAGCCCAAGCAGCCCATGAAGAGCCCATACAGAGACGAACTGAGGCTGCTGGCCCAGAGCTCTGGCTGAGCTCCTCACTGGCAGCTGGTATTTTTGCCAGCTATATAAGTGTGACAACTTGGGAGTGGACCCTCCAGTCGCCAGCCAAGGGAAACCCAGAGGATGATGCATGGAGGAGAGAAGAATCATCTCTGTGCAAACTGCAGATTCACAAGCAAAACAGATGACTATTGTTATTTACAGCCATTACGTTTTGGGTGGCTTGTTGTGCAGCAATAGTAACTGGAACAACATTTCTGCGATGGGCAGAAGTGGCAAGGATTGTAACTCATTAGACTCAGAAGGCGAGGTCACCTGAGTAAGCAGGGTCCTTAGTGGAACAGTGGGTGTAAGAGGAAGGAGAGATGGGTGGGTGTGGGGCTTCTTGCCATCTACATATGTAGGGTCTGCCTTTTACTTGCACATCTGTGAGAGGTGTACAACAGAGTTGTAGAAGTATGGACTCTGGAGCCAGGCCACCTGGGTCTGAACCTGGTGTTCCATTTCTTAGCTGTGTGACCTTGGGCAAGGTTCTCAAGTCCCATGTGCTTCAGATTCTTCATCTGTAAAGAGGATAATCACAGGACCTACCTCATGTGGTGGTGGTGGCACAAATTGACCTAATGCCTACATTGAGGCTTGGTGCATAGGAAGTTTCCATGAAAGCGTTCACTGTTATGATCCACATAGGTGTGGGCCTCAGACTATGAGCTGGGCTGAATGACAGCCCCTCCCTAGTCCCTGGAGCTTGTAAATATGTTGCCATACATGGAAGAAGGGACTCTGCAGGTGTGACTAAGCTAAGGATCTTGAGACTAGGAGATGATGGATTACCAGGGTGGGCCCAGTGTAATCAAGGTGTCTTTATAAGCAGGATATGGCAGGGCTGGAGTCGGAGATGGAGACAGGATGATGGAAGCAGAGATTCGAGTGATATGGGGCCATGAGCCAAGGAAAGTGGGAGTCTTTGGAACCTGGGAAAAGGCAACGAAACGGATTTTGCCCTAGAAGTAACGCAGCCAGGCTGACACCTGATTTTAGCCCATTGAGACTGATTTTGGAGTTTGATCTCCAGAACTGTACAGTCATAAATCTGTGCTGTTTTCAGCCACTAAAATTGTTTGGTAATCTGTTACATCAGCAACAGGAAGCAAATACAAATTTAAGACTGGAGAAAGGTAGCTTTATAGAACATCCAGCAGCTAGAATGTTCAAAGGAAGTTGGGCTTTGGAATCAATAAACTGCTGTCCTTTTATTTCTTCTTCTCCTGACTTAGGCTTCGAGGGATGACATTTTCTTTTTAATCCTAGCATGTGAAGTGGCCAAAGCTCAGGCTTGGGTGTCAGATGGGCCTGGGCAGGAACCCTGGCTGCAGTCCTTACTTGCTGGGGGTCCTCAGTCAACTGGTGGTGCTGGCCAAGATGACCACAGTGGCACTGACAGCCAGAGTCAGTTGCCTGCTAGCCATTCGGAGTGGTCAGTGCCCACGAGGTACCAGTTACTATGTGCTATGAATATTATCTCTAGACTGAATCCTATGAACTTCAGTTTCCTCATTTGCAATTTGGGAACAATCTAAGTCAAAGGTTGTTGTAGAATGTGCATAGGTAGGTGCTTTTCAGACTGTGGCTGCCACAGCAGCAGTAGCTGCCTTACTTGGCAACTTGCCAGAATTCTTGCCCTACCTATTGTGGTAGGCTGAATTCTCAAATGGCCCCCTGGTGGACAAGCTTTGCATGATCCCGGGACTCTGTGATGGATTCTGTTTCCACAGTTAGGTTATATTACCCTGGGAGATTATGTGGGGTGAACACTTAAAAGGGACCGGGTTCTTTCTGAAGTCGGAGAAAGGATGGGAGAGACATTCTCTGTTGCTGATTCTGAAGATGGAGGGGGCCATGTGGCAAGGACTGAGAGTGGCCTCAAGGAGCTAGAGTGGCCACGGGGATCTGAATGTGCTTAGAAGCAGATTCTCCGCAAGAGTCTCCAGACAGGAACGCAGCCCAGGAGAGAACCGGTTCCAGCCTTGTTAACCTTGAGCAGAGAACCCTGTTGTGCACATGGTGATTTCTGACCTACAGACCTGTCAACTAAGAAATGGGCATTGTAAGCCACTAGATTTGTAGTAATTTGTCACACAGCAATAGAAAACTAATATATATTTACTGAATCAGAAACTCTGCTGGTTTTTGTTTGTTTGTTTGAGACAGGGTCTCACTGTGTCACCCAGGCTGGTCTCAACGAGCCTTTGCTGAATCTCTTCCTTGTCAGAGGAGACTGCTGGTCCCCAAGATAGAAAGTAAAGGAGACCCAGCCCTGCTGTCAGGAAGCACCCGCCTCGGGTTGGAGTAAAAGTCACACATGGGACGGGGCTGTAAGTCTCAGCAAACAGCAGTGCGAGGGACGCACGTGGAAGAGGGGTAGTGAGGGCACCTTGTGGGCAGGAGAGCCTTTTAAAGACTGTATGACGTGAACTCCAAGATCTATCCTTGAAGGCCAGGGAGTGGTTGAAAGATGGAGCCCTCTGATTTCTGACTTCACTTCTGCAAAGCCTACTGTGTCATTTACTCCTCACCATCAGTGGAGCGAGAGCCTCTGGGACCACGTCTCCCGAGTCCCATGCCTGCCATCATGGTGCGGGCTGGACCAGCCTTCTTAGTGGGATATGTTCCCCATAGAAAGTAAACCAAGAGGCAAAAGCAAAGCAAAGCTACGAAAGCAGGCTCAGTGCCCCCGCCCCTTGTTTCAGTGTCACCTCAAGTTTGCTTCTTGCTCTCAGAGGGAGATCACAGCATTGCACAACGGGCAGTGTTGACTATTTGCTGGCCCTTGTCACCCACCCTTCCAAAACTCGGGCAGAGGACAATCTGAACACCAGTGTGACAGTTTCTAACAAAAGGCTTTGCTAGTACAGTGCCTGAGTGTGGGTGTCCACTGAAAACTAATTTCAGCCCTGACTAAGAAAGGCATCTCAGAAATGAGGAAGTGTATTTTGGGCTCCTGTGGTTTCTGATGAAAAATGCTGCAATGTGGGGCATGGGTGAAAGGGAAACACTGAGAAAATAGATGTGACCCCCAGTATGCTTCCTTGAAGAAGTGGGGGGCTGGCCAGGCCAGGCACAAAGATCCTTTGTGTTCCCTGAGCCTGTGACTTCTCCCGCTGTTTCTCAGCAGTTACACTAACGACATTGTGGAGGAAACAGCTTCTCCTTGCATGGCCCTGCCCCTTGCACTCTAGACTGTTTAGCCTCCCTGCTGGTCAGTCCCCTCTCCCTACAAATGCCAGCAGCTTTCCCCCAGTCCTTGCTGCAACCACAAAGTCTCGCAAGGATTTTCAAATGCCACTGGGAGGATAGCGGTGCCACCCATGGAGAATAATGACCCCAGGCCCTAAAATGAAACAGGTTGCTCTAACATTCGAAGAATAGCCCCAGCACACCAAATGCATTCACTTAATTTCTTGTTCAACAGAAAAGAATGACCTCTTTTAATACAGAGCTGCTTTGAAACATGTCATTTCAAACAGGTCCTAAGAAGATCCTGATATTTGTCTGTATCTTAACTGGATCTCTGTGGGTTGAAAAACGCTCATAGAAATGTTGAAGGACATCAGTCAATCTTTAATAAGATGAGATTTCTCAGAGATACAACATGCTGTTTGACCATCTGAAGGATGCTAAAAGAAAGTGATTTACTGAAATAAAATAGATAACAAACATTTCAGTGACTTAGAAAATGGCGAGAAATCACGTCAGGCAAGTTTATATTTTTGTGTTAAAAAATCCCCACCTAACAACACTCTCTTCCTTACATTTCTTCCCAGCAGGCCAAGAACTTACTAAACTCTGGCTCTAGAAGAAAATGACATTAAAATGCTGACTTTACAGGTATATAGTCTAGCATTTGTTGGCAGTTACTTATTAGTTTTTTTTTTTTTTTAGAAATGTAAAAACTATTTTCTTTGTTTCAAACGAATAGGCTCTAACTTAAAATAATTTACTTGTACAATTAAATTGTCTGAAAAACCCCAACAATGCTGTTAACACGTTGTTAACAGGTACACAACTCCCCTCTATTTTAGGAGCTGACGCAAAGAAGACAGCACAAACATGAACAAGAAAACAATCGCTGTCGCTTAAAAGCAACACCGTCTTAGCAGTTTAAAGACAGACACTGCATGCTCACATACTAACAATAATTATGAGTCTCCAACTCAGAGGGTAGAAGTCAGAAGACGCAAACAACATCCACCGTACCAGGAACTGAAGAATAGGAGGAAGCAGGTTTAGAATAGCAATGGGTTTTTCCCTGAGATGTACATTTTACAAGAAGCATTCAATTCCATTTTAGATATGGAAAAAGAGCGTGTTTTTCCCATTAAAAGGGGGAAACAGGAAAAGTATAAGTAGCTTGACCCATTATTATGTCCTACCTGGAAAAAAGTTTTTTTAAGTGGAGAAAATGATTAGTCATGAGTGCATGACTTATTAAAAATGACTTTCTGGGTAACAGAGACCAGATAATACCTACGTGAATAAATCTCTCCCCAAACCCTAGTTTGGGGCCCACACTTTTGCAAGGTCTCCAGTGAGTAAGACAGTAAATTCTGTGGCTGGCGTTTTCTTTGGAACACAAAGGGTCGCAAACAAACTCCTACTCAGCTGCAGCCACTACCCCTGCCAAAATTGAGTAGCTGAGGATTCAGCGAAGGGTTCGGGTTCCACGTCACCCAGGTGCTACAGGAGCCTGAGCCCAGGAGCGGGGACTGTCCCACATGCCAAGAGAATAGGGCATATCCAGGAGTCCAGGCCCATCACAGCAGCCAGGTTTTTACCTAGGTCTACTACTCTTTCCACATCACAGCTTCCCCTCACCTTTCTCCCCCTCCCTCACCTGCTCACTGCCATGTATGGGAATGCACCCCAGGAAACACACAATTTTGAAAAACATCGTCCCAAGAGAAAAAGGCTGTCATGAAGAGGCCAGGCAAATGACCTCAATTAAGTACTTTGTCCAATGCTAATGGATTGAATTCTGTTCCCCTAAAATTCACATGTTGAAGTCCTAACACCCAGTGCAATGGTGCTATGGTTTGAATGTGTCCCCCAAAAGTTTATGTGTTAGAAACTTAATTGCCATTTTAACAGTGTTGAGAGGTAGGGCCTTGACAAGGTGAGGAGGCCACGAGGGCAGAGCCCTTACAAAGGGATTCATGCCATTGTTGCAGGAGTGGGTTAGTTATCCTGGGAGTGGGCTCCTGATAAAAAGGATGAGTTTGGCTCCATGTCCTCTCCCTGTCTCCTGTGCTTGCTTCAGCTTCTGCCTTCTGCCATGCGATGACCCTCACCAGATGCTGGCACCATGCTCTTAGACTTTTCAGCTTCCAGAACCGCAAACCAAATAAATCTCTTTTATTTATAAGTTACCCAGTCTGTGGTGTTATGTTATAGCAACAGAAAATGGACTAAGACATGGTATTTGGAGGTGAGGCCTTTAGGAGGTAATTAGGGTTAGGTGAAGTCAGGTGAGTAGAGTCCTTTTTGCAAGAAGGTGACAGTCTACAAGCCAGGAGGAGAGCCCTCACCAGGAATCAACCATGCTGGCAGCCTAACCTCAGACTTCTCAACATCCAGAACTGTGAGAAATAAATTTCTATTGTTTAAGGCACCTAGAATAGGGCATTTTGTTATAGCAGCCCGAGCAGATGAAGACACCTACCACCACTCAGCTTTGGAACCAGGATTCTGAACCAAAGCCTATAGATCCTATGTTCTTAACAACTGCATTTTACTACTCTTTGAGAAGAACTGAATTTAGCCAATCAATGTAATTTCACATTGATTTTCATTACTTTTGCTTTCAAAGTTACATATGAAATTTTTTTTGCATGGCTAGATATGTGCTGGATGACTAAGAATTTTATAATTGGCATATCAATAATCAAATCAGTTTTCCTAATAAAATGACATGTCTGATTTCTGCAAAAGCTCTTCAGTGTCCTCTCAAACTGAGAAAGCTGGAAAGTAGAGTTTTCAAAAGAGTAAAAATAATAATAAAAAAAAGTTAAGGCAGTACTGCTGAGAATTTAAATTCTCTGCAATGTCGAAACTTTTGAAATATAAAACTTTTAAAAACAGTTTCACTGAGGTATACCTTACATCCCATTTTAGCACTTGTAAAACCTTTGTCTTTAACTGTATTGTGATAACATTGATATCCTGCTTAACATAAGAAATATTATTTTAATTGAAAACATTATTCATGATAATTTAAAAAGCTGCTATTAACTTCTACATCTGTCAGTAAATCTACTAAAGTTTAGTTCAAAATATGCCGGCAAAGGAATCTTAAATTCTCTTAGTGCCATCTAAATAAAACTGTATTTCTTCTAAGTTCTATTGTAAACAAAGCAAAGGACTATGCCAGAATATATAGCAATTAGAGAAAAATGCCTACTTTTCCTCTTTGCACTTATTTTGTGCGCTTGTTTCTTGTTTTGTGTAGGTTTGATGATTTTGCCAAATTGCACGGTCAGCAAACAGTTCGTTGTGGTCCAACACCCAGGATAGGGACTATGAGACCGTTTGCCAGGTGCTAGGTGGTGTTCAATCATCTCACGCCTGAAGCTCTTCATCAGTCTTCTGTTGCTCAGGCTCTTCACTGTCTCCATCCCACGTGATGAAAGACAGGCGTGTCTCTGGCCAGGGACTAAGGCGCCATGAGCATGTGTGCTTTGTTTGGGTGTTGGTGTGCTCTGACTCATGCTCTCAGTGGCCCTCGAAGGCACCAGGTGAAAGAAGAGGGTCAGACAACCACTAGCCACAGCTGTGGCAGCCTCGGTTCAAAAATGTAAAATCTGCCATGCAGGCAGTTTCAAAGACTTAACCTATGCCCTTGTATAATTATTATTTTTACTTCTTTTATAGCAACGTTCATTTTCTAACCTGAAGGTGGTTCAGGTGATGTTCTAATCTGCTTTTGAGTTTGAAAATGCATCTACCAGATGATTCATGGTGGCTGCCGAGGTGGTGAATACCGAGGATCCCAAAATGAAAAATTACGGAGGGAAACTTAGAAAAGTAGTACTCTCTCACAGCCAGAGTGGTGCTGGTGACCCTCCAGTCCAGGCTAAAACAGGTAAGCAAAATATTTGCCTTGTTTTTAATATACATCAAGCAAAACAAGGTTTAACTCTATCTGTGGCATCTACAGCAGCTGTCTCCAAGATGGAGGACAATGATGGGGACCAGGAGGAGGTCAGCAGCCTCAATGGCTGATGTTCTGAAATATTTCTGAGCGGAGCTAAGGGGGAAGTGGTTTGCCAACATTATCAGTTTATTCGTTTGTCCATCCATCATCCATCCATCCATCCATCCACCGAACACCTACAGGCACTGACCATGCCAGCTACTAGAACCCAGAGATGACCATGCCACCCAGACAGACTCCAGGAGGCACTGAACACAGACCCAGGTGAAGTTCTGAGGCCCACCTTGCTCCTTCCCCGAGATGTGCCTGCTGGTGGTGGCAGTGACAGGGCGGCACATCAATGATGAGGTGGAGTATGGAAGAATGGAAGCACTGCCAAGACTCCTGAGTGGCAGAGGCCCATTCTATTATCTGTGGACACCCTCGTTGTATTTCTAAAGAGGTTTTCTCACAGAGCAAAACCACCTGATACCCTAAAATATCATTTAGACAATTATGTTATTATTGTCCCAATTCTTACTTCCACGACAAAACAGCAGATGTGTCATCTCCCAATGAAGATGAAGACAAAACTATTCTCAAAAAGAAATGGAAGAACCATGAAGTAATCTCCATTTGAGAAACAGTTTTGCAAATTCAAAGTGGCTTCTGTGAACTTTGTTTTGGCTGAAATGAACTCCTCCCAAAAATACATATGTTGAGTCCTAACCGTCCTGGTACCTCACAATGTGACTGTATTTGGAGGTAGGGCCTTTAAATGGGTGACTAAGTTAAATTGAGGCCATTAAGGAGGAGCCCAATCCAATCTGCTGGGTGTCATTATAAGAAGAGGAGATTTGGACACCAGACAGAGAAAAGACCATGTGAGGACACAGAGATAGCATGTCATCTATGAGCCAAGGAGCAAGGCCTCTGAGGGAAATAGCCCTGCCATCACCTTGATCTTGGACTTCCAGCCTCCAGGATTGTGAAACAACACATTTCTGTTGTTTAAGCCACCCAGTCTGTAGTATTCATCATGGCAGCCCAAGCAGACTAACACCACTGCCAACTTAAGAGCATGTAACAATATAAAATATGCCCATCTCAAACTACCACCTTCATCCTTATAGGTCTCTACAGTTGGCTTTAATGTTCTCAAGGAAAAGCCTCTGAAAGAAAATGATGAGACAGGAATGTAATGAATGTAGCTTCAGTCCCCCATACTAAGGCATGCCCCCACTACCTTTAGATCCATCCAATGGAGTGGGCAGAGCTTTATCATATAGCCGATAGAATCTGTATCCTGCTATCAACTAATACCAAGCTGTAAGTAACTCATTCACATATGCACAACTCAATGCACATAACTCAATGATGTTGATAAAGTCAGACAAGGAATTCTATGACAACGATTAAACTCACCTTTTCAAATGCCACATTTTGGTAATCATCTGGAATGGGGCTCTTGTTTTTAAAACTGGGAAGACCCAAGGAAAATAGTAGAAAGGCTTTTAAAGGCACCCGTGACGCTAAGGGAAAACATTAGAATGGGTGCATACCAATAGTAACTATTTTTAATCTTATGTCCTGAACACTCTTCCTTTTTGGATGGTGTGTATGAAGGTCTGTGGCTGGCTTCTAAACTGGAAAAGTCACAGATATTTACCCTTGCAGAAAATATCTATAATCATTTCTTCCTTGGAAAAAATAATGACAAACCCTGAATCACATTTCCTAAAATTTTAAAATAATGATGTTGATTTGCTGGTTTATTTGAAAATTCCATGGTAATAAAGTAACCAATTAAATATTTAACCTACTTTTACTGGGACAATTGAGGGAAAACAGGAGGAGGCAGAAGGCAGCTCTCTCACTGGTTCAACAATTCTTCAGCTAGTCCAAAACCCATGTTCTGGTGATTGGTGATTCTGAAATACAGCTGCTGAAGTTTCCACACTGGGACACTTCCCCTAGTGAACATTCTTTTTTGATTCTTTAAGTCAATCTTAAAGAATTCTGAAGTCTCCCAAACCTTTGTTCATTGGACTTCCAGCATTTTTCCCTTGCCACTAATGTCAAAATCCCTTCTTATCCCACTAAACTTTCTGAACTCTCCCTGAATGTTGGAGGATGAAGACAAGTGGGCTGTGTAAAAAAAAAATCTTAGAATGAAGACTTAGGAATAGCGATCATGGGTCCCAGGGGAAGACTTAGATGACCAACAGTTCTAACCACCTTCCTTGCTCAGAAAGTGTCCAGTCAATGGAGAAAGGAAGGCATTATTAGCTCTTGATAAGGCTTTGGCAGAATTTGGGACAGATGGCTGTGTGCTCAGAGGATCAAGTGAAGTTTAAGATACAAGGTGGAAAGGCCAGTAGGACTCACGTGATGTCTCTATCAGGGTTCCTCTCCATCCTAGGGTGTTCCTCACTCCTGCTGGAGGGCTGGTGTTTATATGATGTAGAGAGGTTTGAGGTCTTGGATACAGAAGGGCTGGCTCTGCATTACTAGCGTTAGAGGCACGATACCCTTTAGGGTTTGGCTTCTTGTTGAACTCTACAGATGTTGTTTGGTATATAGTGTCCAAGAACAGTGGCATCACCTGTGAGCTTGCCAGAAACGCAGAATCTAGAGCCCCACCTGAGATCTACTCAAGGAGAATTTTCATTTTAACAAGATCCGAAGTGACTCCTGTACATAGTAAGGTCTGGGAGGCATTGGTCTAAGGTAGAGGGGGAGGAAGAACATGCCAATTTTTACCACGTGATTGCTAAGTGATACTATGCGATGTTAAGTTGGGTTAACTTCCAGACCAACAATTCTCCATAGGAACCCTGCCAGGTTACCACAAACGGCAAACAGGGCAGAGAAACAGGGCAAACCTGGTTTACGAGATTTTTTCCAGAGAAAATGTTTACCAGGTTGCCAAAGGCATCAGAATCAATGGAAATGACATCAATATTCAATAGTAGTGTAGCCACTCACATGCAGACTCCATTCCTAACTGAATTATTCCATTACATGTGCCTATTAAAAAAAAAAACCAATCATGCACACATAGACACATACCAAGCTGTCATTATTGAATGCCTATTCATGGATGTATCGATAATAAAAGACAGTGAGGAGGCTGACTTGATTATATTTTAACTGACTTACATGACCAATAAAGCAATAAACTTATTTCCCTCCATGGGCAATTTTAGTGGTTGAGTATATTTTTAGCATTTCCCTCTGGAGATATAGCTTTATGAACTTCACATGACCCAAACTTTTAATCCACCCCATTTGCGCAAGTTTTTCTTTTTCTCTTTAATAGGATGATAGAAGACTGGAACATAACTGCCTAATTCTGAATTTCAGACTATCTTTCTAAACACAGCACAACACAGGGAGAAGCAACTACCTTCTAGACCATAAATGGCAGAGATCTAGAAGCGGCCAGACAAGGGGTATGAGAAAAAGTATTACAAACAAAAGAAACAGACAGATGCCACATTTTTGTAGCAGCAACTCTGCGGAAGCCAACTGCTTCTCAAACCTGACCCAGCAGCCACAATGGACTTTTAGATGAATGATCCCTCACCAGCGGAGCTCACAGTGGGGGTGGAGATCCATTCCAGCTGATAGTAGGGACGAGCAAGCAACTACTGAAAGGGCTTTGGTGCTTTTGCTTCATTGGTGCTTTTCAGTTTTATTTCAAAAATTATAATAATAAAAAAAAAGACTCTAGGTGTCTGGATCAGTATGCCACATGATTTATAGCACATAAAATCATGGAAAGTCATGCCACTTCCTGATAGCACACAGCTCACGCTGGCCACTGAAACCTTTTTTCTGACTAATTCATTCCATACCGTAGTTTTCCATGGCTGATTCATAACCATATCCTACTTTTCTCATTTCCTGAAATGATTCTGATGAAGCTTATTCCACATAAAAAGTGGAACAATATATAAAACCCAGACACCTAGGTACAATTTAAAAATCTTAACTCTAAATCCCAAATCAACATTTGGCCATACATTCCTAAGATGAACCACTGTTTCTGGATTCTAAAGGACACTGTATATTCCAGTAAGCAAGCCTGTAGCACAGTGCTGGGTTCATGATCAAAACGCACTGAGTTCATTCCAGAGTCAGCTCTACTTGTGATGAAACAAATAACCTATAAAGCGAAATCTTTTCAGACCAAAGAGAGGTCTGAAATCGAGAAGAAACATAATGAGGATGCAAAGGGGATAAGAAGCAGCAACTACACCCTGGCTCTGTAAGACGGCATGTCATTACACCTTACTCAAAGGGACTCCTCAATATTTAATCAGCGATTTTTTACATTATTACCTAAAGGAACTGGAGTACTTTAAGTTGCCTCAATTTGCTGGCATTTTAAGGAAGATAAATGCTTTAGAATTACTTATGATTAAGACAAAAATCTCAGAAACAATGCACTATTCGAATCTTTAGCTAGAGCTCTCGGGAGGAGAGTAAACAAGATAACTCTACTGGTTGCTTCTCATACTCATCTTCTTTCTTTGAGACAGAAATCTTTTTATTTTCCTAGTTAGTAATCAAGTATGTGTTTCTATGGAAAAAATGTAAACACATTTTGAATTATGCCATCGCTTTCACCTTGAAATCATTATTTTATTAAGAATCACTCAGTATTTCTAACTACCTACTAGCAAGTCATTTTTAGAAATCTTTCTTTCAAAGTGAATTCTGTATTAGGTGCTGAAAGTGTGGTGCTGAAACCACAGAGCTGCTGATACATCTGGAGGCTGGGGTAAACACTGGCTGCTGAAACCACCAGGTGAGAGGCGGATCAGGAATTGCAGAAGCTGGGCCAGACTGAACACACCTGAAGCCAGGGATGGTGCTTTTAACATCACAGAAGGAGACAATCAGTGATCACATGCGTCTTGGTGTACAGCAATAGTCAGTACAGGATATTTCGTGTGAAGTAGTCTTGTCCAAATAAAAACAAAACAAAAACAAAAAACTCTGATTTTTCAGCAAGCTCCCAGGCCTCTGAGTTTAGATAAATAGATGTATATTAGTCCGTTTTCATGATGTTGATAAAGACATACCTGACACTGGGCAATTTACAAAAGAAAGAGGTTTAATGGACTCACAGTTCCATGTAACTGGGAAAGCATCACTATCATGGTGGAAGGCAAGGAGGAGCAAGTCACATCTTACATGGATGGCAGCAGGCAAAGAGAGCTTGTGCAGGGAAACTCCCATTTTTAAAACCATCAGATTTTGTGAGCCTTATTTACTATCATGAGAACAGCATGGGAAAGACCTGCCCCCATGATTCAATTATCTCCCACTGGGTCCCTCCCACAACACGTGGGAATTATGGGAGCTACAAGAAGAGATTTGAGTAGGGACTCAGAGCCAAACCATATCAGAGGGAATGCAGAGATGTGCTAAACAGTGCTAACAGTGCACTTGCTGTTTCCAGACTGTGGGACAGCCTATGAGACATATGAAAACAGTTTCACTGGGGACCTATGACAAAGGATGGAGAAACCAGATGAAAAGAGACAGAAGAGACAGATCACTGAAATGCAGTGAGTGCCTCTTATTTGGATTCTAACGCAAACACGCTAATTATAAAAAGACATTCATGAGCCAATCGGGGACATTTGAACACAGAATGGATATTTGGTGATATTAAGAAAGTACATTTACTTTATTTTTGTTAAGTGTCCTTATCTCTTAGAGATACATACAAATGAAATGATATGATGCCTGGGATATGTTTAAAATGATCCCATGATTGGCAGGGTGGCTCATGTCTGTAATTTCAGCACTGTGGGAGGCCAAGGCAGGAAGATTGCTTGAGCCCAGGAGGTCAGCACTGTAGTGAGCTGTGGTTGTGCCACTACACTCCAGCCTGGCGACAGAGCAAGGCTGTGTCTCAAAAAAAAAAATAAATAAAATAATAATAATAATAAAAAAATAAAATTACTCCATGGTGGGAAGTGTGGGAAGGAGGATTCCATGTACTGATCATTGTTGAGGCTGGGTGAGGAGCTGAATATAGGGAGTTCATTAGAATATCTTCCATGCTTTTGTATACACTTGACAACCTCCATAATAAAAAGGTATTTTTAAAAAAATAAAAGGCAGGCCGGGCACCGTGGCTCAAACCTGTAATCCCAGCACTTTGGGAGGCCGAGGCAGGTGGATCACGAGGTCCAGGAGATTGAGACTATCCTGGCTAACACGATGAAACCCTGTCTCTACGAAAAATACAAAAAATTAGCCGGGCATGGTGGCGGGTGCCTGTCGTCTCAGCTACTCGGGAGGCTGAGGCAGGAGAATGGTGTGAACCCGGGAGGCAGAGCTTGCAGTGAGCTGAGATCGTGCCACTGCGCTCTAACCTGGGCAACAGAGCGAGACTCCATTTCAAAAAATAAATAAATAAATAAATAAATAAATAAATAATTAAAGGCCAAAAAAAAAAAAAAAAGAGCAGTAAAGACTTGAGGCTAGGTGAGGTGGTACATGTCTGTAATCTCAGCACTTTGGGAGGCTGAGGCGGGAGGATAGCTTGAGCTCAGGAGTTTCGGACCAGCCTGAGCAACATGGTGAGAAACTCAATCTCTACAAAAAATAGAAAAATTAGCCGGACATGGTGGTGTGCGCCTCTAGTCCCAGTTACTTGGGAGGCTAAAGTAGGAGAATCGCTTGAGCCCAGGAGGTCGAGGCTGCAGTGAGCTGAGATCGTGCCACTGCACTCCAGCCTGGGTGACAGACTGAGACCTTGTCTCAAAAAATAATAATAATAATAATAATAATAATAATAGGTTTAAAATAAGGTCAGCACTACCCATGCTAATTCTAAAGGGATGTGGCATAAGATGGCTTTCACAATAAAATGTACAATTCATACAAGTTGAAAATATGTAATTTAATTTTTAATGATTTTTCAAGTGAGGTCTCTGATACTCTGATGATACTAAAAATATACAACAGAACTCTCTTGGAAATAGTTTATTTTTGCAATCATTGTAATACAGTCAGTAGCAAAAATATTTAGAACACTTTTCAAAAGGCTAAAAAAATATGACAGAACGTTTCAGTGCACCGTTCAGGTGAAGACCAAGTATTATTGAAGTTTTTGTTTCTTCCAATGTAACAGAAGAATACTGAGCCCAGTGGTGTGACGTCAATCACATTACCTATGAGGTTGCAGGGCCATGCTGAGAAGGGTGCTTTCACTGCACTCCTGATGAAAATATGGGGACACATTTATGGTCCTTTAAAAGCTGTAAAAGGCTGGGCATGGTGGCTGACGCCTGTAATCCCAACACTTGGGAGGCCGAGGCAGGCGGATCACCTGAGGTCAGGAGTTCGAGACCAGCCTGGCCAACATGGTAAAACCCCATCTCTACTAAAAATACAAAAATTAGCTGGGTATGGTGGTACACGCCTGTAATCTCAGCTACTCGGGAGGCTGAGGCAGGAGAATTTCTTGAACCCGGGAGGCGGAGGTTGCAGTGAGCCGAGATCACGCCACTGCACTCCAGCCTTGGTGACAGAGTGAGACTCTGTTTCGAAAAATAAAATAAAATTAAATTAAATTTAAAAAAGCTGTGAAGACCACACCAGAGCCCCTGGTAAAGGTAATGTCCATTCGGCTAGATAAGCCACATGGACACCTCACACTTGGATAGCTCACTCCAGCCACCTATGTCAGAAACACTAACTCATAATTCCCACAACGCCCCACTGAGGTGTGCAGGTGGCAGCCCACATGTTTCTGTTCCATCTATGGAAGGCTGGTGCAGGTCACGTGATTGCTCAAGTCGGGGAATGAGTCAAAGGGAAGGCTAGAAAGACAGTCCAACCCAACACCCTGAGATCCCAGCAGGCACCTTTAACTATCACAGTGTGCCTTTGCCAAGCCTGGGGAAGATGCTAAAATGAGTGACAGATTCAGTTACATTAGCAAGTAACACGTGGTGGCTTTTTAAAATTTGAGACAATTTTTTAAAATAGTAAACATCAACACAACTTTCTCATTTAACATACTTGAAAGATGAGAAAGGTGGTGGCCATCTTTCACAAAAAAAGATGATGCTGATAGATTTAACAGCCACTAGTGATGAAGATGGCGATGATGAAGATGATGAGAAATAGCAGCGATCCGAAATTGACTGCCAGTCACCTATCAGGTATGGATGTAAGCAGTCAACACTCACTCTCTCATGTAACCCTCAAGCCACTCTAGGAGACAGGTACTATCACTTTTTTATAGGTGAGGAACTAAGGCTACATGTTGTGCTTAATTCTCTTGGATGTCCGACCTGGAATCAGAATTTGAGGTAAAGTGACAATGAAATTGTACCCAGCCTAACACAAATTCTTAAAATAGTGAAGAATAATCCATCAAGCCTGTGATGAACTATGTTGACAAGTTCAAGCTGTTGAGGAGGTGCTTGTGCGTTACTGATAGAAAAGGATAATGCTTTTCATGCTGCCGACCATTCACAAGACATTTGGCTATTCCATAAAAGAGATTCTCCCTCTCGAACTCCGAGGGAGAAGGCTGTTTCAGGTTCCCATCACCAAACCACTCTGCAGCTGGGGTGCCCTGCTACCCGGTGCAGGAGCCCTGCACCAACACTCTGACAAAGAACTCCATGAGACAGTCAGAGATGGAAAGGTTTGCCAGGCCAGGACTTCCTCTAGGAAAGCAGGCCTCAGGTTCAGACCTGTTTAAGCTGACACCCAACTCCACCTCCACCGTGACTGAGAATTGAGATGACTGATGAGCTGGAATGATCAAGAAAGGCTAAGAATCATCAGGAAAGGAAATGATCAAGAAGAAAACGTTCATCATTGTTTAAGAAGGCAGGGTTGGACTGTCCATTTTAGACACTGATTCCTCAAATGGTTAAACATCACATTTCTAACAACCAAGAGGCTATATACCCTTCAGCTCTACAGAAAATCTGGCCATCTCAAACAACTTAACGTATTTCCTAAAGATTTTGAATTGTAGAGTTTTACTCTGGTTTTTCAAGGAACCACGGCATCTTCAAAAGGACACTGGTTCTAGGAGTCTGAAGTCCTGGTTTCTAGCTCTCGCTTTTCCAGTAACAAACTGAGTTGCACTGGGGAGAACATTTCATCTCCTGGATCTCGCCCTGTCTGTCGCAAAATCAACGGTAAAGGCTCCCTGGGCTCCAATGCTCCAATGGAATTCAGGGAATCCAAAAGGATGTGACCGGAAAGAACACAATCATGGATAATCTCATTCAGCTTATATAAGTGAACAAAGTGTGGGAAAGCAAGGCAGAGGTATTAGCACTCAAGTGTATTAATATCTATGCTAATGGAATACTACAAGAAACATTCCACCTAAATGCTAAAAACAGGTTTCCAATTAATCATAATTTAACAAAATACAAATTGCTGTCAGTCTAGCTACATGAAATTCCCACTAGGGCCACTGGAAATTGAGAGAATGCAAAGATGGATGGATGTAGTCTACTTATTCCAGGAATAGTTGGAAAATTTGGAATAAGGCCAGGATTAGGGAAAAAATAAAACAAAACTTGCCTGACAAATTGAGTAGTGTTGGGAAGTTTAATACAATCTGTGACTGATTCACAGCGCAGGAGTCTTTCTGTAAGAAGAGCCCTGTTTGTTCTGGGCAGTGGCTTATATGTTCAAGAATGAGTTCAGATGAGTGCAACTTCAAGTAGAGCTCCACAATGAATCCAATTACGTAGGCGGCCACCACAGCACTTCTTTAACTTTCGTAGGCAAGGAAGAAGATAAAGAACTCATTTGTAAGGTATACAAATGCCCTGCTGGTAATGGTCTAATAAGCCTAACAATTTAAATGCCATGCTCTGAAATAACCCTTTGTTTCGGTGGATTGAGTCAGCCAAAGTATCCGGAACTGGGTCCCACAGAGGGTCCTGATGTTCTTTGGAACATAGCTCACATTTTCCAGTTTATTATGCAGGTTCTGACTGATAATAATTCTGTCACAGTCAACCTACACTTTGCAGTTTACAAGGTCATTTCACATGTATTAACTCTTTCAAGTTTCTCTAAAACCTGGAGAGGATATAGGGAAGGTGTTAACTATCCTTACCTTTGAAGAAAGGAGGCTTGGTGAATTGAGACTACTTGCCTAAGGTCAGGCAGCTCACAATCGCCAGCATCAACATTCACATTCCTGCCCTGTGATTCTGTGGTCCCGGATGGCTGTACCCAAATATTTCTTCCTGAAGGTCTTTGAGTTAGTCCTGAAAAAGGCACGGTTCAGGTACACTGACATGCCTTCAAGTTTCCACGGTGAGCCAGTGAACATTACTTAACGAGAGCAATGGTGAGCTCATGCAGATCTCAGGCTCTGAACTGAGAAAATGTTCAGACCATTAAAAAACCTTTCTCCCCCCAACAATTTTGTCTTTTAATCTAAGAAGTCAGGTTCTTGGCATTTCTGACCACTCTAACACAAATCCAGAATTTGCCTAAGCGAGCAAAAGAGGATGCACAAATCATGACTGTAACAAGCCTGGTTTAGTCTGACGGGGTTGCCGGTACAGGCACATTCTAGGATAGATGCAGGCAGCCCATGAAAGTCCCAGGGAAAGAAGTCCACACTGGGAGGGGCTAAAAGCTTCGGACAGGTGGCTAATTCTAAAGTTCCTTCTGTGAACTGCTCCACATAAGCAAAGCAACCTAGACTTCCCTAAGAATTTGAAAGCAGGATCTTACTTTATCATTTTTCCATCTTTTACGCTTAGAACAAAGAAGTAACAAAGAATAAGAATAAAAATCAAGGAGAAAGAACAGAGGCAAACAATAGTGCCCATACTGATACTTATTTTAAGATTGTTGATTTTTGTGGGACATCCATTTCCTGGAAAACTTTACAAAAGAGGATTGTTGTAAAGTTCTAAATGATGAAGACAGGGCTTTATAACGGAAACCATTTCTCAATTCTTTAATAATTTTAATACTTAATAATTAGCACCAGAAGAAAATTTGGTTGAAGTGATGACAAAAAGAAAATCATGTGTGAAAAATTGGAAATATTGACATGATTTCACAAAGACATCAGAAGAATGATACATTTGTGCAGGAAGTACAGTAAGAGCCTGGGGGAAGCTAAATGGAAAATTAGTGGTCAAATAAAGAAACAAAAGAGAGCAATGTCCAGTAAGGCCATTCTGACTATAAAGCCATTCTGACTATACTCTTACAAACTGATGTGATTTGGCTCTGTGTCCCCACCCAAATCTCACCATGAATTGTAATCTCGATAATCCCCACATGTCAAGGGTGGGACCAGGTGGAGGTAATTGGATCATGGGGGTGGTTTCCCTCATCCTGTTCTGGTGATAATGAGTGAGTTTCAGGGGATCCGATGATTTTATAAGTGCCTATCATTTCCCCTGCTTGCACTCACTCCATCCTGCCGCCCTGTGAAGAAGGTTGCCTGCTTCTCCTTTGCCTTCCTCCATGATTGTAAGTTTCCTGAGGCCTCCCCAGCAATGCAGACTGTGAGTCAATTAAACCTCTTTCCTTTATAAATTACCCTCTCTAGGGTAGTTCTTTATAGCAGCATGAGAATGGACTAATTCACAAACTAGTGCTGTGTTGACATCATGATCAGAGTAAATACGGGATAAAAGTTCCCAAGCTATGCAACTTTCTCCAGCAGGAGAAACTTTTTTTTGGGCAAGTGGTTACTTTAAAACTTTATTTTTAGTACAAGGGAAAATGATCCCAAAAGTGTATTTGTAAGCTATGGTTTGACTATTTTTGATGTCAGGAACTGTGATTCACCTACAATATCCAACTTATTTTAGATATTATTCTAATGCTCTCTACCTAAACAAAAATACATTTGAAATAGTGAAATCTTTCTCCAAGAGTTAAAAATGCTGGAGCTAGTTTTGCTTGGCTGGTCTGAAATACTTGAAAGCAGAACTGCAAGAACTAGCACTTTCTGGAAAGTGTTGACCTCTTTCTGGATAATTTTATAAAGAAGTTAGCTACCTCAGTAAACTGTTTATGAAAAAAAGAGAAGCTAAACATGAATCCATGCACAGTGTCAATGCTTTTGATACTGAATTCTAACTCAAGACCTGAATTTTAACTCAAGAATATTCCGTCAATATTGGCCCGACGTTCAGGGCCACGGTGGTCCCACAGCTGAGGACAGCTGGAGCACGCTGGGCTGCTCCTGCCCACTGCAATTTTCTATAGGCACACAGGATTGAGGGATTTGGTTCCTTAAAAGGCTCGAGATCCTATCCCTTCTCATTCGGAGACTACCCAGAAAATCCCTGGTCATTTATCACTGCAGTGCACTGGTGCCACACTCAATTACATTTCCTTCCATGTGACTGCATTAACCAGAGTGGGGCACTCCCAGATCTGCCCCATACTTTCTGTGAGGTCATACTGAACAAGCACTTCAAGAAAATCTGACTGAATGCTCCATGAATTCCATTATGAAGGCATATAAAACAATCATCTTGCTCCATTTCCTTCAGGGGCAATTTCTTAAGGCTACGTTTTGGCCAGAAGTCAATAAAGACTTCATGGAGCACCGATTTACTCTGCAGTGACATCTTTTGGTACATTCTTACGCTCCTGGAAAATCAAACACTCTATATTCCATGACTTCCCCGAATATTCTGCTCCATTTGGTCATCACTGATTAGATGCCTACCATGTGCCAGGCATTCCCAGGAAAGCGTATTTCCATGGTGGCATATGAATAAAGCCAGGTGACAAATGCTGTGGGCAAGGGGAGCATGCACAGAGGGTCCCCAAGGAGTGATGTGGGAGAGCAGAGGCGACATGGGTGGTGCCACCTCAGTCCCTCTTCCCAAGGTGCTCTCACTCACCTGAAACTTATCCTAGACTTTGAAAGTCTAGAATACTTTCAAAAGGACACTTTCACATCAACTCAGGCAAATGCAAAAGTTAAATTCTCCATTGTCAACGGTGGTATCAGGGCTCTGGGCTACCCAGGATCAAATCCCAGATTCGCTCAGCCCTCGCCACCTTTGGTAAGTTATTTGATCTCCATGTACTTTAGTTTTCTCATCCATAAAATACAATAATAATAACATGGTACCTAGCTTGTGCAGTGGTGATGAAGATTCAATGAGATAGGTGTAAAATGCTCATGGTACCCAGTGATATTATAATAACGCACAGTAGGATATTCTTATCTACGATAATCAGAGATCCTATTCATGTTGCATCCATGGCAACCTGCTGCCACCAGCACGCCATCAGCTTATCTTATTAAGTTGCCTATTTTGTTCCTCTTCATTTCCACCTTTGTTTGACACACAGAACAGGGACTCTTCCATAAACAAACCTTTTAACTTCCCCTTACCTCCACACGCACACCATTGCCATCAGTATTGATTGTGGTGTCCGCTGTTTTCAGGGTAAAGGAACATGGGGAGACAAAGACCCCAACTTGTTAGAACTAACATCTAAAGCAGAAAGCCAGTTCTCTCACTTTAGCCACCAGAAACCTGAGAATACACAGTAAAATCTAGCATAAAACTCAACTTGGGGCCAATCTGACAGAATATTTTTGAGTTAAAATTTAGGGTTTATTGATGTGGACACTGAAAAGTAATCCAACCTTTCTGGAAAACCATTTGACAAAATGCAATCATATTTATAAAGGGTCCGTAGTCTTGAGAGTTGGTAATTCCATTTGGGGAAATTATTCCTACATTAAAAAAGATAAGTTGTATAAAGATGTTTAAGTCTGCTGTTTATGACAGAAAAAACATGTGGGGAAATGAAGAAACAGCTACCGTTCACTCAGCAGAGTGCTGGTTTATCAGCACCAAGGGCAGGGAAGCATGAAAAGGCTTCCAGAACTGCATTGAACTTAGCATGGCTGAAGTCCATGGGGTAGGGCAGTGTATTAGTCCATTCTCACACTGCTATAGAGAACTGCCCAATGGCCAGGCACGGTGGCTCATGTCTGTAATCCCAGCACTTTGGGAGGCTGAGGCAGGTGGATCACTTGATGTCAGGAGTTCCAGACCAGCCTGGCCAACATGGTGAAACCCATCTCTACTAAAAATACCAAAAAAAAAAAAAAAAATATATATATATATATATATATATAGAGAGAGAGAGAGAGAGAGAGAGAGGCAGGCATGGTGGCAGGTGCCTATAATCACAGCTACTCAGGAGGCTGAGGCTGAAGAATCACTTGAACTAGGGAGGCGGAGGTTGCAGTGAGCCGAGATAGTGCCACTGCACTCTAGCGTGGGCGACAGAGTGAGACTCTGTCCCAAAAAAGAAAAAAAGAACTACCCGACATTGGGTAGTTTATAAAGGAAGAGGTTTAATCAACTCACAGTTCCGCATGGCTGGGGAGGCCTCAGGAACCTTACAATCATGGTGGAAGGCACCCTTCACAGGGTGAAAGAAGAGAGAATGAGTGCCAGCAGGGGAAATGCCAGACACTTTATAAAACCATCAGATCTCAGGAGACTCACTATCACAAGAACAGCATGGGGGAAACCGTCCCCACGATCTGACCACCTCCACCTGGTCCCCACCCTTGACATGTGGGCATTATGGGGATTACAATTCAAGATGAGATTTCGGGTGGGGACACAGCAAACCATATCAGGCGGGGGGATCACAGGGCAGGAAATGAATAAGAAATGAAGCTGGAGAGGCAGGCAGGGGCCAGATCCATTGGTGGAGGAACCCGGACACTGTCCCATAAGAACTGTGAGACTGCCAGAAGGAAGGAATGCAGCCAGGCTGCGATTTGGGGGAAGACTGCCCTGGGCCGCCCAGAGCCTGATGTGAAAGGAGACTGGGGAAAGGAGAGAACAGGGAGGCAGGGACAGACAGCCAGGGTAGCAAGGAGGGCCAGGCCAGTGAATAAGAGTGGAATAGCAACACAGCGGAGAGTCACAACCACATGAAATGTGGGTTGTGATCACTGGAAAAAATTTAAAGTAAAGCTGAAGTAATGTAAGTTGGATACAATATTCATTAATTATTTTTCTATGAAGTTTATAAAAGCCTCATAACTATAAATATACATATTTATATTTTAAAATCCTGGGCTTGACCTCTGCTTGTCATCTAAGATAGTGCTACCCAATATGTGATCAGTGGGGAGGGGCCAACATGTCATGAGGGAAAACCAGAAAAAGAGAATTAGCCTTTAAAACCTTTAAATTTATCAGAAAACTTGTATGACTGTTGGAACTAATAAGAAAAAGCTGACCGGGTGTGGTGGCTCACACCTGGAATCCCAGTGCTTCGGGAGGCCAAGACAGTAGGATTGCTTGGGCCCAGGAGTTAAAGACCAGCCTGGGCAACAAGTGAGACCCCATCTCTACCAAAATTAAACAAACAAACAAACAAAACCAGTCAGGCATGGTGGCATGCACCTGTGCCCAGCTACTGGGGAAGATTGCTTGAGCCCAGGAAGTCAAAGTCAACAAGTGAGCCGTGATGGTGTCACTGCAATCTAGCCTGGGCAACAGAGTGAGACCTTGTCTGAAAAAGAAAAGAAAAAGCTAAGGCTTGTATTCCATGTCTCTTTTTGTTCCACTTCATTCTTCTAGTAATTCACTTTTATCATATTATGTTTATCCGTTGGCAACAGGTTGGAAATTTAAACAAAAACCAGGTTTCCCTGGTAGATAGTTTGAGAAGTGCTAACTAAAGACATCACATTCCTGCTGGGCTTTCAGGGCTTGGCAGTGCACAGAGGGCAGCCTGCTCCAGCTCACACTCTGTGGCAATGTCACCTATCCTATCCCGTGCCCTCAAATGGGGGCTACTGCTCCACTGACACGCTGGTTGGGAAGGTGAGGGCGCTGCAGCTGAAACAGCTGTATTACACAGGAGTACAGCCATAACTGAGGAAGATGCTTCTTTAATAACCACTTATATGAGTGTGTGTGTATATGTATTGAACAAACTGTTCAACAGATGGGAAAACATGGCCTACACAAGAAATGGTGCCACTACATAGCCCCAGAACTCTTTCCTGACCAACACATTCATTTTTTGTCATTTTAAAATGCAGTATTAGGTGAATTCAATGAGCCTCCTTCTATGTGTGCTCGGCAAAATGTGTGGCTTACATAACTAGCACAAAGAGCTGGTATACCTTGTGATATAATACACTTCACAGTATCTCTTCCCCAGCGACCATGTATACACATTTGCCTGAAGCTCTGCAAGGGCGGAGCTCACACCTGGGTTTTGCTCCCCAATGTGTGTGTGTTCGTGTGAACCATCTACCAGGTGTCGGGGCTGGAGACTACGTTCACGCAGGAACACTTTCCGTCACCTGCTGAACCTGCTACGTCTCTGGAATGTACTACACAACAGTACAGCAGAAGTGGAGATATTTCTGGCCTAAGGGAAAGGGGCACTATTTCAGAGCTGCATAAAGATGAAATGGGCTGTCTAGGGACAGAGGAAGCTGCCTTTTCCTGCGAGTAGGTAGAGGCCGGGCAACCATGTGGCATGTGGCTGGGCAGTCCAGCCCCAGAGTGGATTGCTTCTGGGCAAATGACTCCCAGAGTCTTCTCCTAATCCAGGGTCTCCAAATTCTGTGCGAACCCCAGACCCACTCAATATTCCAGGACTAGGGTCTGTGGCAGGTTACCCTTCCTGAACAAATGGCCACTAACATTCCCTGAGTCCACATGGCTGAAAGTTACACTTCATGGCAACAAACTGTAAATAAAATATGTTCCATTTTCCTTCCTTGAAAACAAATGTGGTCACAGTGACCTGGAAGGCCACATTCAAATTTAGGATTCTCAGCTCCCTGGAGTCCCTCACTGGAATGGACAAAGAATGGAGAGTGGGACCAGGCCTCACCTGAAGACCCAGGCCTTACCTGAAAAAAAGGGGCAGAGGAGGGGTCAGAAGCACACCAAGCAAACTCACTTCACTGTTCTCTGACCTGATGGTTTTTGTGTTGGTCCCTGCTGTGTTGCTCTCAGGGAATACCTGAGACTGTGTAATGTATAAAGAAAAGAGGTTTACTTAGCTCATGGTTCTGCAGGCTGTACAAGCACGCACCAGCTCTGCTCGGCTTCTGGTGTGGCCTCAGGAAGCTTCTACTCATGGTGGAAGGTGAAGGGGGAGCAGGCGTGTCACATGGCAAGAGAAAGAGCGAGAGAGGAGGAGGTGCCAGGCTCCTTTAACCAACCAGCTCTTCTGTGAACTCATAGAGTAAGAACTCAACTCACTACTGCAAGAACAGCACCCAGCCGTTCATGAGGGATCTACCCCCTTGACCCAAACATCTCCCACCAGGCCTCCCTGCAACACTGGGGATCACATTTGAACATGACATTTGGAGGGGACAAACATCCAAACTACACCAGCTTTAAACTAACAAACTTGATCAATGGTACTGCTTTGCCTCCCACCTCCCCACCCCCTAAATCCTGCTGTGGTTCTATGTAAAATTTCAAAATTTGTGTAGACACAAACAAAATGCTTCAAAGTAAGAAAGGTACAAGTAATTTCCACTAAAAAGAAACCCCCGAGGCTGGGCGCGGTGGCTCACGCCTGTAATCCCAGCACTTTGGGAGGCCAAGGCGGGAGGATCAGGAGGTCAGGAGAATCGAGACCATCCAGGCTAACATGGTGAAACCCTATCTCTATTAAAAATACAAAAAATTAGCCGAGCGTGGGGGGCACATGCCTGTAGTCCCAGCTACTCGGGAGACTCTGGAATGTACTACACAACACTGCAGCAGAAGTGGAAATATTTCTGGCCTAAGGGAAAGGGGCAGGAGAATTGCTTGAACCCAGGAGGCGGAGGTTGCAGTGAGCCGAGATCAAGCCACTGCACCCCAGCCTGGAAGACAGAGTGAGACTCCATCTCAAAAAAAAAAAAAAAAGAAAGAAACTCCTGAATACTTCGAAAGTTGAGAACACAAGCTCTAAGAGGCATACTTCTGTTAGAAAAAAAATATTTCACCACTCATGCTAATCTGAAATCTATTTTCAAATTCAGAACTTCGGTCTAGTTACTGACTGGGAAGGTGCCAAGGTTCTACCTACACCTAAGAAGTCCCTAGCAGCACGGGCGCCACTGGAATTTCCCACTTGTCGCTGCTGTTGATGCAAGGAAATCGCAACATAAGAGGAAAATGGGGTTGGAGCCACGAGGCTTGCTTTTGCCACTTATCTTCCAGAGTTCATTCTGCTACATGGACAGAAGATAACTGGAGTGAAATAGATATTTCCCTATGTTCCTTCTGCATTTGGTTGGTCAATGTCAAAGTAAGGACCAAATTCCATCTGATAGCTAAGCGCACAGAAGGGGCTCGGCTCTGGGAGCAGTGAGGGTGTTGGCGGATCTGTATGGCAATACTCTTAAGACAGCTTCCACCAGGATGTGAGCCTCCTGCTTGGGACCTCTGCCCCAGCTTTCATAGCATGCCATGGTCCCTTTAGAAGGAAGCCCGAAGTGCACATTGAAAGCTGACCTCTGCTTCATTCAGCACTGCAGCTGCCTGGGGCCACTTCCACTGACCTCATCAGCCCCTACAATCGGAATTCAGCCTTGAAATCTAGACACTTTTTTGTGCTCATGTTAGAAAAAGGAACTAAAAGTGCTCTACCTTTGATGCAAATCTCCCCCCTGCCTCCCACAAATCCAACACAGGACCTTGCTATATATAATTAGATGAGCTGGCAAGAGCTTGACCTCAAATGTTTTTTTAACTTTTCAGTTAACTTTGAGAATTTGGTTTTCCAACTTCACAATGAAGTGAGCTTGTAACTTTGAGTCTAGAAAGTGTGTTTGTTGGCGAGATGGCAGCGATGCCCGGAGTCACGGTGTGTTTGTGCCACCTTGGTTCCCTGTGTTTACAGCAGAATGAGCTCTTAGAGGGCTCTCCTTACATCCACTGGAGGAATTGCATGCTAATCATACGTGAAGGAGGTCTTTAAGAAGAAAGGAGCCTTGCTTCTCTGAGGAATCATACTCATGAATTGCTGGGGCAGAACCAGCAGGCAGCGTGCACTTGGGCCTGCTTTCCAGTAGCTCTGAGAAGGCCCAGAGCCATTTCAAGTCTGATTTCATTTCATCCCTTTTTTCTTCAATGTCTTCCTTTCTGCAAGATCTTTCTTAGTGTATTAGTCTGTTTTCACGTTGCTGATAAAGATATACCCAAGACTGGGAAGAAAAAGAAGTTTAATTGGACTTACAGTTCCACATGGCTGGGGAGGCCTCAGAATCATGGTGAGAGACAAAAGGTGCTTCTTACATGGCGGCGGCAAAGGAAAATGAGGAAGAAACAAAAGTGAAACCTCTGATAAACCCATCAGATCTTGTGAGACTTATTCACTACCATGAGAAAAGCATGGGGGACACCGCCCCCAGGATTCAAATGATCTCCCACCAGGTCCCTCCCACAACATGTGGGAATTATGGGAGTACAATTCAATAGGAGATTTGAGTGGGGACAAAGAGCCAAACCATATCACTTAGTGTGTAAATTTTAGAGTAGCCTCTGAGCAGTATTATTTAGTCACACTATAGGTTGCATAGGTTTCTGTGGGCTTGAGAATACAGTATTGTCTCTGTGGAAAATGCCTTCCAGCACTAAACAGCAAGTGCAGAGAGAGAATTTTTTTAGACTATAGCTTATTTTTGAAGTTGGAAGAATTGCTATATAGGAATCACCATAAATCCTAAAAGACTGGGCCTCAAATAAGAGCTTTTTTCTTTTATCTCAAAATAATTTAATACAAATACTAACAAACGCACCTTTCTTCCATGGTGATGTTTTATGTGTTACCATATCCTAGATTAGAAACCCACTTATGATAGCATCTATGAGCTCAGACAGAAAGGCAGGGCCTGTCCTTCCTCCACCTGCCTACCCTGGAGTCACTGCCAGAGGCTAAGGTGGAGAAATCACTGTGGCAGAGCTTTCAGGATGGAGTGCCTGATGGGATACAGGGGAGGAACAACTGGAGAGAAAAGGAAGGAAAAGGAAGGAAAAAGCGACTCACAATTTAAGCACATCCTGTGTGCCAGCAACTGTGCTAGGTGTTTATATATATCATCTTAAATTTCTTATCTTGGCTCTGAGGTAGGTGTTATTTACATTTTACAGATGAGGAAATAATCTCATGTCATAATCTCAAACAATAAAGAATTCAAGACTTTGCCCAGGGACACTGATTAATTCCTTCCCGGATCCAGTCTTTGAATGCAGAGACCACAGGGCTCACAAGATCCACTCAAGGGGCTTCGGGTGGGGTTTGGTAGAGGCAAAGGGGCTGGAGGAAGGGAGGTGAAGGTAGTGGTGGGCCTGCCCATGGCTTCTTCTGGAAGCTGGTGGCACAGCCCAACTACAGACTAAAGTTGAAGGACAGACGGGAGGGCCCAGGCCCAAGCTCCCTGGGGTAGCTGAAGGACCCTAAATCCCTATATAAATGCAGTGTTCAATAAGTGTAGTAACTGTAGAGATTTTTTTTAAAAACCATCCAGTCTAGAAAATTCTAGATAGTGAAAAAGGGCCTTTCCTTTCTAAAGATGTAGAGGTTAAAAACTGTTATAGGTAAAATATGATCTGGAGAAAATAAGAGAACTAGACAAGTAAGGGAATAATAATTAAGAAAAAAGAAAGAAGGAGCTTTTTAAGCACAAGGATTCTCAAAAAGACTAGAGTGATTTGCTTCTGCATATAGCTTTCGTTACTTACCAGTGGTGTAAGAGGTCTGGTAAATATGGAAAAAACATCCTAAGAACAGGATGTAAATGACAACCTCTTAGGCAATATGAGTTAAGATTATAAAGCAGCATGACTGACGTCTTGAATTAGTGGTCTACCACTGAAACACGTGGAGCATGTTTTCCACATATCCATGCTGAGTGGCTCAAAACTCTTTTTGCCTTCATCTAGAACACTTTTTTCTGCTGATACATCTCTGTCTTGTGATGATAGTGGACTCTTTTTTTTTTTTTTTTGGAACACTCAAAACCAAAATATGATACATGAAGTGCACAATCAACCCAGTAACACTACGATAAACCAAAAATAGAATGTGACCAGAATCCACATCTAATTTTCTCAAGTGAACTTGCTCCAAATACAATTTAAAAGAGCTACAAACTGCTTTTAGCACAGTGCTAGAATATCCTTTTTTTATAGAAATTTACATGACTTAGGATAAAATATATTTTTTAAAAAATTCTTTCCCCAATCATTGACTCAAGCAAGTTGCAAACTTTAACAAAAATTCACAAAAATTAACCATGATGAAGAAGAGTAAAAAGGATCTGTTCTTAGAGGGGAGTTCCTTTATAAACAAATGAAACATGTGGCCAGGTGTGGTGGCTCAACCCTGTAATCCCAGCACTTTGGGAGGCCGAGGCAGGCAGATCACCTGAAGTCGGGAGTTCGAGACCAGCCTGACCAACATGGAGAAACCTCATCTCTACTAAAAATACAAAATTAGCCGGGCATGGTGATGCATGCCTATAATCCCAGCTACTCGAGAGGCTGAGGCAGGAGAATCACTTGAACCCGGGAGGCGGAGGTTGTGGTGAGCCGAGATCGTACCATTGCACTCCAGCCTGGGCAACAAGAGCGAAACTCCATCTCCAAAAATAAATAAATACATAAATAAAATAAATGTAACATGTTTAAATTTGTCACATTATTTAGTTTTCTGACATACTTGCAAAATTATCCTGAAAAAAAGTTACCACTTAAAATCAATTAAATACATTTTACAAAATTTAAACTTGTATCTACCTCTTCAACAGAAGTATTGTGTTAAAATATTAATGTATTTTTAATTAAAGAGAGCAAATTTCCCTAACAGTGTCAATCAGTTTGTTTTAAATTAGAACTGTACACAGAATACAGATAAAATTTTTTTTGAGACAGGGTCTCACTCTGTTGCCCCAGCTGGGGTGCAGTGGTACAAACATGGCTCACTGTAGTGTTACTTCCCAGGCTCGGGTGATCCTCCCACCTCAGCCTCCTGAGTAGCTGGGACTACAGGTGTGTGCCACCATGCCTGGCTAATTTTTTGTGAATATGGGGTTTCAGCATGTTGCTCAGGCTGGTCTCGAACTCCTGGGCTCAAGCAACCCTCTCGCCTCGGCCTCCCAAAGTGCTGGGATTACAGGTGTGAGCCACTGTGCCTGCCAGATAAAAATTTTTAATGATATTAAAACCATTTAGACAATTTACTTATTGTTGTAAATTACAACAAATGCTTTTACTTGCATGCCTATCAAAGACCTAATTTAATCACCACTAGTGTAATTGGTTTACCAAGAAACTGTGGAAAATGATCATCCTATTTCAAGAAGAGCTCCCTTTTATCATTAAGGAGACACAGTACCCAGTTGTTCCAAAGACGGTAGGATGGAAAATCTGCAGAATTCACCTTCACCTTCTCTGAAGCAAACACAGAAAATCAGTGGGACCAGAATACAAACAGTTAACCCACTATGGCCCAGGGATTTCGCAAGAGGTCAAGGTAAAAAGTCCTCGAATTAAAAATTCCAGGAGATGGCTCCCTCTGCCCAATGAGGACTAGGTTGTCCGAGGGCTGGACTCATCCACATGCCTTTTGGGTCCCGGACCCACTGCTTCTCCAGTGGCAGGCAGAAGATCACAGAATACTGGAGGCGCCTGTAGCTCCGACACCATGTGCCCTCTTTCTGGCTCAGTTCCATTAACTGTAAAATAAGGGACATCCTGGGGCTGGTGGAGGTGGCACAGGGGGTGACTAGGAGCTAATCAGGGGGCCCCAGGGTGGACCCCTACTTCATGAGGGGCTGCTCCACTTTGCTGTTTTATGTGTTGGAGTTCAGTGAAAGAATTCACTTATAAAGATCTGACATTCAGAACAACAACAACAAAATAAAATGAAACTGTTTCAAAACCACTGAGCTTGACCATCTCTAAGGTTTCTTCCAGTCTCAACATTCTAAAGTCCATGAAAAAGGGTGAATTTGGCTGTATTAGTCCGGTCTCACACTGCTACAAAGAACTACCCAAGACTGGGTAATTTATGAAGAAAAGAGGTTGAATGGACTCACGGTTCCACAGGCTGTACAGGAAGCATGGCTGGAAAGGTCTCAGGAAATGTATAATCATGGCAGAAGGGCAAAAGAGAAGCAAGCATGTCTTCACATGACAGCAGGAGAGAGACAGTGAAAGGGGAGATGCTATACACTCTTAAACAACCAGATCTCAAAAGAACTCATTATCACAAGAATAGCAAGGGGGGAATCTACCCCCATGATCCAGTCACCTCCCACCAGGCCCAACACTGGGGATTACAATTCAACATGAGATTTGGATGGGGACACAGAGCCAAACCATATCCTTGGCTTATCTGGACTCTCCTCCTAGATCCAAGCAAATGTCAGCTAAAAATTCTGCATGCAAGATGAAATTATTCTCTTGGGTGAAATGTTGGTTTTACAACAGTGATCAAAGGATGCTTTTTGAAAACTGACTTGATGTAAATGGATAGATTTTTAGCAGAGACCATTCTGGGACCAAAAGTTCCCAACATCCTTTTTTTCTCGGTTCTTCTTGGGACACATTTTGGCATGGTAATGGTGAATGGGGCAGGGAGACACAGACAGACTAAGTCACAAACATGGAAAAAGGATTATTTAGCTAATCTTTTGTATTAACCATCACTGATGGAAATATTTTGCCTTCACTGAGTTCCCTCATCAATGTCCTGTTACCATGCTTGCCTTGCCAAATTTCAACCCTGCTCCTGCTCATAGGTTCCAATAATCGAACATTACAAAACCAGGCCAACTGGTCCCACTACAAATGCAGATAGGTCTTCAAGGCTCTGGGTCAAACTGCCAGTCACCACTTTTTTCCTCTGTACATGTTTCACACCTTCTTATGACCCCAAGTCTTCAGTCTAAGTAGGTGACCTCAACTTCCACTTTATAAAACTAGCAAGGCCAAGTGACTCGAGTTCACTGCTCCCCTGTGTGCTACAACATGTTCCTGCATCTGGACTCTTTCTTGGTCCTTTCTCTGGTATGTCAATAAGGAGCATTCCTCTTCCTCCCAAAGATAATGCCATCTTTTGTTCCCTCAATTCTGCATCTTCCTGCCTCCTCCAAGGCCTTGCTTCATTTTATAATCATGCCTACTTGTAATTTTTGTTGTCGCTGTTACAATATACATTGCTTTTCTAATTAGAAAACCGTCAAAATTATACGTGTCATGAAAACATATAAAGGAGGAAAATATAAGACATACAGAGTTCCTATTTAGGAGGCCCAGCATTACTAGGAGGCCCAGAAAGAACAGAAATCAAAGGGCAGAGCTTAAGGAACGCTACAAAAATCCTCAGGTTCTAAAGAAGATGAATTTTCCAATGGAAGGGACTCACCAAATGAAGCCTACTATGAATACAGACCCATGTGAAGACACATCCACAAAGCATTTCAGAATATCCAAGACAAAGAAGGATGTTTCAAGAGAGACAAAAAATCAGTCATTTGCAAGGGAGTGGAAGTTGGACTGACATCAGTCTTTGCATCAGCTAAATTGGACACTATAAGCCAATGAGCTTTCCTAGAAGTTCTGAGAAACAATGTCCACTGGAGAAGTCTACCTGCAGATAAGCTATCAATCAAGCGTGAGGGTGAGATACTACGTATATTTTCAAGAAATCAGACAACTGACTTTTCATTCTCTTTTCTAGGGGAGAAAATATAAATGTAGTCCAGCAAAATGATGGCATAAACCATAAAGGAGAAAGACATGAGATTTAGGATGCACTAGACCCAACTTAGGGACAGAGCGAAGAAGAGCCCCCAGAAGGTAGATCAGCCTCAGGTCCTGGGAAAAGCCAGTCCAGAATAGGAAACGTGAATAATAGAATGTTTGTCATAACTGAGAAGATACAAGAACTTGAGGATCTGATAAAGCACACAATGCGTCAAAAAAAGATAATACAAACTCTAAGAAAAA